>NW_018654718.1:348946-697892 GCF_000001405.40 Homo sapiens | reverse complement strand
CCATACAACCATCCTATCCCCATTCTGCAGATGAAGAAACAGAGGCTCAGAGAACTCACGTAGCTCCAGACTCGCAAGAGCTCCTGGTTTAAAGCCAGATCCGTGGGACCACTGCAGAGCTCTTCCTACCCTCTGCAGTACCTTCCTCCTGAGTCCAGACACCACCTTTCACACCCATGGCAATGCCAAGCAGGGGCTAAAATTCCAGAGGGGAGGAGGGCAGGGGGCAGACGTGGGAGCTCTTCTCTGCTTTGCATGCTGCGCCCCTACTCAAAATGCCCCCAGGCTGGCAGAGGCAAGCATCTGCTTGTAAAATGTTTATTTCACCTGAGCCCTTCCATTTTTCTTCTTAACTTTAAAAAAAACGATGATTCCAATTGAGACAGTACTAGAGAATCTCCCTGCGAGTCTGTTGAAATTCCATACCCAGTTAGAACCCCACCCAAACTGCTCTATGTCCCAACGCTGCCAGGGGCCACTTTCCACACCAAGGTTCCACTCACACAGGACCATGGGACTTCATGCTGGCCACATCTCAGTCCTAACGGTGTTTGTATTGTATTCTACCCTTCTGACGTTTTCCAGTCCATGGGAACATGCTATTAGAGCAGACCCCTCCCGTGACCTTGGTGTAGTGCTGAATGCCATCAGTAGAGCAGGTCACCATCCTCTATTAGGCCTCAGTTTCCCCATGTTATAGATGAAGGGGCTGGATAAGATAACCCACAGTCTTTTCTGGCACCACCGTCCTTCAATTCAGTGTGTTTTGGGTGACAGCCATTTTCTTCACCATTCTGGGCTAACTGAACTCCAAAGTATCATACCAGTTAGCCAGTCGATGCCTGCCTCTAAGAGGAATTCCATTAAGGAGGACTTTAGGAATTGGGTTCACTTTGAAGGAGGCTTTTTCCTGCCGGGCTCTGAATGCTGACATGACGGGTAACATCCAACAGCCCCACCCTGTGTCTGGGAAGTCCAGCCATGAGCAAGCTTGAAGCTACTCTCCCATGCCACCCAGTTCCCGAGGAAGGAACCTTTCCCCCGAGACATTCCCAGCTCCTTCTCCAGGGCGCCCCACACTCTGGGTCCCTCTGGGAGAAATCTTAAAGTGTGGCAGCAGACGGAAGCATGAGTTTATATTCAGCATGCCAAACATTCTCTGGACGGCTTCTAAACATAACCAGGCCTTAATATAGTGTCTCTTCTTGTGCCGACGACTTGAAATCCTTGCCCACCCGGCGTATGAGCCCATTCCCTCGGGGAGACTATTTGTAGCCCTAAACCAGGTGCTGTGGCTCAGCGAGAAGACACCATACACGCCAACGGGAAAGGGGGTTCTTACATATGCCAATCACCTCCACGTTTGGATTGACTAAGTTGCTAAGAAGCCGCGTGACTCAGTCGTGGGCCGGGAGCTCTTGGGAAGTCCCCCGCACATAGGATCCAAAGGGTCTAGATCCTCAGGGCCAGCACTCAGGACGGCCTGTCCTGGCCCTGCAGTGGGGGAGGGGCTGCAGACCTGCCCCCCTTCCGGTGAGCAGAAGGCCTCAGGAGTCAGGCACAGCTGGCGCCTCGCTGCACTGCCCAGCTCCTCCGGCTGGGGCCATCCCACTGGCAGCTAGCCCCACGCTCCCACTCCTGCAGCAGGCAGGAGGGGCTCCCCTCGAGTTGAGAGTGGGCCTGCCGCACAGTCACCTCACTGCAGTTTCTAGGACAAGCTTCCTCAGGGAGACCTCACAGATTTCCCAGCTGGCACTGGCTCTCTCAGCAGGTACCAAAGACTGTTTCCAACAGTCCGGTGAGAATGGCCCCAGGGCATAATCCTCCCGCTCCTGGCCCCTCTTCTGGAATCTGGTGTGATACTCCAACAGCCTACCAAGTGCACAGCCCCTTGGAGCTGGTGGGGACAGAGAAAGGGCAAGACCTGAGTCTGGGACCTGCTCCCAATGTGGGGATGTGTCCTCCTGTAGAAGCTGGCCAGGGACATCACTGGGCAGGTCTGGTTTAGTGTCCAAGCTCAGGCATGAGTCAGGCAAAAAGGGCATAGGGCCTGGCCACATGGATGGAGCTCAGAGAATGGAATCCCATAAGGCAAACCCTCCCACAAATCCCAAAGGCAGGAGCTATGAGACTGGCCCCCACGGGTCCTGGGCTCCTGTCCTCTAGGATTCTCTGGTCCTGGAGCGGTGTTCCTACTGACTGGGTCAGAGGAAGCCCTGGGATACCACCCTATGAGCATCAGGCCTAGAGCCTGCCAACTTCTGTGATCCTCAGCCCGCTGCACTCAGGATCTCTCTTGAAGCTTTTTACTGGTACAAATGTGGAGCCTAATTTCCTTTCCCCATCTCCCTCCAGAAAGGATAAGTTTAAACAGTTGTCAGCAGCATGAAATGAAACTGTGATGCTGTGGATGTACCTAGCACACAGCACTGGATGCTGAACTGCAAATGTAAACCGTATGATCGGGAAGACAGGCAACCATGGGTGCTGGTACATCTCACTTAGTTCATTCCTCACTGACAGATGTGGGGAAAGTGCAGTGTTCGTGGGGAGGTGAGAAAGGGTGCATTTGTTCATTCATTCATCCATTCAGATGCTAGCTGCATACACATGGCAGGCTCACATACCCTTGGAGGTAGTACAAGGAGCAAGGCTTGGTCTCTGCCCTCCAGGAACATAGGGGAGCAAAGAATTATAACAAGAGTTCAGACAGGCTAAAACTGCGGTGTGATCCTACACAAAGAGGAGCACCCTACTCATTGAAAGGGGGTCAGATGGCCTCTTAGTCCTGTAAGGTCTGTGGCCCCAGCCAGTGGAAAGGGTTATACAAAGGACTAGCATTCTGAGAAGAGGGAGACACCAGCAAAAATGCAGAGGTGAGATGGTTCAAATCATGGCACCCCTAACAAGCCTTGGAGGTGAGTGAGGCACCAAATGATTGCCACATACACACTGCTTTGTATGTATTTGTGTATATGCTGCTATATGCTTATCATGAGCTGGATGCAAAATCAAGTTTTAATGTCCAAGTCACGTTTGACTCCTGATTTCTAAATGTTCCTTTTAAGGCCTTCCAATTCCCCCTGCTAAGCCCTGGCAAAGCCTGTACTTCATCACGGTGGACGATGCAGTCATTCTCCAGGCTTGGAAGGGCAGTGACTACGCCCCCAGGACACACACTGGGGCCGGCTAAGAGAAATGGGGGAGTATGTGACTGAGCCACAGCCATCCTAACACAGGGGCAACTCTCTTCCTGGGGCCCAAAATTTAAAACATAGCAAGCCCATTGTCCCAAAGCCCTGGACAGCAAAAACATTTCCTCTAGGACCTGTGGAATGTGAGCTTGTCCCAAGCCTGGGGAAGGGGGTGGAACACAGTCTTGCCCAAACACAGACATAGACACACAAACACACAAACACAGAGACATACATAGGCACACACACACATTACAAAGACACACAGACACACAGAAATGTACACACAAACACATTACATAGAGACACAGGCACATACGAGAGATGCACAGACAGAGACACACACAGACACACACAGAGATGACACACACAGAGACACACACGCACACCTCTGCCTTCCTCGGCTCCACCCACAGACAACCAAGCCACGGCTATCACCTTGCAGCGGATCCAGGTCTTGGGAAGGCTCCTGGTGCACCTGGGGAGCTTCAGCGGTTCTAAATGGAACACAGAGGCTGTGCATCTTCAGCACTATCTCAGCCTCCTCCCATCACTGCCATACGGCCCACGTTCCTTCACAGACCAAGCCCGGGCGTCAGAGGTGATTAATGGGGGTTTCATGTAGCCAGGCAGGGTCCTGAGGAGGCGAGTGGGTTTCTACTTCCCTTCCTCCAAGTCCTGGACCTTGGAATTTGGCCCAAGGAAGAGCGGAAAAGTTCATGAAGGTTCAAAAGCATAAACATCTCACCATACTCCATTTTAGGACCTCAGGGACAGATGATCACGGCTGTACCATATGACCCACCCCATTCAGTCACCTCCATGTCATCATTTTGAAGTGAACTATTTCTAGTGGCCAGCCTAGATCAACCTGCAGAGACAGTAACAGGCGATTTGCATAAGGAGACAAAAGTCACCTTGTAATTAAGAGCACAGCCTTCAAAGTTAAACAGATGGTTCCAGTCCAGCCGTGCCACTTTCTAGCTACAATTTTAGAGAAGTTTCTTAATCACTCAGTGCCTCAGTTTCAACATTTGTGAAATGGAGATATTAACAAAATCTAACTTCCGGGTTATTTGTAAAAGTTACTGAGTTAGTATGTGTAATAAAGCATTTAATATTTAACTAAGCACTTACATCATTAAAACACTTTGGAACCAGTTGGTTAGTGGCCACTGCCCTATGCTCACCGAGAATCTTCCACCTTGTGGCCCTCCTTCCAGGGCTCCTGGACCTCTTCGCAATCCAGCTACCAATCCAGTTAATGCCTGGCGTACAGGGGGAGCTGCCTGTTCGAGCCTTGATATCTATGCCACAGCATCCTTCCCTGTTCAAATGTCACCCCTGCCCCATAGACTCTCTCACATTCCCTTTCACCTCTGCGCACTTGGCAAGCTCCTGAGGTATGCCCTCTTCCTACTCTCAGAGGGACTGAGCCTTCTAACCCTGCTCAGCTTCCTGCTGGTTCTGATTGAGCATGCAGTTCCTCTCTAGATCATTCAAACCCACAGACATGGGGCTCACGGCCAGAGAGCTTGATCTAGTATGGTTCCCAGCTTCATTTCAAGGCCAAAAATGTTTGGGAAAAGCTGGAATCAACGTCCACACTTCTGCGAAGCTAGGAAAACCCCAAAGCTAGTCTCTTAGGGCAGCAGTAAATGCTCAAGAAAGTAAATATTTCTTAAAGAAACAGTTAAATCTGTCCAATTCTGCCACCACTATGCACCATCTGCCCTGTCCTGGTTTGTTATCACTGTTTTGATGGAGTAACCTGGCAAGTAGAAAGTATGACATTCAAATAAAAAAACATGAGCTTGAATCTCAGTGGTGCTACATGGGGCATTGGGCAAGTGCCTGCAGTCTCAGCCTCCACACACACAGGGACACACATAGGCGCACATCCTCATCTGGGAGTGAGGTGTGCTGTGGGAATAAAGCAAGGTGAGGGCCCATCCCAGGACAGCCCACAGACTCCGCACTCAAGACACTATTGAGGGAGGAGGTTTTGGGCCATGTATCTTCACATTCTCTGGAATGATAAGCACTCAAAAAAGCAGTTGAACATAAATGTTTTAAAAAGAGTTGCTTGGTCTGTGGATTTGTAATGCAAATGCCCCTAATAAGAGAAGAGAGGGGACAGACTCACAGGAGGGCACTAGGCATGTTCCTACCTCTCCAGGGTGCAAGAGAACCCAGAGCTACCTTCACAAAGATACTGTGAAAATGCAGAGTGTGAAACGCTCACACACCTGGAGGAAGTGTTCAAAAAGAATGCCCTTTCTTTGCTACAT
Organism: Homo sapiens; assembly: GCF_000001405.40. NCBI lineage: Eukaryota > Metazoa > Chordata > Mammalia > Primates > Hominidae > Homo > Homo sapiens. The sequence continues at coordinate 692,407 of NW_018654718.1, read as the reverse complement.
CATTCCATTTAACAGGCTGGCAATTTTCAACTTATCCACAACTTCTATTACCTGAGACCATCACAGGTAAATTTCCTAACAGTAGTAGCAATCGGCCTTAAAAGCATGATGTGTGAGATCGCAAGAAGGCATTATTGGGAAAATATGATATTCTGGATTTCAAGAAATTCTCAACTGCCGGAAGTCTTTGGTAACCTAATTCCGTTTTCAAGACAGGGTTGCTCCTTAAATTTACTGCCTGGGGGAACCAAAGTTTTCAAACTATCAATGTCAGATCAACTCAAGTGTGTGGGGAAGGTGGCACCGTTTTCTCTATTTCCAGGACAGGAACCAAACTGGTCATTATGTTAGGCAGGAGATGAAACATTGTTGCAGTCAAAAAGTAATACACTTTTACAGTCAAAGTAAACAGACCCTTATTTGGTGTGTGCATGTGTCTCTGAGCCTTGGCCTCTCCGGTCTGCCATTCTTTTTCATATGAGTTGCTCTTTCTGCAGCTAGCGGCCACATCATTTCCCTACTGCCCTGTAAATAATAGCTCAAGATCCGTCTTTTCCAGGAAGCATTATCTAATTAACACTATACATTCTGCAACCCATTAATTTATTTTCCCAGCCCCCACTCTTACTGAAGACTCTGCTGTCATTACAGATCAGACACTGCCCACCCAGCCACAGTCCTGGTATTAGGGCTACAGATAAAATACAGGACACCCAGCTAGATTTGAATTTCAGATAAACAACAAATAATTTTTTTTTCAGTATAAGTATGCTCCATGTAACAGTTAGGATATACTTACAAAAAATTATTTGTTGTCTATCTGAAATTCAAATCCAGCTGGGCATCTTGTGTTTGGTTTTGTTCTGTTGTTTCTTTGTTTTGTTTTTTGTTAAATCTGGCAATTCGATCTGTTACCCTTCCTCCTTGCTTACACTTCAGACAGAGAGAAGAAAAAGGTTGTGAACAGCCAAATAGAGAGAGGCCACAAAACCCAGGCACTAAATCTCAAACACTGTCTCCAAAGGAGAGACTCTTAAACCTTCACCTGGTCATTTTGCGCCCAATTTTAACAAGCTTTGTGGCAGATTACCAGTACCAAACTAGAAAGAAGGTTGGGAGTTGCTAAAGGGAAGAAGGATGTTGGCACAGAAAGAGTCCCAGCCTAGAATCAGGACACCCAGTCCTGAATCCCAGTGTCTTCCTTCTAGCCATGTATCTTTGGCAGGTTGCTGAGCTCTTGAAAGCTTCAGTCTGTTGCTTGCTTGTTTGTTTTTTCTCTTTTAATCAGCAAATTGGAAATGATCCTATCTGCCTTGCAGAGCTGATATAAGGCTTAAATAAAATAATGCACATGAAAACTGCTAAATAAATGTAAGATGCTTGTTATCACAAAGATTCACTGATGGAATAAAAAATAAGCATCCTCAGTTTCACTGCTGGGAAGGAGGCAAACTACAGAAATCAAACACAAGGGCTCACAAAGACAACACTCAGGCTGATTTAACGTTAAGGGCAAAGAACTGGTATACCTCAATAAAACAGAAGCAACACATCATCCTACTGCAGCACTGATGTTCAAAATGATGGCTTGGAGGCATCAGGAAAAGATGAAAGTAAATTCAATGCATTCTGTTTAAGAAGGCAGGGAAGTGTTTCATCCAGGCGAATCTATCTAGGCCAGGGGGCTTCAGTATGACACAGCTCCGTCAAGAACCCTGAGAGTTGCTTTTTATAAATGCACTGGGCACCTCAGTGTGCCAGGCACTGTGCTAGGCATAGTCACATTCATGGGCTTAGAAAGAAACTCTTTGTTCAAAGCAACTGGCTGTTATCCTGCCAGTTGTGGATATTCAATATTTGTGGATTGAATGAGGAAGAGGATGAATGAATGCCTATAGTAAATTTACAAAGTGCTGGATACACAAAAAGGACTCAGGATATACAAGTGGCTGGATTAACTCCCTTTATATTATAAGTGACGAGACAGGGCAGGGAAAAGAAAAGGTACCAGTTATGTGCACAAAGTAGAAACAAACAGAACGATGCCCTGACTGAGGATACCCAGCATGAGTTCAGGGTGGGTAACTTCAACACAGCAATGACAATCATACTGCAATCTGTCGGGTGACACCGCTCAAGGGAGCCAAGGGAAGACATGCCTAAGGAGGGTTTTTAAGTGGTTAATACTTCATGAGTCATCCTATTTCTCTACTCTTTGGAAACAGTCTGGTTTTATTTCCTAACAAATGACTGGGCCCTGTAATACCTCACCATCATGATTTTAACCCGTGAGGTTGGGTCGAAGCATACCCAAGCAGCATGGGGTTAACACTCCCCAAATCCGAGGCTATCAGTGGGCCTTAAATGCAGCCATGAGCTGAATGGGGCTATGTGGGTTGTGCCGATGGGCTGAAATCCACTAAGGTTAAGCTGCGGTAAACAGATCATCACAGCCAGGGCCAGAGAGGCTGACCCATTGAAATCACTTCCTTGCCAGTCAAACTCCTTATCAACCAGTCAGTTACCCCTGAATGAGGGTCCGTCACACGTGCTCGTACTAGTTCCAGACTTATTTGAGGGCAGGCAAAAGTCAGAGGAGATGATGAACCTGGTCTTGCCCTCAGGAAATTCATTTTTCTAAACAGAGGACAAACCCACAAAGGCAAGAAGACAATGACAGACATCTGCTAAGGCATGTGGATAACGTCACAGTCCAGCAGGGCTCCGCGGGAGGCTGCCTCTCAGGTGTGCACAGGGGCCTGTGGCTACCTGTGTGAAACGCAGGGCCCGCACAGCACTGCCTCCCAGAGTGGGGATTCCACAGCGACTCTGAACTTCATACTTAGAAGAGCAGGGCCTCACCTGGGCTGCCTTGGAATCCTCAGGAAATTGGATCTCATGGGGTTCTTAGACATCAGATAGTTTAATCCCTCGCTGGAACAGATGAAAAAGGGAAAGAGCCAAAGGAAAACAATGACCAAGTGCCAAGCTCGCACCATGTGCTCTAATCCTCACGCTATCCCAGGGGTCAGAGACACAATCTTTCTGCAGATCGCCTGCCAGTCACACAGCCAGGATGCAGGGAGGAACCAGGATCTGTGTGACCAGTGCCCCAGCACTCCCCTCACTGCCCCAAGCCACCGCAGGTGAAAACAGGAAGAGGCCTGTCCAGGTGACAAGGGTAACAAGTGGCACATCCAGGCCTGGACCAGGGCTTTCGACCAAGTCTTACATGCAAAAACGTTCATGTCCACTCCCCCTAGGGAGTGTTGAAGGTGCCTACTGCCGTATCGCTGTATTTCATTAAAAGGCCAAGTCTTTTTTTTTTCTTTTTTGAGACGGAGTCTCACTCTGTCGCCCAGGCTGGGGTGCAGTGGCACAATCTCGGCTCACTGCAAGCTCTGCCTCCCAGCTTCACGCCATTCTCCTGCCTCAGTCTCCTGAGTAGCTGGGACTACAGGCGCCCGCCACCACGCCCGGCTAATTTTTTTGTATTTTTAGAGAGATGGGGTTTCACCGTGTTAACCAGGATGGTCTCGATCTCCTGACCTCGTGATCTGCCAGCCTCGGCCTCCCAAAGTGCTGGGATTACAGGCGTGAGCCACCACACCCAGCCAGTGTCTTTTTTCAAGGAAACTTCAGCTATGGATCAAATCAATCTCCTCTCAATACATTTCCAGGGACCCTCCGGATCCCTCTGTTGATCAGAATTTTATCTTAACTACAGGTAGAAATAAGAATGCCCCAGCTTGGGTTCAGCCATGTTTTGTTAGAGGTTGTACAGGTGGCACTTGGGTTGTGTTTTAGAAGAGTAATTGTGGGTTCAGAAAGCATTTTCCCAATGCTATGTCCCATTCACTTGTTTTCTTCCTTTCAGATTAATAAAGATAATGCTCAGCCTGTTGGCATGGGTGTGAGGAGTCAGAAACTTTCATATTCTGCTGCTGAGAATCCAGATTTGGACAGGCTTTCTTAAGTGCCTTTTGGCAAAATAAAGCAAAAAACATAACTTTTCACCTATAAATCCTTCTGTTAGAATACATCTGCAAAAAGGGGTATATATAGAATACAGTTATTTATTTTACATATATATGTTATTATGTACATTATAAAGTTGTATATAGAAGAATAAAGTTATTCTTCACTGTGCTGCTGAAACTGTGAAAACAGCTTCGTGCTCACCAAACAGCAGATGAATTATGAACACCAGGACACCTTCACAGGATTCCACATTATACTGCAGATTCATATTTAATGCCACAAAAGGACAGTCATTACATATAGTTTTTAAAAACCAAAGTACATAGTAATATGTGTAGTAGGATTCTTTTTTAAAAAAATATATTTCCATATTTGCATGGTAAAGACTGGAAGGATATACACATAAAAGAGAGTAGTATCCCTTTGGTCTGAGATTTTGAATGAACTTCTTTGCTCTTTAAAAATCTGCCCTTAATTTTTTGATAATGACTATGTACGACAGTCACGTGCTGCATAACACTGCAGTCAACAACAGGCCACATACACAATGGTGGTCTCATAAGGTTATAATGAGGCTGAAAAATTCCTATCACCTCATGACATCTTGATGACCTGCGTAGGTCTAGGTTACTATGTGCGCGTGTCTTACTTCTTAACAAAAAATTTACAAAGCAAAAAATAAAATAAAATAATTTTTAATAGAATACATCACATAGAAAAAAGGATATAAAGAGAGTATTTTTGTACAGCTGTGTGTTTGTGTTTTAAGCTACATGTTATTATAAGAGTCATCAAGTTAAAAATTAAAGTTTATAAAGCAAAAAAGTTATAGCAAGCTAAGGTTAACGTATTATTGCAGGAAGAAACATATTTTTTATAAATTTAGTGTAGCCTAAGTCCACTGTTAATAAAGTCCACAGTAGTGTGCAGTCATGTCCACTCACTCATGACTCACACAGAGCAACTTCCAGTCCTGCAAGCTCCATTCATGGTAAATGACCTACACAGGCAAACCACTTTCTTAATCTTTTATACTGTACTTTGTACCTTTTCTATGTTTAGATATGTTTAGCATTGTATTACAATTGCTTACAGTACTGAAGTACAGTGGCATGCTGTACGGAATCCAAGGAACGATGGGCTACGCCATATAGCCTAGGTGTGCAGCAGGCTCAACCATCCAGGTTTGTGTATATTCACTCTATGATGTTCACATATGATGAAATCACCTAACAACGCATTTCTTAGAATGTATCCCCATTGTTAAGCAATTCGTGACTGTACTTGTGTAATTATAATTTTGAAATTATTCTCTAAATTAAAAGAGAAGCTATTATTGATATGGGGGGAAGCATTTTTCCTATAAAACAATCTGTAACTCATAATAAGATAATCAGATTGGATCATAAAACCTGTTAAACCTGTTTAGCATGATGGGTATGCTAGCTCAACTTGGGGGTGTGTTGGGGGAAAGGGACAAGAAGGAAAGAAGTTCCCTTCATTTCCTTGGGCCTAGGATAAGCCCTCAAGAGCCCTATTCCACCCCCAAGGGCACCTCCTCCAAGGCTCCTGCTATTCTCATGCTTCCTGGGCCCTGTGTCCTGGATGCACAGGCATACCGGGTCGCTCGCTGCTCCAAAGTTACCCACTTCACACCAACCTTGCCAACCCTAACCCTATCTCTCAGACATCACCCAGTCTCTGGGGAGCAAAAGAATGGCATCTGCCAAAAGAACAGCTGAGATGAGCCACCGGTGGTCAGTGTCACTGACTGGAGGGAGGGGGACCATGGTTCCAGCTGTATCAGCTTCATGGGGGTGGGGGTGGGGGGACATTTCTGGTATGCAGCCACTTTTGGCTCCAGTGCATCCTGAGCCACACAGCCAGGACCTGTGGACGGCATGTGTCCATTGGCCTTGGCATCTATCTCAGACAGACCCTTGTGCACAAGGCGCCCACCCTGGGGTCTCTTCTTGCTATGGACTGCATGGGGATGCTATTATGCCTATACAGATGTCCGTTTTCTTCATTTACCGATTCTCTGACTTACTGATTCAGAAGACGTTTGCTGCTAATTAGCCCCTTGCCAGACATCAAGGAGGGGTCAATAGTTAAAAAACGAGTTGCCCTCTCCTCCCCCCATGTAGCCAGCACTGGGGTCTAAAGTTGGCGTGGCATGCTCCTGCCAAGTCCTGCCTGGCTGTAGGAAAGGCATGCTGGGGGTAGTGAGGGGGAGTGTAGGGTCCTGGGATAGGACCAGGCTGTGCAGAGAGGGGATTCCAGGCTGGAAGTGTGGACTTAATCCTGGGACAGTCATTCCAGGTGCTGAAGCAGAGAAAGGGGACAATTAAGGAGATCTGCCTGGGGGCTGCCTGTGGGATACTACAGGGGGCTGAGACCAGAGGCAAAGACCAAACCTGAAGTCAGAGGAGGAGGCGTGGTCACCACAGGCTTCAGAGAAGGTGGCCAAGGGCAAAGTGCCTGGTTCAGGAGGGCCAGCTTCTGGCCTCCCCAGTGGTGGGTCCTGGAGGGTGTTACTCAGTTCCTCTGGGCAGCCCACTTTTCCTGAGTGAAACGCACATGATAACTCTGCCCTCGCATCTCAAAGGGGCTGGGTGCATTTAAAGTGCTTTGTTAAACTGTAGAGTGCTATACAAATGTTAGCTATTATTATTAAAGGGCTGAGACAGTATTTTGTCAGCAGCTTAGTTCAGCTTGGTTGAACACGGCACTCCAAACATTTCACCAAATACCAAACAGGACTTTGTTATTTAGGGAAGAGATTCAGGAGCTTTCATGGAACACTGGAACATCTAAACACCAGCGAAAAACACAACTATCCCAGCCTCCATGATAAGCATCTTCACTGTGGCGAGGCTGGAGGGCTGGTGAGCACTGTGACCCTCAGGCTCACGCCCAGAGAAGGCCTACAGTCTTGGGGTGCTTGGCTCCAAAAGGAGTCTAAGTCTGGAGGAAAGGAAAAGGAGGGTGTTCATACGGCCAGAAACAATGGTCCTGGCTAGTCTGTGTTTAGCCAGGTTTACCCTGAATGCTCACTCAGTTCTACAGGGGAAGGGCCTCTCAGGGACTACTGACCATGCAGAACACCTCAGAAACTTGGAATCCCAAAACCTTGGTCTTGGAAGGGCATTGCAGCCAGGCTGCCTCTCTACCTGCTTATCTTCCTCCCACAAGCCTGTGGGCTTCTCGAGGATGGAAACCAGTCCCCTAGTACCTAGCAAAGGACCGAGGACGTAGCCAGCTTCCCATATGCATTGGTTGTTTGGATGGATGGATGGATGGTGAATGGATGAATGAATTCCATAGCATTTCTAATCAAGAAAACACCAATCTGTTGCTTCCCACCTTTCCAGGGGAAGCCACCTTTTCTTGCGGTGTCTTACTCTTAAAAGAGTAGTATCTCATCCTGTGTCCCAACCCTGCCCGACATGGCACTCCACTCGCTCCTTTCTCCCACCACTGCTGCCCATCAGGAGGCTGTTGTGTTAATTCTGAAGGCTGAAGCCACCCAGAAACCTCCGCCCAGATGCCTTAGAGGGCCCCTAAAGAGGAGGAAGTAGCCAGGGGGTTGGCCTCATTTCCCAGCTAGCAGCACCAGCTCTTCCCTGGGTGTGAGCTGAGAATTTTCGGGGACAGGCAAAGAGCCTTCCGGAAGGGCAATAGGTTCCTATTTAAACGGTTGTTTTCATTTGCGTGTTTCACTAAGCACAAAAGCTCCCCTTTAAGCCCTCATCTCATGGTGAACAGACTATTCCTGCCTGTCTGAGTCACATATCTCTGGGCAGCCAGACCTTCTGACTCACTGGTGGTTGAAATCTCAGATTCACAATACCAGAGAGTTGCTAAAAATAGGAATCATGTACCTGGGCCCCAAAATAGGACAGAGTCAAACACGGCTCTTTAAAAACCTACTGCCCAATGTGTAACATAAAAATCAAAGAGGGGCTATACTTGTCTTCTTTCATATTATCTTAAATGTAATAAAGCCGTCTCTAATTCCTTTGGAAATCGGCAAAGTAGATGGACCAATACAATAGAAAGATAGGTTGGAATAATCGTGCCTAGTGCACTCTGGTTGTTTTTATTAGAAAATTCTATATCCTTAAATTAGCATAGGGTATTTTCACAGCAGTGGTAGGGAAATGAAGCTTCTCCATCCATGCTTTGCCAGTTTCTCTCTTGGGAATCAATGTGGCTTAAAATAGTAAGGAAATTTTCACTGAGGAACAAAGAGGATGCTTAGGGTTTGTTTTTTTTTTTTTTTTTTGGAGTTGTTTTATATTTCCTTTCAAGGCTTTGAGGTCTCCCTATATTAAAATTTTATAGCTTTTTCCATTACTTGCAAACTGTTTGTACTTGAACAGCCTTAGGATCAGCCTTGATTTTTTTCAGCCTTACTTTTTTTTGGGAAAAACATCTATACCACTTGAAGTATTCTTGACAATTCTGGGCAAAAGTCACAACAACTTTCTTCATCCTGCGTCTCTCCTATAGAAGTTACCATGGCTTCTGGGCCTCTGCTGACCTCACAACAGCCTGCAGGGAGGTTGGGCAGATGTCCTCACTCTGGGTCTACAGATGGGACTCAGATGTGCAGGGAGGAAGCACTCAAAGGGAGGGCCGGTCCCTCACCCAGTGTTTCTGATGCTTGCCCTGTCCTGCACCTGGAAAGGCTGGGAGTAGACACATGTGAAAGAAGAGAACAGAGCAGACCTGCCTTCCAGGGACAGGAGGGAGCCACGCTGTGCATGTCCTGCTCTGTCTGATGGCTGCCACCCGTGGAAAGGTGCTGCCATTCTGTCTTCCATACCTGCACATCTTTCTACATTATGTTTAAGGTTTTTTTTTTTTAACTAATATGCTCTACAGAGCAGATGACCTAAAGAAAATCACCCTGGAGATTGTCTCAAGAGGAAGGAAATGGCTCTTGACATCGTAAATCACAGATGTTTGTTTTCATGGTGTTTTAAATTCCAGTGACTTCCGGAAGGTGGGAGCCTGCAGGCATGGCGGAAGAGACCACTGAGTTATGGATCATAAATCACTGGGGCCACTTGTGGAACCCAGCCTAAAATCGCCAGCAGCCAAGATGAGGCTGCCGGGTGAGTGAGGGGGAAGACAGGGGATCACAGTCACACTTTGGCCAGCTGGGACAAGGTAAAATGGCACTATGTGTGGCTGAGATACTAGAACCTCCAAACCCAGAGCATCTCAGAATAGGGTTGAGGCTCATGAGAGGCCACTGCTAGCTTGGAAGCAGGCGTGGGAGTCCCTGGAATGGGTGCCTCAGCCTGGGGCCATTGGATAGGTCTATGGGGGAAAAGCTTAAAGAGAACGTGCAAGAAGCTCTGATAATGAAGCTTAGACATTTAAGAAAGGCGTTACGGTCTTATCTTTCTTGAACACACAATGGAAACCCCAAACCATGACATTTCTATCTAATTTAGGAGGGAAATAAATTGCCAAGAGTTGATGGTGGCAGGCCTTTAGTTGCTGTCATCTCATTTAATCCTTGCATCATACAATGGGACAGTTTATTTATTCTCTTAATTTTATAGCTGAAAAAACTGAGTTTCAATGAAGTTAAAGAATTTGCTGGAAGTCACACAGCTAAGAAATAAAGTCAACATTGAAAAAAATATTATTTTGTAGAAACGGGGCCTCACTATGTAGTCCAGGCCGGTCTCAAAGTCCTGGCCTCAAGAAATCCTACTGTCTTGGCATCCTGAGTCACTGGGACTATGGGCGTGAACCACCGTGCCTGGCTGGAGTCAGTATCTGAACCATGACTTGCCAGACATCCAAGCCCACTTCGCCTCACTACAGCACAATTCCTCTCTAGGACATGTGCCCAGTCTGCTAGTTGGAAGTTGAGCATCCTAATGAACCAGCGCTCCTGTCCTTTTGAGCCTAGAATGAGTTCTTTTGACTCAACCCATGGCAACCTTTTCCCTGGCTTTCTCTCTCCTCAGTTCCAGTAGAGTGACTGGCATATGCTGGTAAATGTCTGCTGAACTGCAGTAATGCTGTGGCACCTTCACTTCAGGGGGCCTCCTCTAGAATAAGACATCATGAGTGGCCAAATGGCTTCCACCCACTTTCTGCCTTGTGTAAATCTTTTTCACTAGGTGGGGGTAACCTGAAGGAGAAGGATTTATAAGCATGGAGGGCCCACCTCTTGTAGGCAAATTCATCTTCTGAGGCAGGAAGCAGCATTAGGAATGATCTAGCCCATCTCCTTGCCCCAGGGTGAGACAATAAGGGATCTTCCACTCTGCCCAGCATCGTACTGTTTGCAGAAGGAGTAAGAAGGGATAAAGAGGAAGTTAGAAGACTGACCTAGTCACCAATGACGGGAGGCAAGTAACTTGATTTCCCTGAGCCTCAGTTTCCTTTCCTAAGGGAAGTAATTCCTGTCTTGTCTTTCTTAGGGAGTTCTTGTGAGACCCTAAGGAGGGCTGTGTGCCACAGAGCTTTGAACATCAAAAAGAGCTACACAAATGGCAGGCATTTCTTCTCCAGGCTCTCTGGGGAGACAGTGAATGGTGTCTTTGTGTGATTCATTTTGTGTTGATTCACTCTTGCTGTCAGAAAGGCTTCTGAATGCCAACCTCCATCTCTCTCTGCAGCTGTCCCCTGTCGTTACGCCTTGTGAGGTGACGGAGAACAAGGGGTCAGAATCACCCTAACAAGGCTGCATCCACTGCTACTGGAAGGAGGCTGGATGGCGCGGTCATGCTTCCTATGCACAGGCATACAGTTTGCCTTCCCCTTAGGCCACTGTGGGATGAGAATTCCAGGAGAAAACGCAGGAAGGATGCTTGTTATTTAATAACAAGCTTGAGGAAATCACAACAGAGAGGAGGAAGCAAACAGGCTGACAAGTCAGGATGGCAGCGTGGGGGCCAGCGCCCCCAGTTCACCCACCATGGGCATGATCCAGGAGGCCAGGCAGGGCTGGAATTAAGAGCACAGGTTTTGGAGTCTCCCAATCTCACCTGGAATTCCAGCCGCACCTCTTACTACACACTGGCCTTGGGTAAATCATTCTGTCTCTCCAATACTTAGTGTTCCTTATCCACTAGGGGGATTAAATGAGATTCCGGAGTGCCCAGCACACAGCCCATCAAGACCTGTAGGTGTGCCACACTCCACGTTGTCACCATGACATCAGCAACCCCTCCTCTTCCCCCACGGAGTCTTCCCCACTTTCTGAAGTCTGAAGAACTGGGACTGGAACATGTCCAAGGGGCTGCTCGTCACTGCCGGAGGGATAACTGTTCAGACACTGTCGTCACACAGTCACAGAAAGACTCAGAACTTCATTGCTACTTTATTTGTTGTTTTCTGCCTTTAGGATACTTCCTTATGATAAAAAATGTGATATTACTAAAAAAATATTAAAAAGTAGGGAGAAATGCTACCAAGTATACTCCACATTTTGGCTTACTTTCTTCCAGATTTATAATGCGTATTTTGGATGTAATTGAGATTCTACTGCATGTACATTTTATTCTGGTATTTCACAGGACATGATAAGGTAAGCATGCTGTCATGCTGTTAAAAACTCTTCAGAGACATCATTAAATGGGCACATCCTATTCCATGGTAGGGCTACACCAGGCCCCCATTGTTAAATATTTAAATTGTCTCCAATATTTTACTGTTGGAAGTCACACTGTCATAAGATACTTGTGCATACGTCTTTGCATTTTTGTTTATTTTATTTGAGCAGAAATGGGGCTAAAAGTTATGGATATTTTTAAGATTCTTAATACAAATTGCCAAGTTACATTCCAGAAAAGTCTGGCCAAGTCTTTCCTGTGGCTAGGGTTTAGGAGTTCCTGCTACACACTCACATCCTCTCCTTCAATGGCTTGTCCTTATTCATCAACAAGCAAAATAGGGCACTTGCCTTTTTCTTTTTATCTTTTTATTTTGAAATAATTTCAAACTTAGAGAAAAGTTGCAAGAACAGAGAAAGACACTCACATAGATGCTTCCCCTAGATGGTCCAATTGCTAACATTTTTGTCATATTTGCTTTATTATTCCTCAATAGATAGGTATGTAGGCAGAAATATACATATGTAACATACATACACATACATAAACACACATATATTTTTTTGGAATCATCTGAGACTAAGTTCCAAACAGGATGTCCTTTATGCCTAAATACTTCAGCATGTATTTTATAGAAACAAAGACATTTTCATATACTGTGATGAGCAAAATAAGAAATTTAACATGGACACAGTACTGTAACTAATCTGTAGGCCTTAAATTTCACCCCATGCCCTTTATACCAAAAAAAATTTAATAAAAGGGAGTTCAGGATTCAACCTAAGTCATGCATTACACTTAATTGTCATATTTCTTTAGTTCCTTTAATCTTTAGTTCCTTTAATCTAAAACAGTTCTCTCCATCCCTCTGTCTTCCATGACCATGACCTTTTTAAAAAGAACAAGCCAGGATATTTGTAGCATGTCCCTCAATTTGGGTTTGTCTAATATTTCCTCCTGATTAGCTCAGAATCACGCATTTTGGGCAGGAGCACCACGGAAGTGATGTTGGGTCCATCTTGGGATATCACATTGGGTGGCGTGTCCACATTTGTTAGTTGGCATTATGTCCTAAGGAAAAGTTTTCCTCATTCTGCCCCGTTTATTCACTAACTTCCGTATGTCGGTATAGACTCATGGATTCTTATTTAAGCTGTTAATGTCTCCTCTCTTTTGATGCTCTAATTATCCGGGATTTAGGCAGTAGGAAGCTCTTGGATGGGACTTCTGTGTCCTTTGACACGACCTCGTCCTTCTGAGAGCATGACTTTCTGGCACCAGATGTAGCAAGAAGCTCTCTTGTGCTGACTTTGCCTTTGATTCCTTTCAGTAAAGCACAATATTAGAAACCAAAATCTAGATGCTAGACTCACATATTGCTCTAGGGGTGTCATTATTTCTAAGTCCTTTCAGCAGCTCTCGAGTTGGGATATGTACATATGTGTGTATGTACATAATCCATATTATATATACATCCATACATGTACATATGATATAGATGAATAAATATAATCATATTAACATGGTATTTCTTTTTAAATTAGAATTTTTTAAATTATTGCTGAGGTTGAACACTTCCAAATGTTATTAGGGTATCATACGGCTCCTTTGCACACCTGTCTATCAGAGTCTTCGCATTTCTTTAGATACATATTTAAATATGGATATTAAGGAAAAATACTACATTCGTGGTAAGTACTTTCCCAAATTTATTGTTTGCTCTTTTATTCCTGATGCAGAGACTTCCAGTTTTTTAAAGTTGTAACTATCCCCAATTTTTGTAATTTCTTTCACTGTTTTGAGCTATTAAAGTCCTCCCCCAGTCAGACATTTGATACTCTATTTTCTTCTTCTTTTTCCATTAATCTATTTAATCAACTTGGAATATATTGTGGCAAACTGTATGAGATGAGGATCCAAATCGCTTTGATATTTTTTCCAAGCAGCTAACCAATTGTCCTAGCACCATTTATTATATAATCCTTCCCTTCATCACTGATTTATCATTGTTGTTTTTAGAAATTGCTTTTTGTATCTCCATCTGGCCAAGTGGGCTTTATAAAGGTTGCAGGGTAAAACTGTTTTTCTCTCCTAGTCCCACATAATTTAGGACATTGGAAAAATAGCATCCTGGCTAAGCACTTGGCCTCTGGACTGAAGCCAGGCTGCCTGGATTCAAATCAAGTCGCCAGCTTTCCCACCTGTAAAATGGGGCTAATCAGTGCACCTACCTTGCAGGATATCATGAGTATTAAAGGAGTCAAAACACTTAAATGCTTAAAATAGTGCTTAGCACATGGAGGAACTCAATAAATCTTAGTTATTATTCTTTTTCAAATTATCTTGTTTTTAATGTTAACTTGTTTATTTCTCAGATGGGAAAATGAGGCTTAGCAATATGAGGTGATCCTCCAAGCTCACGTACCCCAGGCCTCCCACACCGATACATTTCCTACGAGAACGCAGGTCTTCCCCGGCATCTCATGCTCAGGTCAAGCCCCATGGCATTGACCTACGTAGGCAAATTCCTCTATGAGATAAGGAGAGGGAGGGAAGGTGAGAGGGCGGGAGGATGCAATTCAAACAGGATGTGTGGTACCATCCACCCTTCTCTCAGCATATGTCCACCCCATGTGAGTGGGGAGACCCCGACAGCTGTTCAGCTTGTCTTTCTTAGTTCCTGTGGCCTTCTTCACCACACTGAGTGGGTTTCCAGTGTTTAAAGATATGTATTTTCAAACAACACGGCCCCTAAATGTAAACCAACTAACGTTATTCCATCTGGGGCTCAACTGTTCCAGCAACAGACCTCTAATCCTCCTGGAGCAAAATCCAGCTGTCATGGCCTTCACAAGAAGTGGCTGCCATTCTGCAGCACGGCCCTTTCCTAGGGGAGTTTATTCACTACAAGGACTATGAGAGTGAAGTCACAGCCGCCCAGCTGCCACTTGTTTTTTGTCTTAGGTCATTCCCCTTTTCCTACTTTATTCTCCTCTAATGTGAACTTCATAAAGTGCACACTGGACTCTTCACCATGTCCCCATAATCACACAACCACACAACATCTATAGCAGCAAAAACGGTTCCTTTTGCCAAAATGCTAAAATCAAGAATTATTATTATTTTTGGGGGGTAGACTGGAAGAGCCTAAAGTGACAAGTCGGGATAGAGCATGTGGCATGTGCAGAATAGGATGCACTTGCTTGACAAGAGGCACAAAGGAATGATGTTCATTGATGGGGACAGGCATCGGCCCTCACTGCATTGGCTGGTGGTGCACTGACACTGCAGGTGAAGGGACTCTTCCTCATGAGCAAGTTTCCACACTTGGGCTTGAGTAGGGCAAACAGCTAGGTAATGTCAAGACAGAGCACCTAATTCTGGCTAATGCATTACAGAGTTCCATGTGTTTGAAAAATTGTAATAACGGTAGAAACTGTTGATGCTGTTATTCCACTAATCAAAACCATTCCAAAGTTACATACAGGAAAAGAACATGATACTGGTAGAGAAAATGGGTGGAGACTGAAATGCAGTCATTAGACCAGCAGCATCGATCTGCGGTGTTTGTAGACTCAGTAGGTGGCCAACAGGACCAGGAAGCCATTGTATACCAACATTGCTATTCAGGGTGCTATCTTTAGTTATCTATCACAAAACCAGGAGGCATCCACAGCAAATTTTGTTAATGCCCATACTGTCATTGATCCTGAAAAAATCAATCCGAGAGGTAAAAATAGAACAAGGGTGACAACAAGCAGTACTCAATTTCACCTGATTATTACACAGACAAATTCCACTTGGTCCCAGATGAGACACCGCATTGCTCCTTAGTCATTCTGTGGAGGCTGCCTTGAGTGGCCTTGTCTACCCACACTGTCAAAGTGAATGTTGCAATTGATCAATGGCACAATAAAGAAGATGCATTAGCAACAACTAAAAATGACTTGCTAATTGAAGCTGACACAGTAAAAGCCCCCATCTAGACATCCTTGTCTAATTGCACCAAGATGGCGAATAAATGGCCCAAGAACAGACCAAGTGGCATTCATTGATTCAGTTCTCAGCTTCCATAAAACTCATCTATCAAGCCCATGCCCACCTATGTTTTCCATACTGAAGCTGCTCCAGTTGGTCTGAAGAGTGATAATTCACTAATGTTCACTTTTGGGGTTCTTAATGCCTTTCCTAGGGAGAATGAACAAAAGCAGACAATCAGGGCTGCATTTGGAGCTAAACTTGACTAATCCACCCATCGCTTCAGCTCATTCTAACACCCATTCTGGGGTCAGTACTAAGTCACACCTTTGGACAAATTAAAATAAAAGAAGGGGGCAAAAATGCTAGAATCCTAGTGACTTCACTGCTATCACAGCACCCCAGGAACTTATGTTAAACCTGGGCACAAAGCCTCACTGGGCAGAAGCTCTCTAATAAAGGGAGCTGAGTATCCCCAGGGAGGTTCTGCTACCCAGGTACTAAGAAGAAAGAACTGGGGCATCCAGGAAATTTCTGTGAACCTTGAAAGCTCAAGGATCATTTGGGGGGCAAGAGATATTACAGCCAGCACCCTCTCTACTCTCAGTGCACGGGGAGAAAAGGAGCCAGCAGCCTTGCCGCTTTGACAGATCTAATGAAACTACTCTTTTGGCTGAAGTTCTATCAAAATCTTCCTCTGCAAAGAACTGCCCCCCTATCTAGGGCATCTGGAAGATATGTTCTCCTACAGAGTAATTAAATGATCTCATCTTTTGAACTGGATATTCAGGAGAACAGGCCATAGGTGAAGGAGGAAGTAAGGTGAGGAACCATCTGAGGGTTTTCCACTGAGGTCCAGTTTTCAGGTACAACCTCACCTCCCAGTGATTTCACCTCAGCAGGTCCAGTCATGCCGATTTTTCCTCTGACACCATCTTCCTTCATGAGTACCTATAATGAGGTAACTGAATTTTCGTTTTGCTTTTGGCAAGGCAACCTTCCAAGTTCACCATCTTCCTTGTAATTACGCTGTTGCATCAACCCTCAACTCCATCCATTTCCTAGTCATTTGTCAACCAACCACAAGGTAAGCTTAGCCAATCAGGTTCACGTATTCCGAGTTCCTGCTCACACCACACGAACACCTCTCAGAACTACCGTTAGGTCAGAATGTTAGAAATGGATGGAGTGTGGAGGTCGTCTGGTTAAAGACTGTCATTCTACCGTGGACCACAGTGAATGCCAAGGCACAGAACGAAATCAGAATCAGAATCAGGAAGAAAGCCCAGAATTCCTGACGCTACCAATGAACCCCATTTTCTTTGAGTAGAAAGGGGAGGATAGGCAACCTAATCAACCACTTGCTCAGTCAGCTAAGTGTTTGTTGTTTGACTGTAGATGCCTGGCAGTGTGTTTCATTTCGTAAGATCTGCAAAGGAAGTATACGTACAGCAGTTACCTGCAAATAACTTACAAAGCTAGCGGAAAATTGAGAAGAACAGGAATTCAGCATCCAGGACCTCAATCTCAAGGAGCAGGTCTGGGCTTCCTTTTTTTTTGTTAATTAAACAACATAGAAGTTCATTTCTTCTCTCTTATGTAAAACTCCGAGGTGAACAGTCTACTCCACTCAGTCTGTGGACACCAGATGCTTCCAGCTCACTAGCTGATCATCTCCTACTCATGGTCCAAGATGGCAACTAAAGCTGCAGCCATCACATCCACATTCCCAGCAGAGGAAGAAGGAGGCAAGAATGAATACTAGAGGGTAACTGATATATCTGCCATGGCACTATAGAGAGAATGTTCACCAAATCAGGAGCCTCCTGGAGTTTGGCCCTGCCTATTTTTACAAAGCTTCACAAGCAGTTGTTGATGCCTACCCTGGTTAAGGACAATTGAACCAGATCGTCTCTCAGGTACCTTCCAGCAGGAGCCATTCTGAGTGACATGAAATGAGGAGAGATCGATCAAGTATCACGCTAAGCTTTGTTTCAGGCAGTAAATCCAGTGGGCTGATCAATGCAGCCAGGCCTTGAGAACAGGGTGAAATACAGGCTGGGCCCTCAAGGCCAAAAACAATGCCAAGAGTTGCAGGCAGGTATTTACTAGGAGACACAGCATGGCGAGAGCTAGGAGGCAGGGGTCAAGCCTGATTACATTCCTGGAAAATAGCTCCTGTAGTCCAAGGGCAGTGGCAGCCCCTCTAATGAGATAAAGAATCTGCTTTTACCAGGGAAAGGAGCCTGGGACTTTCGAGAATCTCCATTCCAGGGCCCAGCTGAAGGTTCTGTACTTCTCAAAGTGTGGTCTCCAAATATCTACATCCAAATTGCTAGAAGAGCTGGTTAAAATGCATATTCCTAGGGCCCTAGTTTAGACTTATTGAATCAAAGTTCAAAGATTTGCATTAAGTTTTCAAAATGTGCAGTTTTAACAAGATTCCCAGCTGATGGTTAATGAACATGAGATCAGCGCGTTCCCTCTGAATGAAGGGCAGCTTATACCGTCCACCTTTATCCTCCTAACTATCTGCCCCCTTTATGCACCATTTCTCTGCTCTCTCTCTCCTCCCTCGTCATCCTCCTTTTTCTCTCCCTGCCTCCTTTAGTCCACCCCTCAAAAGCCCTTCTGAAAAAAATTGATGATGAAGAACAAAAACGCTCCCCCTGAAATGTGGGTGAGTCCTGCCTCCCCCTGCTGCCCCCAGAGTTTCTGCAGGCCCTTGTGTGCCCTTCCTCACAGCCGTCCTCAGGGGGCTGGCCAGGCTGATGTTTGCCGTGAGTGGAATGAAGGGCCCCTTGGGAAAAGCCAGTTGAGCTCGCACACACAGTAGCGGCTGGTGGCGATGTCTGAAGGAAGTCCTATTTCAGTCCCCCTCTTCCTCCCTGGCCTAGGGAAAACTTCCTGCTGTCCGCAGAGCTCGTGGCCTGAGTGTCCCTTCACGAAAGGTACAGAACACCACCACCTTGTCTACATGGCCAGGGCTGGGCTGATGCATAAGTGAAGTTGGTGGCTATTACATGACTTGAAGGAAAGCAGCAAAACCTGTTTGCCCTCAAAGGGAAAGGAAGGAAACTCATATTTATTGATGGTCCTGCTGAATGCCAGGCTCTGTGCTGTGCACTTTGTGTGCGTAACTTCACTTATCCCCGTATTACAAATGGTACAGTGGGAGCTCAGAGAGTTTGCATAATTTGTCCAAGTTCACACAACGAGTAAGTGAGGGTTGGGATTTGATATGTAACTCTACAGCCGATATTCCTTCCAATAAACCATATACCATGTACCCAAAAAGAACAAATTTCAACTATTAGACATTTACTTCTTAGGATTGGTTCCAGGAGTCCTCTGTTAAAACACGTTGCCTCTGTGAAAACAAGGTGCTCCCCTAGTAAACTAATCTACTATTTCCCGACCAGGTATTCTCACTGTATCAGAGAGTTTCTTGGATAATTTTCCAATGTGAGAGCAGCTCAGAGGAAATGGGTCTCGAGACCAGATAGTATGGATGGTGGGCAGAGGTTGCCCAGGAGGGGCTGTAGTGAGGGTGGGTGCCTCCGGACAGCAGGTGACACACAGAGCATAGGAGATGGGAGCCAGGGTAGGGCGGCACACTCATCCGCTTTACAGGACTGCAGAGGGCTCTCGGCTGGCACAGACCTTGGGAAAGAGAGCCCAGGTCCAGGCAGAGCTTTGAAACCAGAGCTGGGTCTAAACCTGTGTGATTTAACCTCTTTTGTCAGTCATTTAACCTCTCTGAGCCTCAGTGTTCTCATCTGTGGAAATGGACAGTAATTCACTCCTCGCCAGGCAACAGTAACGACTAAATAGCTTACAGAAAGCTATCCAGCGCAGTCCCTGGCACGTAGTAGGTACTCCATGGCATTTTCCTGACAGAGTTCATCACATGGAGAGCAAGACAGACAGCAAACCCCCCGAGAGGCCCAGCTCTGTGCCCCAGACCCAGCATGCCCTTCCCCAGCCACCCTTCCAAGCAAGCCCGCCAAGGAAGTGATTGATGGAGGCCTGTTTATTTCCTTTGCATATTTTTAATGACCTCTGGAGTCTACCAGCAAGCCTGCCCTATTTCCTACTTCAGACAGAATCACAGAGCAGAGAAGCAGCTGAAACATCAGGGTCCTGGCAGCATGCCTGCTCCAGCAGGTGCAGCTCAGGGAGCCTTTTCTCCTGGGGAGGCGGGGCCCGGGCAGCTCCGAGTGCAAGCGCGGGACCCAGGGCTGCTGTGTGTTCCTCAGGCATGTGTGCAATGGTCTTGGACAAAAACAGGACAACTCCAGCGTGTCATCTGGGCACAAACTCAGGTGCCACCAGGTGGAGATTCGGGCAGCAAGGGCGCGGCTTGTCCCTTCTTGGTCCAGAGAAATGAGATGACAAAAAATCCAAAATCTCCCCAAAGCAAAATGAATCGAGAAATGAACACTTGTCAGGCCCCTCTAAGTGTCTGTGGCCCTGTGAGGTGGTTTCACGTTTTGTGCCAGGCCCATGGAAGCCCTGAGGTGTCAGCCCCATCCCCCGGGCTTTTGAGGGAAACTGAGGCTAGAGTGGCTAGAGTGAGTCATCTTTAAGCATCAGAACTGGGACTTGCTCTCCTATTTTTAGACTTGAAGGGAAGGATTGACAATTCTCTGGACATTTGGGTTATATATAGAGCCAACTGGCTTGTTCTCAAATGGAAATGTCCAGACTGACTACATGAGCCAGACTCACCAGATAAACAGACCCGGCTCCTGCGATGGAGAACTGGAATGGAAGGACTCAGATTTCATCTTCTCCATGCCCTTCACTCACCACCACTACCCCACTGTACGCCCCCATCCGTCTAGGCTCTGCTGGGAACCAGGGGGAGGTTCTGATTCCAGACAGAGACAGAGGTCCCTGCCCCAACCCCCTCCCCCACCAAAAGCTCCTCCCTGCACGGACTCCCACAATGCCCTACGCAGCCTCCATTAGACCCACCCTGAAGTTAATGCACCATTTCCCCAAATCTCCTGGTCATGTGCTGGGCTACAACCCAGGAACAGGAAGCATGAGCTCGCAGAAGATAAACTGTGGGATGAGCTGTCACTGGGCAGGGATGGAAGCTGCCTCAGGTCTGGTTTTTTGAGGGTCGCAGGGGACAGGTCCAGGGCAGCAAGCTCAGTGTGTGGGCACTGCAGGGGAGGACAGGGTGGTGAGGGGTAGGTGTGGTGGGGCCAGCTGAAGATCCCGCCTCCTATGTGGGTCTACTCTAATCCTATTCTGATGGCGACACTCACCGTCCTCTCAGATTCTGCCACTATTTTCCTATTCCACAAACAGGCCCAACTTCCTCCCTTGGTCTTTGCCAAGGTGCAGCTGCAGGCAGTGAACCCCAGCATATCTAGGCTAGAGAGACCTCTCCAGGGGGAGCAGAGCCCCTCAACATTGTGGCCAGTGAAGGCTGCTGAAATACTTTTTAAAAAATTATTATTTTCTGGATTGTGAGCTTAAAGAACATCTTCAGAACTTCAAATTTCCTTAGGGTTGTGAATTACCAGATTGAGATAGAGGAAGCAAGGTCGGCTGAAAAAGAGCTACAGCCGTGTCTGGCTGTCTCCCGTGTGTGCAAAGAAGAGAGGAGAAACAGGGAAGGAAGGAGGAAGGCGGGGAGGGAGAAGATGGGGAAAGAGCATAGGGCTTGAGGATCGTCACAGAGAACAGGCAGGTAAATGGAGAGGACAAGAAAGAAGAACTTCAGAGACCAGGGCTGGACCACAGCTATGGGGAGTGGTGAGGACCTTCAGAACAGACAGCGTCGGGACAGCGTGGTGCAGCAGGCAGGCGGAGGGCCACTTCATCACCCAACCACTCACGTTTGTGGAGTGCTTGCTATGGACCAAGCGCTGCTCTAAGTACCTGCCATGTATTCACCCACTTAACTTCCAAGGTAACCTCGTGAGACAGATGCTCATGCAACAGGCTATGGGATAGAGCTGAAATTCGAGCCCAGGCAAGCTGGCAGGTGGCAATGCCACAGCATAACTGCCGTGCAACGCGGCATGGTAAGAAGGGGCTCAACAAAGCATTTGGGGTGAGCAGAAGGAAGGGAGAGAGGGAGGCAAGGGGGAGGAACACCTGACTTTGGGAGGGTCCCGTTTCTAGCCTGGACAGTCCACTAAGGTTTCAGAGCCTCATTTTTCATCTGTAAAATGGAGAAGATGATTTCTCTCTTGCCTTCTCATAGGGCTGTTCTGAGCCTGCAGATCGTGCAGATGGAAGTGATTCATGACTGTACAGCGCCACACATGCCCGGGCATCATGACCACTGGTGGCCATTGGGAGTCTCCCACGGTGGCAGGAATATACAATGCGTAGTCTCCAGAGTCAATGTGCTGGGCAGGCCCTCGGGCCCTCCCAGCCCTTAGTCCACCTGCTGGCTTCTGAAGTTAGGAAAAGCTTTACTACATTCATTGAAAATAGATGTCTTCATCTGGGGGTGGCTCCAGTGCCCCTGTGATTCAGCCCGATTCACCTTGTAGGCAGATGTGCCTTTCCCGGGCTCTCAAGCACTTCTCCTTGTTCATCACCCACACAGGCACATGTGCACGGAAAATAACTTGTAAAGATAAACAATGTGCACACACAAGTGTGAAGCAACTCAATTGACCCAAAGTGCAAATTAAATCGATTTCTTAATAATGCCCTATAAATAAATTAGTTTTGGCTATTGAACACAATAATGAGCCTCAGCAGCTGCGTCTAGTTCTGATAGATCAGGCTAATCTGGGACACCTCCCAAGAACTCAGCCCTTCACTCCCAGGTGGAAGATTCTCTGATGTATACCACCAGGTCACCTTGGGATTTAATGCAAACTTGATCCAGACTTTACCTTCGAGGAAGGAACCAGTTGCCATCACAACATAATCACAGACTTCATTCATTCCTGCCCCAAGGACTTTGCACGAGCTGTTCCCTCTGCCTGGCAACTTCTCCTCCAGATCTTCACATGGCTAGGACTTCATCCTCATTCAAGTCTCGGCTCAAATGTCACCTTCTCAGAGCCCGCACCTCCCAGCCCATATGACTTTACCTTCTTCATGGCACCTAGTGCTATATGAAATTACCTTGTTTATTCACTTGTTTACCTGCTTAGTTGTTTGTTCTCCCCACACACATGCTCACACATGCCACTAAATGCAAGCTGTATCTCAGCCACTGCTTTATCCCCAGAGCCTAGAGTCATTCATCCTGACACACTGTAGGTGCTCAATATTTATCAAACCACCAGAATTAATAAACTAATTAATGTAAACACAAGGCTAAGCAGTATTGCATTCAATCATCCCATCAGCCCTACGAGATGGGTACAAGTGCCCATTTTACAGATAAGGAACTGAGCCAGGCTAATGCACCTTGCTCAAAATGGGACTCCAAAAGCTATGTTGCCCTAACAGGTGGACAGAAAACAGAACAAATCCATCCCACCCAGGAACAAAGGAGGAGCCAAGGTGAGTACAGGCACCTGCTCTTCCCCCACCCCCCCAACGACCACCTTGGAAGCCAGAAAAAGCCCCTCCCCTGGACAGGTAGGAGGATTTGAAGCAGTTCCAGCTGCAGGTGACACTGGCTGCCTGAGCTGAGCCCAAGCAGACAGCCTCTGTTGGCTGAAGAGGCTGTGCCTCACACACCTTTAATTTTCCATAATGCAGCAACTGTAAATACGTGATTATAGGCTGCAGCCTCAGCCATCCATTGCCTTACACAGCTGCTGCTGCAGCATCCGTGTGGTGATGGAAGCCCCTCCTCTGGGCCCCCCAGGGTTGTAGATGGTCTAGCTTGTCTGGCAGGTCACCCAGGACCTGTGACTATCCCCGAGCCATAGGTGCAGGGAATGAGGGTTTCCAAGCACCCAGGAACCTCATCCTTTTTGTCTCCTGCTCCTACCCCTAGCTGCCTTGGCCTGAATGCCTGGCTGAGACTGCACACCTCCAAGCTGCTGATTTAATAGAGAGCTTTTCTTGAGGGAAGCCGTGTTTTGGGATGGGTCACAGAGAAAGGGAGGAGAGAAGAGGTGGCCTTGGAGGGGGTCCAGAGTAACACAGAAAGAACCATCCACCCCCAGAGAGAAAAGAAACCCCAGAGAAACCAGCCCTCCCCTTCTCCTTCCTCTATACCACAAGCTGGCTCCCAGCCCCTTACGGTATCCACTAATGCCACAGGCAAGGTAAATGGAGGAGCGGGGGCAGAGGGTGATTAATCACGTGTACATTCTGCTAATTACAATAATTGCTATTTAATGACTTGTGTATATTTCTCAGACTGAGAGCACATACACTGCCACCTGATGGACTAGGACGTGTTGGTATTTGGGTTCTGCTTACTTTTTATTTTTGCTAAAATATGCATACATATTCAACAAATACATGGGAATTAAACAAAAGCAAGGCCAAGAGGCAGCTATAGAGGGTGGAACTGCAGGCTGCTCTGTCAGCCTGGAATAAAGTCAAAGGAGGGAGTTAGGATGAGGGTAGCTGGATCCCACAGGACCTGAAGTCCAAGATTTTCATGGCACTGACCAACCACTGGAAACCCAATCTAATGCTCAATTTGGAGTCAGGGGCCCAGGTCAGTAACACTGTGGCTTATCCTCAGGCAGGGGACACACCCAATGGCCTGAATCCCCGGGGCTGGAGAAGAGGCCAGGGACGTGGCCCTCTAAGAAGGGAAGGGAAATACTTGGCTGCAGACTTCAGAGACCATCCTGCAGCAAAACCCCCAGGGACAGGAGCTTTAAAGGGTGGGAGCCGGTGTCAGGACCAGAATAGCTCATGGGGCTTCCTCAGCTCTGGGAAGGATGTGCATTTTCCCTGAAATGTGAACATGACTCACACCTAAGGAATGAAGTGAAATGTCTGGGGGCCCCTCCTGCTAGAAGGGGATACCTGGCAGGCTCTTTCAGGGTCCAGCCCCTTCCCATCTAGTGCTCTGCTGTCTCCCTTCTTGAGGAATGCTCATCCTCTCCCGGCCCAGCACACCCCCGTGAGCACCAACATTTGCAGACACCCCAGATCAAATTTAATACACAGCAAGAGCAAGCCAAAGAGTAAAAGAAATGTCTGAAGAAGATGAGGTCTGCCCGGAGGGTGTGTGGAGACCTCCAGAAATGAGCAGAGCTACACCCTTATCTCAGGCTCACCCGGCAATGCCCCTGAGTGGAGACCCTGGAATCCAACCCACCCGCTGGCTGCTGGGGGTTCGGAGCCAGGGTGTCAGGGGCCTGGGGCCTGGGGCTGTGGCGTGGGAGCGAGGTCTCTTCCTCCTGATGCATGGTGGCTGCTCATCGTGTACACTGGCCATCATGTACGCTGCCCATGTACGCCACCCATCAGGTACGCTGCCTACCAAGCACACTGCCCCCATGTATGTTGCCCACCATGCACGGCACCCCCATGCATGCCGCCTTCATGCACGCTGCCCCCACAGGCCACCCACCATGCACGCCGCCCCCATGTACACTACACATCATGTAAGCTGCTCATCATGTACACTGCCAGGACAGGGCAGGGGAGCCCACGAGGGTGCAGTGATATGTGGGGACCCCTGCCTGCCCAGGACAGGTGACAGGTAGGTGATGGGGTAGGAAAAGGAGCCGATGAACTTCACAGCCCCAGGAAACAGCTGGGGTGAGAGACTCACAAGCCCCACTCTGGAGAGTAAAGATTGGTCCTTGGAAACACCACTATTGTCAGAAAAGGAGCTCAACTCTGAGCTTCCCAGTCCTTTTCCTGAGGATTTAGAGGAGTAGGCCTCCCTCCCTGCCTGCCTTCCTTCCTTCCCTGCTCTCCTCCCTCTCCTTCTCTCTCTCCATTCTCTTCTATCCAACCCTCCCCATCCACCTCCCTCCCTCCTTCCCTGTCTCTCTGCCCGCTCCTCTAGCCCCGCACTCCCTGTCCCCCACCTTCTGTCTCCCTGCCCTATTTCCCATCCTCCATCCCCATGCCATCTCCCTCCTTCCCTCTCTCCCTCCATTCTCTTTCTTTGGTACCTAGTCCGTGCCCAACACTATTCTAGGTGCCGTGTGGCGCCTGCCTGTCTGGTGATCTGTAAACTCCTCCAAGCTGGGAATCAGCACTCAGCCTGACTCCTCTGATTTCTGGGACCCTTAGCAGAGCCTTCTCTAGACTCTGCGCCCCTTGAGGGCAGGAGCCATATGCTTACAGAAGCGTAGCACAGGGCGTAGCATATACCAGGCCCAGAGACAGCTCTTGAGCAATGTGGGCTGGGTGCCAGGTCCAACGGATGGAGGCCTCCTTCCACCACTGGGATTGATTTTACTGGGGATGTGGTGCTGGCTTATGGCTCAACAGGGTTGCCCTGCACAATAGGGAGAATTCTCCGCTGTCGCCTTGCTTAAAATCATTGTTTCAGCGGCTGCAGAGTAAGATGTTCCCTCTGACTTGCCACCTGTCAGGCCTGTAATTACACTCCACAGCTCCAACAAAATCTCCCTCATCCTGTGAGTTCCCGCCCCAGAAGGAGAGCGCCCAGGCCAAGGGGCGCAAAGATCATTCTTTAAATGCCTCACGAATTTTTCTCAGAGGGGAAGGTCAACTAGGTCAACTGAGTGAGAAAAACTCTGTCTATTCCAAACCCTGGGCCGGTCAGACCAAGCCATCCGCAGCACCACTCCTACCCACCACCCTTCAAATGTCCTGGACCCTCGGCTCGCCCCCTGCTCTCCCCGTCTGCCTCTGAGCACCGGCAGAAGGCGCACTTCCTCAGGCCTGGCTCCCGGAGCTTCTCCACTAATTAAAATGTGATGCCAGTTATTTATTCCTTAGGATGAGATCAAGCCACTGCATCCTCACCTCTCCCAGGGCTGCTTTCAGTGTGATTATGAAATGAAGGAGATGGCGCCGTTTCCTCTTCTCTCCTGAAATCTCCTCTCCACCCAGACTGTGTTCCCACATCCAATCGCCACCAGAGCCTCTGGCCTGCGCAGGGCCACAGTGCTTGGAGGGATTTCTTCTGTTCATCTGGATTCAGATACAGCAAGTATTCATTTGAGTTCCTTTTGTGTTTTTAAATTTTTAATTATTTTTAAAAATTGTGGGAAAATACATTAAAATTTGCCATCTTAACCATGTATAAGTATGTGGTTCAGGAGTGTTATATACACTCAAATTGCTCTGCAACTGATCTCCAGAAGGCTTTTCATCTTGCAAAACTGAAACTCTGTACTCCTTCAATAGCTCCCCATTCCCCACTCCCTTCAGCCCCTGAAAACCGTCATCCTGCTTCCCATCTCTATAAATTCCATTACTCTAGGCACTTCATACAAATAGAGTCATGCAGAATTTGTCTTTTGTGACTGGCTAATTTCTCTTCGCGTCATGTCCTCGAGGTTCATCCATGTTGCAGCATGGATCAGAATTTCATTCCTTTTTAAAGCTTGCAATCACATTTCACATTTTGCTTATCCATTCATCTGTCCAAGGACACTTGGGTTTCTCTCACGTTTTGGCTTTTGTGAGTGATGCTACCACGAACATGGGTGTGCGAATATCTCTTTGAGGCCCTGCTTTCAATTCTTTAGGGTGCATACCCAAAAGTGGAATTGTTAGATGGTATGAGAATTATATTTGTAATTTTTTAAGGAAACACCACACCATTTTTCTAAATGATACAATTTTATATTCCCACTAGCAATGCCCAACGGTTCCAATCTGTCCACATCCATGCCACCACTTGTTTTCTGCTTTCTGTTTTGTTTTGTTTAATAAGAAAATCCTAGTAGGTCTGAGATAATTTCCTTTTATGTTTCAGGCACTATGCTGGGTGCTTGGCATGAGTATTCTCATTCAGTCCAAGTCTCACCAGCAGTCAGCCGGTAGTGTCCGCATTCTCCCCGAGGTCCCTGGCCATCTTTTTGTGCCTGTGCACATGGGTCTCCACTGCAAATCAGCTCTTCATAGGACACACCCGCACAGTCACGCAGGCTGCCAGCACAAGCCCTAACTTCAGCAGATACTTGGGAGTTTTCTGTTGGTGAACTAATGAGTTCATGGTGTTTGGGCATCAACAAGAAAGGTGGGATTTCTCTTTTTGGCCATTGGGGTCTCCACTGAAACTCAGTGACCATATACATGCTATTCCACCTATTCATGAGACCAAGCCTGGCACGGTATACAGGATGACCAAGGGCTTTCCTTGTCAGCTAAAGCAAAGTCTCAAGTAACTAACTGAGCACTATGTGTCAGCTTCAGCTGTGCATGAAGCAGGTACCTGAAGGCATGTCTGGCCTCTGTCTGCATACAGTAGATACCTGACAAATGTTTTCTCCAATAACAAAAAGCCTACACTCTTGAACGTTTACCACATGCCCTGCACATTACATACACTGACTGATTTAATCCTCATAACAACCCAATAAGGGAGGTATGATTCTCCCCATTTTACAGATGTGGAAACCAAGGTCTCACAGAAACACAGGCACTTTCTCAAGACCATACAGATAAGAGATGGCAAAGGTGGAATTAAATTTTTAACTGTTCTGCCCTTCTGTGTCTCCATCTATGTTCAGCTTTGGGGGCCTGCCCCACATTGGTAGAAACTGAACAGGCCCAAAGCCCATTCTCTTAGTGGAGCCAGCAGCTTCCTGGGTGGAGCATGGGACCCTCAAACACCTGCTCTCTGTCCATGAAGGTGCTGCCCTCTGGCAATAACTTATGGTTATTCTTACCCTTAGAGTTGGGGCCAAAGAGGTCAGGAGCACCTTTATACACAAGGAACTGGAATGCAGTTCCTTTCTGTTGTTGTTCTCTTGCCCGATGAGAACATGTTCCCAAGCTTCAGTGACATTAAGAGACTTTGACCAAAAAGCCATTATTCTTAGGGCACTCTTACTGCTAAAAGTGATCTAGGAAAAGTCTCAGAAAATTTCTGTTCTGGGGAAGCCAGCAAAACTCTTAATTGTATTTTAAAACTAATCATTCATTCACTCATTTGCTCCGGAAATTGTACACACGCACCTAAAATAGTGCCTAGAACTTAATGTGCGTACAATTAATAGGGTTTTTTCTTCCCTTTTACACCCCTTCCCCCAAGCCCTTCAAGGGAGGATGGATGGATGGTTTGAGGACACTCACAGCTTGCGGGACTCTGTGGGAGGCACGGGGCGTACAACACCTGCCTTCGTTTCTTTCCTGAATGAGAACTGTGATGGTTAAAGGCCTGCTAGAGCCCATTCTTCTCCCTAATAAGTCAGCACACTGACAACACAGCTTCCTAATCAAGAAAGGTGGCGACTAGAAGGGGAAAAAACACAAACTGTGGCATGTTCACCCAGGCATTCATCAGTCTAGCTGATGGAGGCTGGTTCCGTGTTGTCATAAATTCAATCTCAAGCAAACACTCATCTCTCTCTCGTGCCCAGATTGTTGGCACAAAAGGAAAGCAGACGGTTGCAGATGATATCCATCAATGAATGTCAGGGAGCTGTGCTTCCCCAAACCCTCTGGATAAACAAGAAAAGGCCACGTCTGTGGTGCTCATCTGGCCTTGAAGATTTGAAGTTCAAATAAGGCACTTTGTGGAAAATTATATGAGCTATAGAATGGGTTGGGGGAAAGTGTGACCCGGGAGAGAGGAGGACGTGTCCTTTTCTCTCATGTCCGTCAAAAGAGAGGTTCCTTGCAGGCTAATAGAAAGGCAACTAGGCCAGGAATCAAGAAATAGCAGTCCTCACCTTGCACAAGTCCCCACCTCTGTGTTTTCTTTCATAAAGGCAAGTCGGCAGGGGCTGAGGAGATAAATGTTCTCACATTTTCTACATTGAAAAAACTTCTCAGTTGCAAAACCACTTTGTAAAACTGGCAATAATTGAGCTAAACATAGGCACACACCCTACAACCCAGCAATTCTACTCCTAGGCATTACAGGTAATTAAAGTACATGCATATGTTCTCCATTAAAAAAAGACAGAAAATATCCATCAATGACAGAATGGGTAGAAACACCGTGGCACACTTGTACAATGGAACACTATACACTGATGAACATGAACAATGGAATACTATACACCGATGAACATGAACAACTTTAAAACTACAGGCATGGATGAATCTCATGAACATGATTCTGAGTCAAGAAATCTAGACAAAAATATAGACTTCATGAGTTTATATCAAGTACAACAAGAGGGGAAATGGATCTATGCCATTTAGGAGTCAGGGCAGTGGTTCCTGGGGAAGGGAGGCAGTGACTAGTTGGGGCACGAGAGGTGTGAGTAACGTTCTGTGTCTTGACCCGGGTGCTGGCGACACAGCCGTGTGCACGAGGTGAGAATTCATGCTGTGCACTCACAATGTTTGCATTTTGCCGTCTGTGTGCTGTACCTCAATGACATTTATATTTAAAGCTTTTACTTTAAAATATCAGATCATGGAATTTTGAAGGCTCCAAAAAAACCTCAGTGAGATAGAAATGTTATCCTGGGTAGCCTCCGCTGGAACATGTCCCTGGGCATCTGAATATATGAGCAGTATAGGGGGCCCTGGAACAAGAGGAGGCATGGACCCAGCCTAGAAGGCTGCAAGCTCCTCAGAAGAGCAGGTGCCCAGGAGAGAAGGTGACGTGGCTAGATTCCCTGATGGTGACAGGGTATAATATAAAAACCTTGGTCAAAGGGAATAAGAAGTGGGGGGGAGGATAAGACAGAGGAAAGGGCTGGGCCATCTGGAAAGGCCGTGTGCCCTGTGCCCACATAGGCACCGCCAGCAGCAGGCAGGCTGTTGATATTTTCCTGAGCCTCCCTGGCCATGGGAAAACATGCGGCAGGTGATGGAGCTGCTTTGCTGGTAATTATTTCCTGCTCAGACAGGGAGGCGATAGATCATCTCAGGGGAGACTCCTTAATTGAAAAAGTGTCAATAGATAAAAAGCGATAAAAGCCTTTTCAGCTAAAACCCTGTCTGCCTCAGTCTCAACCAATGGCTAATGCTGCTTCACCAAGAAAGACCCTCCCGGGCCCTCTTAGCTCCAACCTGACCGACTCCTTCCCTAAGGCAGGGAGGGAACCAGCATGTGTCCACATTAGAGGGAAAGGGCTCCACTGCTTTTAAGTCAGGAAAAGCCAGTCCCCAATCTCTGAATCAATGTTTTAAATGAACCAAGGAAACCAAATGTTGTCCCAAACTGTCATTTAGTTTATCCTCACTGATTATAGGAATGCTCTTTTTTTCTGGGGGATTTTCTAGGCCCTTAATCTTAGGCTACTTCTCTTTCCAAAGACCTGCAAGCCAGTTTCCTGCTGATTCGTGTCCTACCAGAGGGCTCCAGGAGAAATTAAACTCAAAGCCCCCACTTTGTGAGCAGTTTTGAGGCAACTTTTTGGGTGGGGAGGAAGTTAAGTCTGAATGATCACCTGCAAGGAGGCTAGGGATGACCTTGACCATCTCAGCCCGCAGAATGTAGTGGATGCCTGCCACATGCCAGGCACCACATCCCCCTGCTAGCCTGCCCTGTCTATCACAGCATACATCTCTTTAACCAGTCCTCGCACACTCTCCATCAATCCTTGGGAGCAAAGTGGAGAAGCCCAAGCTGGATGGTGGTGGCTGGGTGGACTCAGGGCGGCCTTACCACACCCACATGACTCTGATTGATATAAACTGAAAAGGTGGTCTCTGTACTCCCAGGCCAATTCTGTACAGCATTTCAATCAAGTTCTGCTATATAGAATTCTAACTCAGATGAAGACATAGACACACCCAAAGCTAGGGAAGGACAGTGGGTGAGGGAGTCAGGACTCAGTATCTGGATATCAAAGGCCCTGATTTTAACATAATGAATAAGATTTCTAGTAAATTTCTGAGTTTAAGTTAAATAAATTTACCTAATTTCAGGACTGGGGAGCCCTTGCTCAACAGTCATTCATGTAAAAAAAAAATCCCTGAGGCTTCAGATGATCACAAGCTTTTTTAAGGAAAGGATGGTATGACGGTTGAAATGCAACATTGGGGGATAATGTTGGACATATGGAAGTCAAAACAGAACAGATGATAAAATTCCCATACCCCTCTCTGAGCAGACCACTATTAGTATTGGGTTTAGTTCTGGGCATTATCCTGAAAAACTACTGTACACCCAAAGCAGACACCCAGGGTGGTTAGGGTCTGGAAGCTGTGTCATATGAGGAAGAAACTGAAGAGAAGAGGAGGAGGTTCTGGCGGGACACAAAGAGTATTTTCAAAGTCGTATAATGCTGTTGGAATGGAATTGGCCCTTGTGTTGATCTGAGGGCAGAAGGATGGTCAATGGAGAGATTACAGTGCTTTGTTGTGGGTGTTGCCTTGCTTCATATAAAGAGGGAGGAACCGGCAACAACTAGAGTCTCAACAACAGAACAGCTCGCATGTGCACACCCGCACGCCTGCCCCACTGCCACGCTGCAGGATACTGAAGTCTTTCTCCTTTGGGGGAGAGAGGGTAAGTAGGTAGCCTCCAGCAACTCTTTTCATAGTTACAGCCAATAGTGAAGGCAACCACATATCAGCATTTCTCAGTGCTCCCTGCCAAAAGAGTCACCCCTCTAACAAACTCGGAGCGGGTGTGAAGGATTGGTCAGCTCCAGGGGCATGGGTTTCTGGTGTTTTACATAAATGCCCTGAAATATCCTGACATTGTGTGGGCCTGTTCCCAGGAAGCCAGAACTTCACCCTCTTGTATTACGTGGGGGAAATAAATGAGGACTATTCCAGGGGTTCTCCTAGTTTACATAATCCCAAAGAGCCTTTATAGTCTGAACACCCTGCTCTTTTATTTGGGGGATAAAATATACATAACACAAAATTTACTATGTTAACCATTTTTAAGTTTACAGTTCGGTGGCATTAAGTATATTCACGTTATTATGCAATCATCATCACCATCCTGCTCCAAAACTTTCATGCTACTTTTAAATGCCATGATGAAGTTACAAAATTATTCTCAAAAGCTGTTTCTAGTTTTATCAGGCAAGTATGAGATGCCACGGTTTTTCTCTGCAGGCCCACCATGAATGTGGCCATTCGTGTTTAAGGGCACACTTGTATTTCTGGCTAAAGAAGCCTCTGACGTCTGACATATCGCGGAAGAGGTTCCTGCCTGCCCTTGGTTCCCCGTGATGCCCAGTTAGGCTTCTCACGCTGTCGCCTGTTTGCTGTGCGAGAGAGGATGGCTTAAGCAGCCTCTTCTCAGGTTGGGACTGTGGAAATGGGTCAGCTTGGTTCCCGTTTCACTGTTTTCTGAAGGTAAAGGGAGAAAGTGAAAATCAAGGGTCCCTGCATCCTCTGGTTGATCTGCTTGGCTTGGTGTTAATGTAAACAGTTAATTGCAGGCTTGCAGGCCTTAGAGAATACAGGGCTGCTTTAATTAATTCCAGCACACGTCTTGCAATGTTTACATTCCAAATTACCTTCATGTCAGAAGTATGCAGCCCAGAACCACAGTTTGGGGGCAATAAAATTCCACTAGCCGCTGCTTCCAGCATCTGGAAGTCATTTGCTCAAAGAACCAGAGTTTGCTATTTGGGAAAGTTAAATATGCTTCAAGACAGAGATGAGGTGACACTGGCTTCCCCCAAAACTACTGACGTCAGGAAAGCCCCAAGCTGGCTCCAGAGGAAGGGTGATGCCCTGTGGATTCCGGGCAGAGAGGAAAGCCTCACTGTGTGTGGCCATAAGCGTGAAAGAAAGCCTAGGATGAGGGTTTAGAGAAGAAGAGATGCTACACGGATGACCAGGATTAGACTCTAGAAGGCACTTTATGCTGTTGCAGACATCAGCCCTGGGTTCTGCTGAACGTAGGGGCTGTCTTCCTTTTTCTACCCCTCAACTCCCTCCCACCCAAGTGCACCTTCCGGGATTCACAGAAAACTCCATCTGCATTAGGAAGGGGGTCTTGCGGCAACCATTGGTTCTTCTGATGTGCTTCAGAGCATGAGCTCTCCAAAACACACCAGCTCCTTGGCATCTCTCATGCCCAGAGAACTGGTGCCCACAGAATGAAAGAACCCTGTGAGTCGAAAGCCCTTGCAGGTTTCCTCTAGTCCATCCCCCTGCCTTTAGGAACAACTAAATAGAAACAACTCCAGACTTTCAGTTACCTACCTTGTTGTTTCCCTCTTCAGATCTAAAAATGGAGGGCTGGGGCTTGAGAAATACTTTGCATTTGCTCCTTTGGAAGTCGAATTTCCAAATGAGTCGACAATGCCAAGCTCTTTATAGCATCTCTAAACAAACCAGAATTTCATGTAAGTCCTATTATCTGTCAATGTCATTTTGCCTCCCCCACATTCAAAACCAAATTAGATATGTTGGTGATACACATCAAGAAGTCTTTATTCCCATACATATATATATATATATATATTTTTTTTTTTAACTGGGAGGCAGAGGACAGGACAGGATGTTGCCCCATCTTTCCTGTTGAGGGAACTGAAGGGAATAGAATGTAGGCCCTGGAGTCAAACAAACCTGAGTTGGGGTCCCTGACTTGGGTTCAGTTATGTAGCCTCTCCGAGCACCTCAGTTTCCTTGTGTGTAATAATACTACTTATCTGATGGGGTTGTTAAAGGGTTAAATGAGCTAATCATCGCAGAGGGCTTTGTATGGCAAGTGTTCCGCTTCGTAGCCAACCAGTGAGCTGAGCAGCTCTGCGGACCAGACAGAAAGATTTAAACATAGATCTTATAGACTTCCAGGCCACCAGGTCTCTGACTACAGGTAGTACTAGGGTGTTACCAGACTGCTCCCTGCTGAAAATGCTAGAGGGTGAGAGATACCATACAGACCTTTAAGAAACCTCGGAAACTCATGCAGTTCCCCGGCTGACTAGGATCCAGCTGTCTCCTCCACAGCATTTGCTACTTGGTGTTTCGCTGCTCCACTTCCTCATTTCTTCCCTCCTGGACTGTAAGTCGCCAGAAGGCAGGGGCCATATCTGTGCAGATTGCTGCAGGCATATGCAGTACAGTACTCACAATGCCCCCTGCAAGGCGATGCTTAATACTTTCTTCTTATTTACTTTTATTTATATTTTTACAGTTTTGTAGTTTAAATATAGCTATAGTTTACAGTTTTACCCAGCTTTATTGAGGTATAACTGACAAATTAAAAAATTGTATATATTTAAGGTGTACAACATGATGATTTATGTGTACACTGTGAAATGATTACCACAATAGAGCTGAATAACACAGTTCCCTCTGTGTGTGTGTGTGTGTGTGTGTATGTGTGTGTGTGTGGTGTCATAGGCCTTAAGATCTACTTTCTTAGCAAATTTCAAATATACAGCATAGTATTTTTAATTACAGTCACCATGCTGTACATTAGATTGCCAAGTTTATAACCCTTCCCCATCTCCCATTACCTCTTCCCCCAAGCCCCTTTAGCCCTGGCAACACATGTTCTACTCTCTGCTTCTATGAGTTGGGCTCTTTTAGATTCCACATACAATTGAGATCACACAGTGTTTATCCCTCTGTGTCTGGTTTATTTCACTTAGCATAGTGTCCTCTGGGTTCATCCACACTGTTGCAAAGGGCAGGATTTCCTTCTTTTTTAAGACTGAATAATATTCCATTATATATAGAAAATCACATTTTCTTTATTCATCTGCCAGCTAACACTCAGGTTGTTTCAATATCTTGGCTATTGTGAATAATGCTGCAATGAACATGGGGGTGCAAATATCTCTTAGAAACACAGATTTCATTTCCTTTAGATATACACCCAGAAGTGGACTTTCTGGATCCTATGGTTAGTTCTATTTTCATTTTTTTGAGGAGCCTCCATGTTGTTTTCCATAATGGCTGTACCAATTTTCATTCCCACTGGCAGTGTACCCTGCAGGATTCCCTTGTTTTCATATCCTCATCAATACTTGTCATTGCTTGTCTTTTTGATAGCCATTCTGACAGGTGTGGGGTTTTGATTTGCATTTCCCTGGTGATCAGTAAGGTTGAGTACCTTCAATATGCCTGTTGGGCATTTGCATGTCTTCTTTAGAAAAATGTCTTTTCAGGTCCTTTGCCCATTTTTCCATCAGGTTATTTGCCTGAATAGCCAAAGCACTCTTGAGAAAGAAGAACGAAGCTGGAGGCATCACACTTCCTGATTTCAGACTGTACTACAAAGCTATAGTAATCAAAATGGTATGGTACTGGCACAAAAACAAGACACATAGACCAATGACAGAATAGAGACCATAGAAATAAACCCATGCATATATGGTTAACTAATCTTTGACAAGGGTGCTAAGAATACACAATGGAGAAAGGATAGTCTCATCAATAAATGGTGCTGAGAAAACTGGCTGTTGAACCCTTATCTCACACCATAAACAAAAATCAACTCAAAATGGATTAAAGATTTAAATGTAAGAAAATATTTGCAAGCCATATATCTGATAAGGGGTTAATATCCAAAATATATAATATATTCATACATCTCAATAACAAAAAAAATTTTAAAAAGATTATCAGGATGATATCATTGTGCTACATGTTATCCACATTAAAAATCAAGATGCCTTGCTTCTTTCTCTAACCCACTTGGACAATCATAAACCTGAATTTCTAGCCTCATATCCTAGCATGTGGGTGTTTGAGTGATTCCTATAATTACACAGTTTTGGTTCTTTACTATGTAAGTCAGTATTTCTCCAAGTGTAGTCCAAGGATGAACTGCATCAAAACCACATGGGTGGAGGTGGGA
This sequence comes from Homo sapiens, assembly GCF_000001405.40. Lineage (NCBI taxonomy): Eukaryota > Metazoa > Chordata > Mammalia > Primates > Hominidae > Homo > Homo sapiens. The sequence continues at coordinate 656,122 of NW_018654718.1, read as the reverse complement.
AGAGGGTGTGCTGGTTAAAATGCAGATTCTTGTCTTCCACCCCAGACCTCCTAAATCATAATCTCTGGGGAAAGAGCCAGAGGTCTTCCTTTTAAATAAGTCCATGAAGAGTAGCCTCTGTGGCTCCCAGAGTTTGTTTCTACCTTACTTTTCATAGTCTGCAATAGTGGGCAGCCGCATTGCCTTTTGGAATTGAAGGTGTGGCCAGTTTGTTATGTAAGTGGGCTTAAGCAATAGGAATTTGCACCTCCTGCCCTGTAAAACAGACCATGCAAATTCAAATGCACCTGAGAGCAGGAAAAGCTTCTCAGTGCTCCAGGTTCAGCAGCGCAGAAAGAACACTCCATCTAGAGCCTCAAAAGATGAAGCAACTTTCCCAAGACCCTGGCCCTTCAAGATGGATGATTCTGTAATTTTTACAAAGTGCCCTGGGTGGGTCTGCGGCACAGTAACATTTAAGAACCATAGTTAAAGGCCATGAATCTCGGCCCCAGCACCCTTTGCAGAGAAGTAGAGCTATGCAGCCGAAAGACCATGAGTACTGGGAAGCAGGGAGCTGGGTGCTAGTCCTGGCTCAGCTGCTTCCAAGGAGCTGTGTGATCCTGTACAGGTCTCAGCATCTTGGAGCCTTAATTTGCCTCAACTGTTAAATAAAGGAGGTTAAACTACATCAGCAGCTTTCAGATTTTCTTTTTGGCAATGAAATGCTTTTGCCAAAGAAACTTTTCTCAGACCCTGGGTAGAGAAAGCAGATGAAAGTGAAGCAGGAAGCCCTACTGGATCCCAGAGGACCAAAGAACACAACTCTGAGTCCTCTGGGCCAATGACCTAACGTCCAGGTCAGATTTGCAGCTTTGCACATCCCAAGGGTACAACCCAGGAGCTGACAGGAGGGAAGTCAACAGCAGGCCCAAGAAGAGGTGTGAAGAACTGGCTGGCAGGGGTGCCTCATGGCTTCAGCTGAGACCATGGCAGGTGGCTAAGAGTGGGCTCTGGTTTTGGTGAGGGGGGTCCTGATTTCCTCTAAGGCTAGTCACGGGGCTGGGGAAGTGCCAACAGCATAATTCCTGACAGCCAATGGACGCTACTAGTTTGCTATGACAGCCACTGGCAGTGCAAACAGGCCTTGAAAACACTTCCTCATTTGTATGTGAGATGGAGGGGAAGGGGCTCAGCTTCTACCAAACTGCGGATTAGCTCTGCCTCCCAAGGACATTTGCATATCAAAGATCCTGAGAAATCCTGTGGCACATCAACTTGTTTAGCGTGACTTTAAGCCAGTGTGTCTCAAACTTTTTTTGACTAACATACCCTTTTTACAAGAAAATTTTATCCAGCGTTCTTTGAAAGTCAATTTGGGATATACCAAAGTATTAGTTTCTGAAGTGCTTGAAGAGTGTGCAGAGTTTGGGGAAAGATTGACATTCTGAGGATTTGGGCAAGACGGGACAGGCAGAGGAGGAATTCTTTTTAGGACCTTTTCCCTTTAATTTTCTATTCTACAGGATAAAAGACCACAAGGACTTAACTTTATGACTGTGTAAGTGCTAGGATTCAAACTAGCTATGAGGCATTTCCAGGGTCTCTCGTTTCTCTGCTGTCTCTGAGAGATCTCAGGAGAAGACAGAGGACCCAAGAGGGCCCCCAGCTGCCTGCTGGCCTGTGATCAGGCCCTGAGGGTGGAAGGTGTCAGACGGCAGAGCGCACAGGCTGAAGGTGGGCTGATCTGCTCACTCACTGCTTCCCACCATGGACCAGAGCCTGAGAAACAACCATCTGCACAGTCAAACCACAGCTTCCGGAAGTATCCAATGTCCCCTTCACATCCTAGCAGGCTGTCACTCAACAGGATGAGCAGCACAGCAGGGCTCCCCTCAGAGGAGAGGCATCTGAGGTTAGGAACTCAAGGACTGCAGTGAGGCTGCCTGGGCTCAAATCCTGGCTCCACTACCCTCAGCTGCATAACTTCTGGCAAGTTCCTTACCTCTTGGTGCCTTCGTTTCTTCAACTGTAAAGTGGAGAAGGTCGATATGAGGATTACATGAGCTAATATGAGTAATATATTTAAATAGGGCCTGGCACATGGTCAGCCTTAAAAAAGTGTCTCTATTACAAACCTTATATCACAATTTGGCCTCACTAGTAATCTGGGTTTTGTTTTTAAGAGACAAAGTCTTGCTATGTCACCCAGGGTGGCATGCAGTGGTGCAATCACAGCTCACTGCAGCCTCCACTTTCTAGGTTCAAGTGATCCTCTGGCCTCAGCCTTCTGAGTAGCTGGGATTATAGGCATGCACCACCATGGCCAGCTAATTTTTAAATTTTTTAAGCAATGGGGTCTCACTATGTTGCCTAGGCTGGTCTCTAATTCCTGTTCTCAAGTGATCCTCCCACCTCAGCCTCCCAAAGAGCTGGGACTACAGGCATACCCTCTGCATCTGCCTTGAGCAACCTGTTTTTTGAGGGGTGGGGAAGAAATGACCCAGACTGAGTTGTGTCTGGACCTCCACAAATATGTCCAGCTGAAGAAGGACATGAGGATGGGGAAAACACCCCAGGTAGGACAAATCAACAGAAGGACAGATATGCTGTCATCCAGGGGAAGGAGCACCAGGCTGGGAGCCAGGGGACCTGGGCTCCACCTGAGGCTGCACCATAAACTTTGCTTTGTCCTAAGAACATGTCTCAACATCTCTGGTCCTCAGCTTCCTCCCAAGTAAAGTGATGAGACTGAAATAAGAGCTCTCAGAATCTGCCCCAGCTTTTAAATTCTATGTTCCTAGACCCAGGTACTGGGCACAGGGAGGGCTAGGGGGCAAAAGCAAAACCAAACTGAATAAAGAAATAGCCCTGCAGTGTGTGCATCTGTGTGCAGGACAGGAGATCAGGGAAGATGGATATTCAGATGCCTCCCAGAGCCCCTGCCAAGGAGTCTCTGCCCAGCAGTCCTCCCAGCAGCTCAGGATGGCATGGATGCTGAGGCAGTTATCATCCTGCAAACACCCGCACACAGCTGCCAGCCAGCCACCAAGAGAAGTGTTCAACTAGGGAAGAATTTAACGTCACATTAGAAATGAAAGCTCTGTAAAAACATAAAGCCCCCGGGCATGGCGGCTTTTCTCACCCAAACCCTCTGCTCACCCTGCCTGCCCTGCCTGAGACCTGTTCTTTGTGCCCAGGTGTTGATGCCCAGCAAACCTCACCTTAGCTCTTGCATTTGGATGCAAGGAGCATTTTTTAAATTTAGAAACAACTGGCTGTCCTAGCAGGAAGGGATCTACCTGTGTGGTGCAGAGGGCTGGCCCTCAAGGAGGCCTGGATGTGCCCAGAGCCTCCTGGGAATGTGCTTTGTGGCCGGTGGAGCAACCCGCTCTCTGTGCCTTTACAGAGAGGAGGAGGCAGGGGCTGCCTGCCCTGGGGCCAGGTCATGGAGCTGGCACTTACTCTTCCAGCTTTATCCAGTTAATCCAGCCCTGCTCGGGAGGTGGCACAGCAAAAGCACAGGGGGACAAACGTGTCAGGATGGAGGTGATTTCACGCTCTCAGAACAAGCTGGTGGTAGGGGATCTGCCTCGGTGCCGGGTTGGATATCAGTGCTATTTATGTTGCTGCTGTCGCTGCTGTGAGAGGGACCCTTGGCTTGCTTGGTGAAGCCTGACCCTGAAGGAAGGAAAGGAACTGCAAGCCCAAAGCGTGTCCTAGGCTGGACCGCCCTCCAGCTTTCTTCTGGGGCCGTGCACCTCCTCAAGCCCTCCACCTCGCCTCACACACACGCCCGGCTGGCAGCCCACTGGAATCCACCCTGGGACTTTTTCACTTTCCACCAGAGTTCACAGCCCCTGAGGGACATCCCTCAGAGATCTGACAGAAGACACAGCAAATGGTCCCTGCTCCGTCCTGTGCACCCCGGGCAAGGGAGCCCAAGTATCTCCTGGGGCACATGTTGCAGCTTTCTTAAGAAAAGCCCACATCTCACCAGGAAAGAGGCAGGGGCCATCTGCAAGAAGTGCCTCCACAATCTCTCTCCACCACTCCACACCAGACGCCAAGCCAGCGCTCACCATGTGCAGATACGAACTGGGGTGCAAAGTCAAACAAGACCTGTCTCTACCCCAGAACAACTCATCTCCCCAAACCTGTGGGAAACACACAGGTTTTCTGGGCCAGGCCCGTCCACAGGGGGCCTCCTTGGACATCAGACTGAGGTGCCTCCCCTGGAGTTCCACCCGGCGCCCACTCCGCACAGCCTTGCAGAGCAGCCTTGCCCGTTAGACAGAAGCATGGACATTCAGCTATGGGCTGAATGTGTCCCCACCAAAGCTCATGTGCGAAAGCCCTCACCCCTAGCACCTCAGAATGTGTGATGGTATTTAGAGGTAGCATACTATTTTGTTTGTTTTTTTTTGTACAGACAGGGTCTCCCTGTGTTACCCGGGCTGGTCGCGAACTCCTGGTCTCAAGTGATCCTCCCATCTCAGCCTCCAAAAGTGCTGGGGTTACGGGTGTGAGCCACTGCACTGGCCTAGGGGTAGGGTATTAAAAGAGGTTAAGTTAAAATGAGGGCATGAGGGCGGATCCTATCCAACATGAATGGCGTCTTTGTAGAAAGGGGAAGTGTGAACACGGACGCACAGAGGGATACCATGTGAGGACCCATGGAGAAGCCAGGGAGAAGGCAACCCTGCACCACCTTGATCTCAGATCTCCAGCCTCCAGCCTCCCGCCTGAGAAGAAACCTGTTTCTCTTGTGCAAGCCACCCAGTCTGCAGTGCTCTGCCACAGCACCTCAGCAAATGAATCCAGGTTTCCTCACTCATTTTCCCACCTGGAAGGCACTTTTGTGACCGGAAGCCACATTCACGAGTCCATACTAGCGGCTCCAGCATGCAACCACATCCCTCTGGACTGGGAACATGGTCCCGACCAGGGAAGCTCCCACGGCCGGTTTCCCGCCTCCGTCCTGGGAGAAGGAGGAGCTCTGCACCCTGCTCTTGGGCTCCCCACTTGTTGCTGTGATGCAGGCTCTGCATTTACCAGGCCCCCCTCCCGGGGCCGCAAGAGCCCCTCACCATGGCCAAGGCAGCAAGCCCAGCCAAAGCAGGAGTGAGGTCTGGGAGCGGCCAACCCCAGGATGGAGCCGAGAGGCTCCCTGGTCCCAAATTAGAACACAGAGGGCAGAGAGACAAAATAGACCAAAATACCATTCTTCTCATGAGGGAATATTTACTGAATAGTTTATATATACTGAATGAATGTTATGTAAGAGTCAACATGTTCAAAGCACTAAAAATAGTTCTGGATACATTTTGGCGAATAAGCTATTGATGTATTTAAACCCCTCTAAGGACAGGGCACATACAGGAGCAAAGGTAAGTGGCCACTCCCTGTTGGCACGCTACCCATCCCAAGCCCTGGCTCACTGGTGGAGCATCCGAGGGGCCCGGAGGACACTCCCCTCCCAGCAAAGTGGAAATGTCCCCAGGCGTCCCAGAGGCCAGAGCCACAAGGGGAGGAACTTCCAATAATTGGTGCCTTTGGAAGAAGATGGGCAGTATGGACGAGGCAAGGGACTGACGCTACGGCTGCCTCCTGCCTCCTTTGGAAGAGTGACCTTGGCATTCTCAGCACTTGGGCAGCCTGGCACTAGCAAGCAGAGGCGGCGGGGGTGGCAGGGGGCACAGCAATTATGGCATGACCTTATGTTCCTGACGTCAGCCTCTGCTCCTGCCAACACACAGGCCAGGCATCCTCCATCCGAAAGTCCCAGCAGTGGGAGAGAATGGCGAATGGGTTAATAGCAAGAATGAGGCCTCAGGCTAGGAATTCACTGTGCGAGGCTCACTGAGTGGCAGAGGCAGCCAGATTTCAGTTCATAAACACTAGTCAGTCACGAAAATCAGCCAGCCTCAAAAGCAGTATCTTTTTCAAAAACCCAAACACTTCTTTCTTGTAAGTGAACCAAAGTTTACAAATTGTTTCCTAATAAATCAGTTGGATCATACTTTTTGTAAGATTACTGAACCAGAAACAATCTAAAATGTCTTCAAAATAGCCTCGCAACCACACTGATAGTTCATTCAATTGCAAAGCCTGCCCACGAGTCTCCTCTCAGCCTTAATTCCAGCTGGTTAACAACTAAGGAACATTAAACCAGACCTGGGATCTGAGGCTCCCCACCACTGCAGGGCCAGGCTGGGGAACTTGGGAATCTCCTTTCAGAGTCTGGGGCTTGGAAAATGAACAGGCAGATGGAAGGCTCCTTCAGGCTCAGTCTGGCAGGACCTCATCACTCCAGTTTTTTCCAAAGGAGATCAGGCTGGGTCACAGGTCGCCCAGAACATTCACAGGGACTATGTGAGAAGGGTACTGTGGTCAAGACAGTTTGCAGGCCACATAGGGCTCTAAAGAGGACTTCTTCTGCAGGACTTCTCTGAGCCTTTAAAATGCCAATGAGCGTCTTTGTGACTCTCTGGTGGGGTGGCGGGGGGCGGATGAGGCTGCTGCATTTCTTATGCTCATTTAACTAACAGAACCTTGCTCATTTTCACCTCCGGGGCAAATCACGGATCAGGTACCTTCTGTGCGAAATTCTGCCCTGCCTCTGTGCTAAACTGCTGGCCCCAAATTAAGACCTTGCCTGATCACAGAATTTAAGGTCTAATCATTCTTGTAAATGTCATTTTACAGGATCAGAAGGTTTTTAAGACCCACAGATACGGAGCTGACTTCTGGGACAGAGGGTTCTACCGATACCCTCTAAGCGATGGCACAGAGGAAGGAGGCCACCTGCTCTCCTGTCGCCTACACCCCACCCAACCACCATCAGCTCAGCCCTGGGGCCAAGCGCCTCCTGCAGATAGTGCTCTTGGGCCGTGCTAAGTGTGCCTGTGGCTTCCTGGGCAGATGCCGCCCTGAGGACCGGCTCACGACAGGACACGGAGTGTATGCCTGCAGACTACCACCAGCTGTCAGGGGGCCACAGACCCAGATGACCCCAGTTATAAGTGGCTGTGCAGCTCCAGGACAACAGGGACCCTCACCTTCCATCCAGGTAGGGCAGCTGCTCGTCATCCCCATCTCAGCCGTCACTCTTGTCCCAGGACCCTCCTTGGATATCTCTTTGGATTTGCTTGTAGTTTCCTGCTCCAGATCCCTCCCTACTCTCCCAACAGGCTCCCCCAGCCACCTCCATGGCTCATTGTGTTGCCATCCTTGAATCATCTAGCCCTGGAGAGTCCTAGTGACACAATTTAGCACTTAATTACACATCCTCTCGTCCTGCTCCTGTTCTTCAAAGGGAGCTAATTGTACTTCCCAGACCAGACGGCCAATTCCCTGAAAGAAAGGAATCCAGTCCTTTTCATGTATTATTATTATTTTTTTAGAGAAGGTCTCACTCTGTCACCAGGCTGGAGTGCAGTGGTGCGATCACAGCTCATTGCAGCCTCCACTTTCCAGGCTCAGGTCATTCTCCCACCTCAGCCTCCCAAGTAGCTAGAACAACAGGTGCATGCCACCACGCCCAGCTAATTTTTTTTTTTTATTTTTAGTAGAGACAGGATTTCACCATGTTGCCCAGGCTGGTCTCAAACTCCTAGATTCAAGTGATCCACCTGCAATCAGCCTTCCAAAGTGCTGGGATTACAGGCATGAGCCGCCCGCCGTGCCCGGCCTGGTCCTTTTTATATGTGATGCCACCAAGCACAAAGCTGAGCAAACAGGAGGCACTCCATAAGTGCATGTAAATTAATTCATTCTGGATGACAATCGGGACCTCACTGTTTTCCCAATTATGGCTTTGTACTCTTAACAAACAGGTCTTGAGGATTACCTGTGTGATCTTACTCCAACTCTCTCCAGAGAAGCTTCTGGTTCAGATACAAGTTTAAAACCAATTTACCCCCACTAGCCTCTAGATTTGCCTCAGACTTCACAGCCAGAATTTTTTACTTCATTCTCTTTAAATCTTAGAAATTGCTCTTACAGTGTGTAGCTTCTATCTGAGTTACAAAATGATAGTGCTGATGATGATGATGGCAGTGAACACACTGAGTATCTACAATGTGCCAAACACGCATATTACCTCATTTAATCCTCGAAACACTCTTAGGAAGCAGAAACCATTATGGCTCTCATTTTACAAATGATGACATTGAGGCTTAGAGAGGCTGAATGCCTTGTCCGGGTCACATGGTGAGTAAGTGGCCTATCTAGTGAACCCTAGGGCCATCAGATGACCAAAAGGAAAATGTAAAATCTTCACTCCTAGGAATTGAGGATCAAGTTTTCCCCTTTCGGTGGTTTCTGAATCAAAAGCATCTTCTGGGAAGCTTCACTATTCCTAAGAATAACAGGAATAACAGATTCTTCATTCCTACCCTCAGAGGTTCTGTTCCGGCCAATGTGGATGAGGCCTAGGAATCTGTATTTTCTCAAAGATCATGGGGGGATTCTGATCATGATTTCAGGACTGAGAAGCACTGGTCCCACAGGAACCCCTCTGTCCATAGCATCTGAACTAGCCATGCCAAGCATCCGATGAGAGCTCTCTGGCAAACACTCCCTGAGCATCCACCAAGCAGGAAATGGTACACAGCTGGGCAGCACGCCAGCCCTCCCTCCTACCTGCCTCCCACATACACCGGAAAACGTTTTTAGTTTAGCCCGGTGGGCCTCAACCTTGGCTGCACGAGAACCACTTGGAAAACTTAAAAAACAAAAAAGCAAAAACCACACCCCCTGATGTCCAGGGAGGGCCAGTGAAGCAAAGGAGGAGGTGGGGCCCAGGCACCCCATATCATTATATTTAAAGTTTCCCTGTTCATTCTAACGCATAGCGCATAAAGTTGTCTTTTTTAGGATGAAAGACACTGGGCATTCAACCTTGGCATTCAGAAGCCCCTTTCTCACATAAGCAAAGTGAGCAGGGACTCTCCTTAACAGCTCGGGCTAATTTTAAAACTAATAACACTAAAATGTTTTAATGCCCTCACTAGCTCCGTTCAGCCTCATTAGCAAGAGTAAATAAAACAGACCACATTCCCACACACATACTCAAACCTATGAAGTCCCCGGAGGTGGGAGCCACAACAGTGTTACTCTTGAAGTCAGTTTCCAGCACAGTGTCCTGCAAGATTGGAGTGGCCAGGCACAGAAGGGTGGGCTGGGAGGACTCCAGAGAGCCCCTCGATGGGTCCACTGTGGTCCAAAGATAGGAACCGACTTGGCTGGGGCCACAAAAAGCACTAGCAGCAACATGGAACAAGAAGCCAATTCTGCGGCCATAGAGGGCACGGGCCTACAGAAGTTAGTCCGAAAGCCTTCCGGGCTCCACTTGTCACCTTCTGAATGCCAGGGCAGACATAAACCAAATCTGTCCTGAAAGCCTCCATGTTAAGACCCTGTCACCTGGCCAGGCACGGTGGCTCATGCCTGTAATCCCAGCACTCTGGGAGGCCGAGGCGGGCAGATCACAAGGTCAGGAGATGGAGACCATCTTGGCCAACATGGTAAAATCCTGTCTCTACTAAAAATACAAAAATTAGCTGAGTGTGGTGGTGCGTGCCTGTAATCCCAGCTACTTGGGAGGCTAAGGCACAAGAATCGCTTGAATCCTGGAGGCAGAGGTTGCGGTGAGCCGAGATTGTGCCACTGCACTCCAGCCTGGCAACAGAGCGAGACTCTGTCTAAAAAAAAAGACCCTGTCACCTGAGAGATGCTTGCGTTGTAAACTTGAGCTGTAACTATAGGATGAGCAATTGTGTTCCTTGTGAAAGAAGGCTGAGACTATTGCTGAGCACTTGTCATGGGGAGGGCAGGGTGCTCTTCCCAGGAAGGACTGTCCCTCTTCCTCAGATGGGGAAACTGAGGCTTTGAGAAGTTGAGTTGCCGCACCAAGCACAACAGCACATGTGAGTATTTGAACCCCACTGTCGGACTCCACAGCCCTTGCCTGGACCCTCTGTGATGTCGTCTCCTTTAGATGTTACCCAGCAAGGACAGAAGTCTATTTTGGGAAGAACTGCTGAGGTCCTCTGAAACAGAAAAAGCAACCTCCTCTGGCTGTTTTCTTTTCTTCCTTCTCCTTCTCTATTTATTTATTTGCATGTGCACACGTGTGTGTGTGTGTGGTTTTAGGTTTTTTTTTGTTTCTTTGGTAAAGGTTGGAGAGCTGCAACACATCTATATATATCCAACTGTTCAGACAGATACACGTATATGCACATTACAGACTTAAGTATATGCACAGAGTATGGAGAAACACACACATATATAATATAGATGCATGTTTATCTGTAGATACTTAGACTAAGCATAAAAGAGGACCCTAGATTCTCACAAAGACGCAATGGAATGCTTTCGATGTCACAGTATCACTTGTAAAATTCACAAGCCATGCTGTGGGGCTCAGCAGTGGTGGGGAAAATACACACCTGGGCGTCTGCTTTCTACAGAAACGACCCCCTAGCATCTCTCTTCCCTTTGCCTTTCCTCCTTGGAAGCAAGGGCCACTGCCCATGTTCTCCAACAACCCATTGTCTCTTGACAAATTAAAATAACAACCATAATAACAGCACTAGTGAATCAAGCCAGTGTACTTGTCCACTAATGACAACCCTTTGATACTGCCAATGGTTTTCTATTTTTCAGTCTTCTCCTGTTGCAGGCAGGATTTCTCTCTCAAAGCCCAGACAATGCTATGGATAAAACAATCAGCCTTTAAATGCCTCTGGTGAATGCTGCTGTCACTAACACAGCTCCTGCAGTGACGGCTCCCACGTGTTCTGTGCTCCTGTCCCTAGAGAGTTGATGACACCAGGAATGTGGACGGTAGGCTGACAGGACAGCACTCGAGAAGCCTGCTCATGCAATCGGAGTTGCTTCTATTACTGAGCGGTTTCTTTGCTGTCCTGGACCTGACATCTTTCTTCTTACCATGGATATTTTTCTCCCACAAACTAAGAGAGGGTTATACCCCCAAGGCAGGAGGACCAAGACCAAAAGGTGATGAAGACAGAGTTGGCTTTCTAAGCTCTTCTCTGTTTCCTCAGTCATCTCTGTGGATGTATATGATCTGTGATGAAGTGATTCTGATCAAGGTGTTAGCCAGGTAAAGTTTTCTCTTCCCCTGGAAACTGTGGAATAATGGAAGCAAAGTAAAGCTAGAATGGTGAAATCTCAGGCAGTGGAACATTTACAAAGAAGAGACATTTCCACCCCATGCAGATGGCTATCCATTTCCGTACTGTTAGACCACAGACCAACGGGGGAATTTGGTACTACTTTGGTTCCCTTAGAACCCCTGGCTTCCCTTTCCCTTATCCTCACTCCTTGGCTCTACGGTAGAGAATTTAGATAGTGTAGTGTGAGGTGGAAAAGCCTAAGGCAGAAGGCTGGGGACAGAGAGCCTAGTGGAGGTGGTGGTGGTCCCATGTGAGGATATTCTGAAAGCAGCACCAATTATTTGTTTGGGTTGGCCTTAGAAGCAAGAGGAAAGCTGGGCCTGCACTCCTTCAGACCCCAGTAATTTTCCTCCAGCCTGTCACCACTCCCAGGGCAGTGCTGCAAATGATCTTGGACTCCCCCAGAGCCCAGAGGATGGCAGTGTCAGGAAATATCAGATGTCTTTGTTGTCTATGACCTGTCTTTTGGATCTGCAAGGCCAGACTGTTACAGAGATGCTCCAGCCACTGTTTGCAGCCTGGAGTTTTAGGTTCCCCTGCCACTAGGGTGAAGATTCCTTGTGCTCCTGCATTTGCAGCCCACAGACTGCTCCTCATAAGCATTAGAACAGAGTGACTATCACGTCCCCACTCCATTAGCATGGATAAACATTTGTGCTCACTCATCATCTGTCAGCGTCTCTCTGCTCCCCACTCCCTTTGCATTTCTCCATCTTTACTCTAAGGCACAGTGCATGAATCATCCGTTCTTATGACACCTGCTGAGCAACCTCATTTTTCTGACCATTCTGGCATGTGATATCCCTTCCATTCTCCCTGCTTCTTACCAAGGCTGCTCTCATAGGAGAGACATGGGCAAAACCCAATCACAGGGATAAGGAAGCAACGTGGTCACAAAAACAAAACAATGAAAAAATCCCATGCGATCTGGGAGATGCAGCTATGGCAGAGGACACATGTTGAGAGGTTGGGAGTGTGGGCCAAGAAGCAGAACACTGGCCCACTTCCACATTTGCCACTTACTAGCCACATGACCTTGGTCAAGGTATGTCACTTCTTACCTGCAAAATGGAAGTAATGCCAAGACACAGGTTGGTTACGCTGTATTCAATCATATGATGGTTGTAACGGGTCTAGCACTGTGACCAACCCATTGCAATGAATAAATGGTAGGTATTGTTATTACTTAAAAACCATTATCACTCTTAATACTACTTAGCATTTATTTGGCCCCGTCAGCTGTGCCAGAATCATTGATATCAATACACATTCACTGAATGGCTGTTTTTTAGAATTCTGCTAGGTACTGGGACTAAAGGAAGTACAAGAAAATTCCCTGCCTTAGAAAGAGAAATTGGGGTATCCAGGCACAGTTGTCACGTGCCACAGGGCTCATGTGCACAGTAAGGAAGGACGTTTCACTGAGAGGCATGGGGTTGCAGAAGGCTTCAAGAAGGAAGTTTGGTTTGAATGAAACCTTGAAAGACAAAAGAGGGAGGGGCATGTTAGTTGGGGTTGCCAGAGGTGAGAAGCGGCATGACATGAATAAGAAACAAGGAATTCATCTGCTTGACCATATGGGAGGACTCCTGAAGGATAACGAGGAGTGGATTCAGGGAAGCTGCTAAGGGCTTAAGGATGTTCACTGCCCAGGCTTCACAAGGGGACTGAAGGGCACGGGGTGGTTTAGGAAGAAGACTCTCAGAGGCACACATGAAGGGCTGGTGAGTGGGCGGCTGTAGGCAGGGAGCTGGCAGAAAGACTCCCACACTCAAGCCAGCCCCGGAAGACGTGGTGAAAGAGGGAAGACGAAGGAGGGCTAGGGTGGGGCACAGGCCAAATACACCCCTTCCCCGGGAGAGGCACAACACAGAACTGTGCGCACAGCATTGCTTCACTGACCACGGAGATTACACAACTGGAGCAGATGTGACTCACTGAGCACCATGTGCACACAGACGGAGACCACCCTGCCCCACCTACTGCCAACTCTCTTGCTTGATCTGTGGTGAAAGCTGCCTTGACTACTTGTCTGGGTCAGTGTGACCAACAACGCGCCCGCAGTCCCAGCGGCTGCCAGAGATGCTCAATATTGAGGCGACATGTTACATATTAACTAACAAAGCCATTTCACCCGCAGCTGTACTTGGGTTCCTCTGGCTTGGATGGCTCGGATGGCAAGCCTGAGGCCACGCTCCCTTGCTTGGTTTCTTGGCATGCTTCAGGCTCCATGATGTATCCCGACAGCACGCACAAGAGGAATCTTTCCCCCACCACATCAGGCCTACCGCGATGGTTCCTGGCCAGCCTCCCCCGCCCCTCACTCTCCACTGCCCCAGGTGACCCTTCCGAGTCTCCTCAGGGCCTTTCTGACTGCCTGCTCAGCTTCTGCCCAGGGTATTCAAGGCCTTCGTGCTTTGACTCCAATCTACGTTTCCAGCTCCACCTTCCTCAGCAGCCGCCTCTTCAGGGCTCCCCAAGCACAACCGTACCCGTGCCTCATGCTATGGGCCACGCTCTTCCTTCTGCCAGGACCCACCACCGCTGCCATGTCTTCTCGCTGACTCCTGCTCGTCTTTAAGATGAAGCTCAAATACATCCTCCCCGAAACTCTCCCCTTTAAGGCCAGGCAAAAAGCACTTCCTCTGTCCTAAATTATGAATATATACTCTTCATTAATATATTACCAATCGATATTTCATTTTAAATTATATGCCCATCTCCCAGGTGGATGGTAAACACCCCTCATGTCTGGTCAGGGTTGTGTCTCGTCTTCCTTTGAATAACTAGTGCCTGACAGTGGCTGGTGCATATTATTAGAAAGTTAATAAATGATTCAATTAATATATTAGCACAAAAGAAGACTTGCTATTAGAGTTATTACAAGAGTTCTCTGTCACCTTAAGAAAAAAATGATAAATTATAGTGTAAGCACTGGCAGACACTGGAAGCTGCTGTTATCTATTAGTCACTCATCAAACACTTATTGTCTACTATATTCAGGCACTATTTTAGGCCGTGGTAGGGATACAAATAAAAATGATAAGAGTATAATATGGTTTGGAAAATGAAGTACATACATATGAAAAAGAATAAGCCAAAGCAAGATACTCTAAAGGTCAAACTGTGGAAGGCTCTAGACCAGGGATGCCCAATCTTTTGGCTTCCCTGGGCCACATTGGAAGGAGAAGAATTGTCTTGGGCCATACATAAAATACACTAACACTAGTGATAGCTGGTGAGCTAAAAATAAATGCAAGAAAAATCTCATACTGTTTTATGAAAGTTTATGCATTTGTGTTGGGCCACATTCAAAGCCATCCTGGACCACGTGTGGCCAGTGGCCCATGGGATGGACAAGCCTGCTCTAGGTGTTAGAGGCATTCATGGAGTCACAGGGCTGAAAAATATTAATTATAGCAACACCAATTACGCACACTGGACATTTAGTTTATTCCACTCCCTGCATCTTGTCCCAGTCAGATGAGAATTGGCCATATGTATAAAAGCTTATTGTGAACAGGCAAAAAGGCATTTGACATCTATCAGGAAAAACTTGCTTGTGTCTATTCTAGCACACTTATGCTACAGGTTGAGCCCATTTCTTTTGCTTTTGGTCTTCAGAGGAGATTTAAAAGTGTTACCGTTTCCTTGCCAGAGGTTACCTTCTCACCTTCTGCTCCTTTCCCTCTCCTGCCCTCAAGCCTGAAGTGCACCCACTAAGGCCTCAGATTTTACAAGATTCCCCGTGAACAACCAAATAATACACACAAGTGTTTGTGCCTGGGCATATATCAAGGAAGGTATAAATGAGCTGCAGAGGGAAATGGAATTTCCTGGGTTGCCAAGGGGCTTTTAAAACTCATAAATACACCAGAAAAAAAAAAAAAGAAAGGACGCAATTACGGAAAGCTCTCTGGCATGCCCCTTTAACCAGGCATGCAGGCTCCCACCAGCACTCCAGTGTGGGCCTGGTGCCGCAGGGCATGGGAGAAAGGCAGGAAGAGACACTACAGCCACATCCCCACTTGGACCTTCACCCATAGGCTGCCCATTCAGGGAAGAGATTGGCTGAGAACTAGAAGCTCCCCAGGCCGCCTAAAGCTGGCAGCTTTCCTTAGACACACTCAGTCTCTGCCCTGCTCACCCTCTCCACCAACCTCTGCACATCCCTTCAGTCCCTCTAGCCTGCCTGCCAGTGCCGGTACAGTATTTAGTAAACGTCTGTTGATTGGATACATGAAGCTGTAGAGAGGTTTGATAACTTGACCAAGGACATACAGGTGGTAAGTCCTGGAGGTTTCAAACGTGGGCTGTCTGATTCCTGAAACAGTGCTCCTGACCTCTGTACTGCACAATGTGAAAGGGCTGAAAAATGGTACTCAACTGTGTCCTTCTCCAAATACCTCAGAATATCAACAAACGTGCTCTGTTTATACAAAATGGGACACAATAAACGTGCATGGAATTGAACCTTCACCTTGGAGGTCAGAAACTGTGTCTAACTGAACACATGCATGCTTCCTTCTCCAATATTCCACAAGAGGATGGACCTGTCCACTAGGACTCAGCACTTGCTTCACTCACTATTGTACACAGATTTAGCACAGGCTTCTCTTGTCTACTAAACTCTCAACCTCTTAAGGACCAAGGTCATGTTCTATGTTTCTTTGCCTCCCCGGGAGCCAGCACAAGGCCTGGCACTTAGTAGTGCTTCATGGCTGTCTGTCAATTGACTCCACGCTATTTCCAGTCCTAGTGATGTCCTCCTGCTGGTCTCACTGACAGCTCAGCTCAGAGCAGCCTGAGACCTGGGCAGGTCATTAAGCCCAACAGAACAGTGGGAAACTTAAACGACCCTTTCCTACCTTCTCAGTTGGAAAAATGCTTCCAAACAAAATCTCAGAATGAAATGTGGCATGGCTCCCTAATTAGGATCTCTCTCTTCTTCTAGCTGATGGAGGATTTCTGGAAAAGGTCTTCTTCCTGCATGTGAATCACTCTTCCCACGTAGTAAACAGAGGTGACGTTAATGGCAAAAGGACCGATTCCAGTGGGCTGGTTACATTCACCTTTCTTGCTTCGTGGGAGGGACAAACAGCCAATCAAAAGCAGCCTGGATGCTCTACCCAGAACAGGCACTTCCAAACGCTGCCATTTGCAAGTGGCCTCTAGCTCTGCTCCGTCACAGCCAAATCCTGCGCCCTCCACTGCAGGGTACTTCTGTGACGAGTTTCAATAAAACTATATTTACGCTAAACACAAGACCGAACAAAAGCTCCAGACTCTAACATCTTATTTACAAACATCTCAATTTGAAGTAATTAAAACAGTTGCAAAACTACTAGTTACCTTCCTTTCCTCCCTGCCTCTCCTGGTGTCCTGCTCACCAAAGAGCAGTCGAGAAAGAGAGTGTGTAGTTCTAAGAAACCACCAGTAGGTGGTGCAGGCAAATTCTGCGGCGGAGTAGGCCCTTGAGAAGCCAGGGGCCCTTGAGCAAATATCCGTCTGGGTTCCATTTTGATTGTTTTGGCTGGTGGTTTGGGATTTTAAGTCCCCGTCATTAAAAGACTGTTCCATTTCCAAATAACTTTTCTGGCTTAAAAGGAAGGACCTTTTATTGTTTTGTTGTAATAAGGGTTACCATTTAAGTACCTCCCAGGTGCCAGACACGCTAGTAGGTGCTTTACCTACTTTCAATCCAGGCAACAACCCTACGACATATTCACCATCACCTCATATTACAAAGGAGCTAGGACTCAGCAAGTTCTAGTGCCCTGCACACAGAGCTGGAATTGGTAGAACTGGGGATTTGAATCCAGTCTACATAGCTCCAACATCCATGCTGTAAACCCCCTGATATCACTTTGAAGCTGCTGATTCAGACAATACATTTGAGGAAGCCACAGAAGGGCTATTTTAGAGCAGTCCAGACAGCATCCCTAGGTCCCCAAGATCCTGAAATGACTGCCAAGGATACTGGGAATTCCATTCCTGGAACACGTCTCAGATCCCTGGGAGACCTACCTCCCCTCCAGAGGTTACCATTCCACGCTGGTAGGAGTCCTTGACTCCTTTTCTCATCTCTAAGACACAGAGTGGAGCAGCCCTGGAGGCAGCAGGAGGGATTCTGGGTAGAGCAGCCCCGAGTGTATGTCTCTAATAAAGCCAGGTACAAGCTCCTCGGCTCACTGTCCATGGACAGTACAATTAATCACGTTTCCACTGCCACCTTCCCACCCAGCCTCGTGGTCATCTTCCAGAGTCTGCCTGGTTAGGAAAGGAAGTCCTTTGTCACAGATCATTTCTTTCTCCCCAAGAGGGCATTTTTTCTGCCCCCAACCAGCACTAATCCCTCATTCTTATACATATCCTCCAACATATCTGCTCCAAGATTTCTGTTGTGGGACTGCCACCCTGCAGGGCTGCCCAGAGGGAGTCAACACCATTGTCTCTGAAAACACGCCCCTGCCCAGCTGAGCCCAGGGAGGCCCAGAGGACAGTGCCCCAGCACTGCCACTTTCCTGATGCCCTTTATCATACCCTGCCCCCAATCCCCAATTGCCTTGACATCTGTGAAGCAAGGCAGGCGCTGGCCAGGAGGCTCTCTCTGATGCTGGCTCTCCACCTGTCCATGCTTACCACCTGTGGACTCCAGCTCTGCCGGGCCAATTAAAACATTGAATCTTCAGAGCGAGGGCAGTTTGGCCATAAATGCCCAGGAACTTCCCCTGAATCGCTTCATTTTTCCAAAGGGGAGGTAAAGTCAAAGAAATACTAATCTGGGAGTCAGAAAAGCAGAATTCCACCCAAGCTTTATTACTAACTAGCTGTGCGATTTTGGACAGGTTCTTTAACTTCTCTCCTTCAGCATCTGCATGTGTAAAGCAGAAGAATTAGGCCAGGTGATCCTCCAAGTGCAAATATTCAGTGATTCTATGTGACTTGACGCGAATTTCCTCTTATCAGAAGGGTAACTTGAGCTAAGTGAATGTGAACATGTAAATGGCAAAATAGGGAAGCTGTTCTGACCACTTGGGATCCTAAAAAGTCACTTAAGAACTAGGTGTCCCCGGTGTGTACCCATCGGCAGCTTGGATCATTGCCCATATGGCACTGATACACTGATCACGTAACGCCTGGTTTAATCCATGTTCTCCAGTGGCACACAAGTCTCGGTGAGGGCGTCGTGCCTTTATCTCACCCACCGCTGTATCCCCAGTCCCTAGTACCACCAGCACAGTGTAGGCACTCAATAAATATTTGTGGCATGAATGAATTTCCACTGTACAAATCTGATTTCCTGACTATACCGGAGACCAGGCAGCAAGCACACATTTAATAGACTCTGCAGCTCTTCTCTATCTCTTCCCCGTAGATTTCCACAGGAAAATGGGCTTCTGATGGTTCTAAAAGTGAGTTTTGTCCAGCAGGGTTGCCTCTGGAGGTGGCTAGTTTCCCTCCTCCATCCACCCCCTCCCCAGGCAGTGAAGGAAATTCAGGATGACTATTGGGCATAGTGCCTCAAAAGCCACATCCACTCAAAGACACACAATTTGCTGCTGGGCCATGGGCTCTTTTTTCCCACCTGCTCCTTTTTGGCATGTGCCTCGACTCTCATACCCTCCCTCTGTACTGTCTGCACCCCCTGACACTGCAGGAGAGAAGACCCAGCATTTTTCAGGAAGCTTGGCTCCTGCTGGCTCTGCTAACCACCTGAGGGCATATCTTCCCCATATGGGATGCATTTGGTGCATAATTAGTCAAAGGCATCCGATTTCAATGAAGCCCTAGTTCTCCCAGCTTGGTCCACAGTGCACGAGAGAACCCTCTTAACCCGACCGGCAGCCTGACAGCTTGGCATTTCTGTATCTTTAAAGGCAGGCTGAGTTGGAGAACAGACTTTTAATTAAAATTTACCTTCCTATACATGTGTTGCCCCACCATTTACATTGTAATTTTCAGGTCACACATGCATATTAGTGCTACCTTTTGGGTGCTGGCAGTGGCAGCTCTACTGATGAAGGCTACACTGCAGGATCCATTGACTGGGGCTGCCAGAGCCACTGGGTAGCTGGCATCCCGCAGCAGGGTGATTAATCTGTATGTTCTTCCTCATAGCTGTTGTAGATACAAGCATGGGGCGGTGGGTGGTCCTGAGGGAAAACAGACAGAAGGGAGGCACAGACCCACCACGGACACACAATACAAAATGCAAGGGCACCTTCTCAGCCCCGCAGCCAAACTGGGTGGAAAGGGCCACTCCTCAAGACCCTGGAAAAACAGACCCCATCAAGGAACACAAACCCATTAATGGACAAGCTGACTCAGAGGGAAAATGGGGTTGCAAACACCTTTGATGGGGAGAGGCGGAAAAGCACTTCTGGGGTGCAATCAACCTATTTCAGGGCAACTGACCATGCTTTCTAGGTTGCCAAGGCCAGCTGGTTGATTGGTTCCTGAACTGTCCAGGAAGGCAGAATCTGCGCAAGAGCCTCAAACTCCAGAGCAAAGTAAACAGGCCATCATCATGTACTTAGCAAGAAATCCTCACTCCTCAGAGAGAAGCTGGCTGGAGAGGGAGGCCAGGGAGGGTAAATGACAGGCTCTCATACTTACTGCACATTCATGCTCAAGGAGGAGGGGCTGGGGTGTGGGCAGGAAGCTTCAGCTGTGCTTCTCCAAAGGACAAGGAAGAGGAAAACAACTGTATGTCCTTGGGCAGGGCTCGGTTCCCTTTGATGATTCAGTTGTCAGTGGAATTCTTGAGGGTCTTCAACTCTAACTCAGTGCCTAGCACACAGTCTGACCAATGAATAGTTATTGGATGATGCAAAAAAAAAAAAAAATCAATGATCAGAAATCGTTTTCAGCCAGAGCTATATGTTAAAATCACCTGGAGAATGTGAAAAAATTCAGATGCCCAGGCCACATCTTCAGAAATTCTGATTCCTGTTCATAATCGTGATTTCCAAAGTGTGGTCCCAGGCCAGCAGCAGCGAGTCACCTGGGAGCTTGTTAGAAATGCAAATTCTCAAGCTCCATCCTGGAGCCACTGAAACTCGGAAGCTGGAGCCCAGGAATCTGTGTTTACACAAATCCTCCAGGTGATTCTGGTGCCCACTCAAGTTTGAAAATGAAGGGCGTGGAGTAGACTGTAGGATCCTGGCATTGTTTTTTGTTAAATGATCCCAGATGATTCTTATGTGTGGCCAGGGATGAGAATTACTAACTTAAAGAATCACAGGAGCACTCCCGATGGCACATGGTCTGCTTTACCCAGAATCACAGAATTGGAGGGAGCTTCTCATCAGCCAAGACCACATCAAGACCACGCAGGCTGAAACTGCTCTTCGGGCCCTGATCTCCACTGACCCAACCTTCCTAAACAGCCACGGAACACACGAGCAGCCACGTTCATTCTCATTCCCTCATTTCTCTGGAACTGCACCATGTGCAGCACTGCCTCAAGGGACACTGATCGCGTATCCAGCGACACTCCATGAGGCACGGGTCGCAATCACAATCCAGACGAGCAGGAATGACTCAATACTTGCCCGATCCCTCCCCTTGGGAAGGTCATTCCCAGAAACCCTTCCTCTAGAATATTCCTTGGGAAAAATGGAGAGAAGGGGTTAAAAGTACCAGGAGACCATGAAGGAGGAAAAGCCATAATTTGAGAAACCCAGAAGGGGTCCTAACGGTAAAGAGCCCTCTGTCAACTGGGGGCAGGCCCCTGTGGGACCTCCCACCTCTGGGCCCGGGGTAATTGGGACAGTCAGCCAGACAAGGCACACAGCTTCCAAATTTCTTGCATGACCTCTCCACACACACCCTTCACTTTAGATTTTGCCTCCAGAAAACAAGAATAAAAATCTGCTTAAAATTCCTCTGGCGTTCCAATGTGCTTGGGGCACATGAGTAAGGGAGGGCCACTACCAATTTCAGTCCTGAGGCACATTCTTTTGGGACAGTGAAGAAATCCTTTCTCCTGTTATGAGCATTGCTCAGTAAGAAAAAACATAAAAGTTGTAAGCATGAGTTCCCAACGCACATTTCCCACTCTCCAGAGGAGGGCTGCTCATGACAGCCTGAGCCTGGGTCCTGTCATTGTTTCTTGTTTGTCTCCTTCCACTGGCCACAGTGCTCTCGGGGGAGGGACTGCGCCTCCTCCACTCTGCAGCCCCAGCCCTGTGTCCGGCACACCATCCACACTTGATCAACAAGAGCCCCCGAATGAACCTCACAGACCTGTTCTTCAGCCACCCAGAGAAGCCCCGAAGCCAGAACTACTGCAAAGCAGCTGGGTGCTGGGCCATCAGGCCCTGTTACCTGTGACATCTTCCCACAGGGTCCTTACTGTGCAGAGCCTGTAGACACTGGCCCTTCCTATCTGGCTTCCTGCCTAAGGCATATTTTCACCCGCTCGCTCCACTTTCAAGTATTATGTTCTAGGAATACTAGCCACTAAGACATCTTCTCAAATTCCTTATTAAATAGGCCAGAGCCTAGGATAATTAAGGTTCTTGCTTCCTACTCCCTTTTAATGCAAACAACCAAACCTGTTTCCCAGGCCTCAGCAAGCTTTGACATTAACTCTAAATGGAAGGTCAAGCAGGCCAGTCTTGTTTCAAAGCTCTTTGCAAAGAAAAAGGACAACTGAAAACAGAACCGGCCAGGTATAAATGACGAGTATTTAGCTCTTGGTAACTCTGTTCATTCTAATAACTCTGGCAGTCATCCATAATTCACACGAGGCAACATCCCTTTAAACAGCTGAGTGAAGAAAACAGGCGACAGGACTAGGAGACCTTCATTTTTAGTTAGAGTTCATCCCCTGGGAAATGTCCCTGGGCCTCAAACTCCCTGACTATAACATGAGGGCTCGCCTAAACGAAATGGCCTGAAAAGCTGTGCAGTTTGAAGAATCCCTATCTTCAGTGGAAAACGGCTGAACTTTACCATCCATGTGGTATTCCTTGCACATATAACGTAAATTCCTAATAAAACACTCCCTTCCACTGCCGCCCAAAAAGCCGCTGGGTAGGTGCGCACCAGCCTCTCTCGAATGAGCACGTTAGCAACAGGTTGAGAAAAAGAGTAGAAATACCGTCAGATAAGAACATGGGGTTTGGAGACCAGGGAACGGTGGAAGGGAGCCTAGGAACGTCGAAAGTAAGTCTCGTCCATCACTCTGCTTTGAGTGATTCCAGCTCTGCGGCACAGCAGAGTCCTCTCATTGAAAGTCAACCCGTCTGGGATGAGGAGGTGTTTAAGGAGAGTTTAAGAACAGAGCTCCTAAGTTCCAAAAGCTCCTGAGTTGTAGCCGGCACAGGCTATGGGCAAGGAAGGAAGGCTGCCATTTCCTCCACTACCTGGGCTCTCCCTGCAGCCCTACGTCACCTTCACAAGTGGTTCCAGCCAGTGGTATGTTGTTAAATGTTTTAGCAACTGGCTTTTAGGAGAGGGGGAAGGAAAGCTCTGGGTGTAGCATATGCCAGTTTTTGTGGTGTAAATGTTCCCACTACTGCCCATTTCAAGTTATCAATGTGATGACATTGAATGCCCAGTGTAAAGGGTTGAGTTCAGTCAGCAATCATGAGCCCTTCCCACCCGCTTGACCCAAGGAAGAGGAAATTCCTGCTAGGTAACACGCAGGGATGGAATGGAGAGAAACAGAGTGTTTCTACAGAGGGAGCAAGGTGTGAGTGACAGGCTGCCGTCAGCACTTAGCGGCCCGTCCCTCCTCCCAGAGAGCAGGAGAGATGCCAGGCACCACTGGAAGCCAACCCAGGATCTGCAGAACGGCCCTACCCCAGGCCCCGCTCACTGAAGGGCATCGCCCACCAGAGGGCAGGCTGGAGAAATGAAAGGAGACACATGGCCCTGGCCCATTCTGTGGCTACCAGGAAGGTAACAAGGAGGAGGCTTCAGGCTCTAAGGAAAATGAAGTTTGGGGATCACTGGTAGAAGTTAATTATCCTTGCTTCCCCTTGGAGCAGCGGGCATCCCTTCCCTGCAGACTCACACTGGAACAAGGCTGAAATGAGAGCCGCCTGCCTGCAGCTTAGGGGCAGAAGTGTCTCGTCCAACTGCCACTCAGTCAGGAAACTGAACAAAGCAGGACCCCATAGAGTGCACAGGCCGGAATTATGGTAAATTACAAAGCAATGATAATCATTTACATGTGTGCGTGTCTGCCAGTGTATGCCTCACTTTCACAGACCTTTTTTCTTTTTAATTCTGATCCTGGGAGGCAGACAGAACAGTGAGCTCTCTCCCTAAAGAGTTGACAGCATAGAAGCGGGCAGTATGCCCGCCTGGAGGGCTGTTCTGTGCTGCGCCTGGGTCCTGTTCTGCACCCTCCTCCCCCAGCCCCTCACTGTCTCTTCCTTTCAGTGGCTCTTCTCATTCATTCCATCTTGGCAGCAGCCGCTTGTGTAACTAAAACCGCAAGAAACTTTGTTTGGCTTCGAATTCAGAAGAAATTCCAGTAACTCACTTCCCACTACCAAAAAAAAAAAAAAAAATCTAGAGGTCTGTTCTAGAGAATTCAGCTTTTTCCGTGGGTAAAATATTCACAAAAAAATGCTCCCTCTCCCCAGCTTACCCCACTCCCCCGCTGAAGCCCCAACATCTGAAAGACATCGGCCCCTCACTCATGCAGCCCGGCAGAGCCTCAGCACTTCCTGAGGGCCAGGGACGAGCTAGGGGGATGGCGGGTTCCTGTTTCGTGGCTGGAGCCAAGCAAGTTAAGAGTTGTTGAAAGACGTGCTTGGCTGGTCTCTCTCCTCACCCGGGTATACTGCTGTTTTGTTTTCAGTGGACAAGGAAGCCAGGGATGAGATCTCTGAGCATCCAGCTCCCGGATCTTGGAAAAAGGCATAGCCAAGGCCCTCCTTACTCCTCCCCACCAGCCATATCTAATATCTGCTAACATCCTTGCAAGCAGCTTCATGCCTGCATGAATGAAGCACAAGTAGCTGCTGCTAACTCAGGAGGAAGGACTTTACTCTGCATGTCCTAGGCCCTTTCTATTGAAAGTGGGGCCCAGGATTCGGACCAGACGGCAGCATCCTCTGGGAGCTTGTTCCAAATGCATCATCTTGGATCCCCATCCTGGATCTCCCGAATCAGCACTGCATTTTCACAGGATTCCCTGGCACTGTCTTTAGACCATGTGCCAATAAACATTTCAGTGTAATAGACACGTATTGGGTACCTGCTGTGTACCGGGCACTGTGCTGGGTGCTAAGGTGATAAAATTCTGAAAGTGGAATCCCTAATCCAGTGAGTATACAGGACAGACTGGCTCGTGGCAATAATGCCCTGTCCCTGCAGGCTGAGTGTGGATATAGAGTAAGGGGTCCATGGTCTTCCCTCATGGAGGTGAAGGCTCTAATTTGTCCAGCCCAACCTTGTGACTTCAGATGCTTCCATACCCTGCATTTTCAGTAGAATTCTGTGACTGATATTGGTTTGCTACCCAAAGTCTCCCCTGAAAAAGGTAAGATACTTTGTCAGCCTCCCTTGCAGCCAGTTGTAGCTAGTTAATTGGATTGTGTCACTAAGAGTAAGGAGAAGTAGCCTTGCACCTTGCTACTCAAAATGCAGTTTCCAGCCACACTGACACACTCTGGCAGCTTGATCAAAATGTGGAATTTCAGGCTCTACCCAAGATCTACTACATCCAAACCTATATTTTAACAAGATTCCCAGGGGATCCTTGTGTAGATTAAATTCAAGAAGTACTATGCTAGGGACTTCTGGGAAAGCCTCTGTTTTATGTAAAAAAAAAAAAAAGGGCCAGAGTGTTATTGGCTCCACTCCTTCCTGGTTCCACCTGCCTTGAATGGGGGTGTGATGCCTGGAGCCCCATTGACAACCATCTTGCAACCATAAGGAAATCAGCTTGAATATGAAAAGCCAACAGACTTAGTATAAGGAAGTGGAAAGAGAGAAAGAGCCTTGGTTCTCAGTGGCATCTTGAGCTGCTGAACCAATTCAGAGTCCTTAAGTATCCTGTTACTTGAAGTCGAGAACATTCCTAACTTACATGTACTCTCTGTTCTTTAAATGAGCACAGGTCTTGAGGTGGCTGATCAAGCCTGAAGAAAGCTAAAGATTCTGCTGAGACCTGCCGCAGCCAGACTGCAGGTCTCCTTTTCTCTGGCAGGAGGCGGGTGCGCTGTACCTGACCACTCATTCAGCAGGCACAGCTGACTCTGATCCCATGAGCTGTGAGGGAAGGAGTGGTTTTGGTGACCTCCTCCTAAGGTCATTGTCTCAGACAAAGCTTTCCAGGCCTACAGGGGAGCCTGAGTTTTCTTCCGGGTGTTGACTTGGAACTCAGTTTCCATAAAGCTGCTGTTCCTGTCTCACTCCTGTGAGAGGCTCCCTAAGTCTTCCCTATTGAGAGGGAAATCCGGGCGTTCAGCCCTGTCTGCCAAGAGTGTGCTAGGGCTGTCTAGTGCCTTTGGGCTCACAGGACTCTCCTTACTTTGGGGATAGGAAAGAAGAAGAGGGAGGAAGCAGGAGAAATTGGATGTACCCTAATCCAGCCTCTAAAATGTCAAGTCCTGCGAAGTCCCCCAAATTCCAGGAATGTCACCCCCTGTGTTCCCTCCCTCCAGAATCTCCAATCGGTAGTTTGGCTTTGGGAACAGAAGCTCTGGATTGGTTCTGAAATAATAATCATTATAAAATTAGGTAAATCCCCCTAGGTTCTTCTAAAGGAAGGAAGATAAGGAATGAGGGAGGGAAGAAGGCAGGCAAATTATGTATGGCAAAAAAAGAGAAGATTCATAAACACATAGTATAGGAACTATCCAAAATGAAGGACATAGAAAAAAAAGAATTAAATAAAATGAAAGTGCCAGTGATCTGTTCGACAATGTCAAGCAGCCTAATACATGTGTAATTAGAGTTCTCACAGGAATGGGGGGAGAAGCAAAAAAAAAATTATAAATAATAGCCAGAAATTTATCAATTTTAATTTTAAAAATATAAACCCACAGGTTCCAGAAGCTCAAGGAATGCCAAGCACTAGAAACATGAAAAAAGAATTATACCAAGGCACATCATAATCAAATTCCTCAAAGCAGTGATCAAGAGAAAATGTTAGAAGTAGCCAGGGCATAAAGACACATTTAGGTACAGTGGAACAGACAAGAGGGACAGCAGGTTTCTTATTAGAAACAACACAAGCAAGAAGACAGTGGAATCATAGCTTTACAGTCATGGAAGGAAAAACTATCACCTGAGAATTCTATACTAAGTAAAAATATCCTTCGGAAATAAAAGTGAAAAATAAAGACTTCTCTTCAGACATAGAAAAGCTAAAAGATTTTAATCCTAGCAGACTTGCACTGCAAGACATGTTAAAGGAAGTCCTTTAGGCAGAAGGAAAATAATATGAGATAGAAGTGTGGATCTACATAAAGGAATCAAGGGTACCAGAAATGGTACTGACATGGTTAAGTATATATGATTTTCATTGAAAAGATCATTGACTGCCTAAACAAAAATAGTAACAATGTATTGTGAGGTTTAGAACAAATGCACAATTAGCATGTATGGCAGCAACGGCATAAAGGCCAGGAAGGGAGTGATCTAAGTGTGCTATTGTGAAGTTCCCGTACTATATGTGAAGGGGTTTAGTAACAACTGAAGACAAACTGCGATGATTAAGGCCTGTTGTGGGGTGGGGGCGGGGGGAGGGAGAGCATTTGGAGATATACCTCATGTTAAATGACGAGTTACTGGGTGCAGCACACCAACATGGCACATGTATACATATGTAACTAACCTGCACGTTGTGCACATGTACCCTAAAACTTAAAGTATAATAAAAAAAGGATGTATACTATGAGCCCTACAGCAACTGTTAAAATAACAAAACAATGGATTTTAGCTAATAAGTCAACAGAAGAGATGAAACTGAATCCTTAAAAATACTCAGTTAATCCAAAAGGAGGCAGAAAAAGAGGGAAAAGGGAACAAAGCTACATGGGACTAACAGAAAACAACAAGAGGTTAAACCGAAGCACAGCAAGGTATCAAGAGGTTAAACCGAAGCACAGCAAGGTATCAAGAGGTTAAACCGAAGCACAGCAAGGTATCAAGAGGTTAAACCGAAGCACAGCAAGGTATCAAGAGGTTAAACCGAAGCACAGCAAGGTATCAAGAGGTTAAACCGAAGCACAGCAAGGTATCAAGAGGTTAAACCGAAGCACAGCAAGGTATCAAGAGGTTAAACCGAAGCACAGCAAGGTCTCAAGAGGTTAAACCGAAGCACAGCAAAGTATCAAGAGGTTAAACCGAAGCACAGCAAGGTATCAAGAGGTTAAACCGAAGCACAGCAAGGTATCAAGAGGTTAAACCGAAGCACAGCAAGGTATCAAGAGGTCAAACCGAAGCACAGCAAGGTATCAAGAGGTCAAACCGAAGCACAGCAAGGTATCAAGAGGTCAAACCGAAGCACAGCAAGGTATCAAGAGGTCAAACCGAAGCACAGCAAGGTATCAAGAGGTTAAACCGAAGCACAGCAAGGTATCAAGAGGTTAAACCGAAGCACAGCAAGGTCTCAAGAGGTTAAACCGAAGCACAGCAAGGTCTCAAGAGGTTAAACCGAAGCACAGCAAAGTATCAAGAGGTTAAACCGAAGCACAGCAAAGTATCAAGAGGTTAAACCGAAGCACAGCAAGGCATCAACAGCAAATTGGTTGAATATGCCAATTAAGTCAGGCTGAATAAAAGAGCAAGACCCATCTATCTGCTGCTTATGAGAAATCCACTGTAAATATAAAGACACAAATAGGTTAAGAGTAAAGGAACAGAAAAAGATATGCAGCTGTCCCTCAGTAACTGTAGGGGATTGATTCTAGGACACACCTCCTCCTGCCCCACAGATACCCAAATCCTCAGATGCTCATGTCCCTTATATAAAATGGTATGATATTTGCATATAACCTATCCACATCCCTCCATATGCTTTAAATCATCTCTAGATTACTTATAAAAACCAATACAATATAAATGCTATGTAAATAGTTGATACTGTATTTTTCATTTGCATTATTTTTGTTATATTTTTTATTTTTATTTTCCAATATTTTCAATTTGCATGTGCAGAACCTGAGAATACAAAGGACCAACTATACGATACTAACACAGTCAAAAGGACACTGGACTGTCTATATTAATATCAGGCAAAATAAATTTCAGCGCAAAGGCTATCACTAGGGATTAGAAAGGGCTTTTCAAAACAGCAAAGAGGTCAAGTCTTCAAGGGTGCATAACAATCCTAAATGTTCATGCACCTATTAACAGAGCTTTCAAATAAATACATGAAGCAAACACTTTTCTTTGTAGAAATAGGCAAACTGATTTTAAAATTCATATGGAAATGCAGAAGGTCTAGAATAACCAAACAACTATGAAAAATCACAAAGATGAAGGGGTAACTAGCACTATCTGATTTTAAGCCTTATTATTATAAAGCTATAGTAATCAAAGCAGTGTGGTATTGGTGTAAAAATAGACAAATGGATCAATGGAACTGAACAGATGGTCTAGAAATAGACCAACACATATATGGAAAATGACTTCCAACAAAGATGAGAGAGAAAAGATGACACAGACTGAGATAAAATATTTGCAAAGCACATATCTGATTTTAAAAAAAACTTATAGCCAGCCAGAATATATAAAGAAACCTCATAATGCAATAATATGAAAATGACCCAAATATAATGTATGCAAAATATATGAACAGATACTTCACCAAAAAATATACGAGTGGCCAATAACCACAGGAAAGATGTTCAATATTGTTAGTCTTCAGGAAAATGCAAATTTAAAACACAATGAGATACCACTGCATACACATTATAATGACTAAAATTAAAATTAAAAATACTGACCACACCAGGTGTTGGTGAGGATGTAGAAGAACCAAAACTCTCATACACTGCTGATGGCAGCACAAAATGGCACAACCACTTTGGAAAAGAGTTTGGCAACTTCTTAAAACACTAAACGTACACTACCACATGATGTAACCATTCCACTCCCAGGTATCTACCCAAGAGAAAAGGAAAGCATACATCCGTACGAAGCCTTATACACAAATGTTCATAGCTGCTTTATTTAAATAGCTCAAAACTGGAAACAGCTCAACATGGATGGATAAACTGTGCTATATCCATACAATGGAACACAACTAAGCAATAAAAAGGAATAAGCTATCAGTACATCCAGAGACATGTGTAAACCTCAAAATAATTATGCTGAATGAAGGAAGGCAGTCAAGAGAGTCCATGCTGTATGACTTCATTGATATAAAACAATAGAAAATATAAACTAATCTATGATGACAGAAAAGAGATAGCAGGGGTGGGGAGGAGGGCTGAGCTACTGGGATTACAAAGGGGCAAAAGGAAACTTTTGGGAGTGATGGATATGCTCACCCTCTTGATTGCACTGATGGTCAATGTTGAAACTTTCCAAAGTATACAGTTGAAATATGTGCAGTTTGTTATATGCCAATTATACCTCAGATAAGCTGTTTTTAAAAATTCATAGAACAATAGACTGAGTGGGTGAATCTTATGTATGAAAATTGTACCTAGTCCATTAAAACATCTTTAAAAATAAATGGCAGATATGAAAGCTGGGAGAAAACATCTGGATATTTGGTGACTCCACCCATTGGTTTATTCCTATGGAATTTAAAATCAGATGGCTTCTGTCCCCAGTGCAGATCATGAGGACTGAGATTGGCCCTCACTGCAGGCTTGAGGCCTGTCAGCACCCAGCATGGGTGGCCTGGCCAGCCTCAGTCTGTGCTAAGAGTGGTGTGCCATGCAACCCATCTCAGCACGATGAGTGAGACTGGAGGCAGTTTCTCCATCTAATGCCGCATGCTCAGGACCCTCTGCTCTGCTTGCTCTGTGCGAGTGTAACAGAATCAGGTCCAGTAATGAAGTATTAACATGCAATAAAGCAGCATCAGAGAAAACAAGTCAATTTTTGGTGAGCGGTTATGGTGGGAGGGAGATGGGGAGGACAGGAGCCATCTCCTGTGAGGTAGAGAAGGCAGGAGAGAGAAGGCTTCCTCAGCTCCTTCGGATGTTGCCTGGCTGAGACTCAGAGGTGAAGGACTCAAGCCGCACTGAACTGGGACCTTCAAGAGGAATGGTGTTGGGGGCCTCCTCCTGGAGATCTTTGCAGCAGCCCTTCAGGGTGGGGTGGACCCCACTGTTGCTGCCTGAAGCCTCCTTAGATTTCTGAGCAGGGCTGAGGGTTCTGAAGGGGTTTTTTTGTTAGAGAGCAACAGTTGGGAAACAGCTATGGAGAATCAAGAAGAGAAGTCCTCTTCCCTATCAGCCCTCAGTGTGTGTGTGTGTGTGTGTGTGTGTGTGTGTGTGTGTGTGTGTGTGTGTGTGTGTGTGTGTGTGTCTGTCTGTCTGTCTGTCTGTCTGTCTGTCTACTAGAAGGAGAGAGAGATGAATTAAACCAGACATTTCCAGGACATGAGTTGCTAGAAACAACTATAAGAAGTAATTGTTAATGACAGTGTTTCCAAGTAATGGCTCACGGGGCCCCTGACCCTGTGTTTCCACACCTTTAAAAGAAGGATAATAATAACAATAACAATAGCTACCTCAAGGGGTATTAAGAGAAGCACCTAACATATGAGAGTGTTATATTAACTGTGAAGTGCTATGCAAATGTCAGCTATTAATATTAGTTGAGGACATAGTTCCTGATAGGAAAGCTCAATGCCATCATCTTTTTTGTGACTTTGCAACCCCTGTGATGAGCAGTCTAGGCCGTGGCAGAGGCGCTGGGATTTTCATGCTCCAGGTAGTTTTATGGAGTAGCTAGAGTTTATGTCTGAGACCTTCTCTGGTCTCTCTGGTCTCCCTGGTCCCTGCCCCAGTGATTCAGGCCCCAGCTTCCAGGCTGCCCTGATTCTCACCCTACCCCGCTACCCCACCCTCCGTCATCCCAATGCACTCCAGCTGAACTTGCCCTTCC
The DNA here is from genome assembly GCF_000001405.40 of Homo sapiens. Classification (NCBI taxonomy): domain Eukaryota; kingdom Metazoa; phylum Chordata; class Mammalia; order Primates; family Hominidae; genus Homo; species Homo sapiens. The sequence continues at coordinate 624,896 of NW_018654718.1, read as the reverse complement.
TATGTTTCAAGCATTTCCATAGTGCTCCAAATATTTCCTTAATCAAAAACTATCCTGTTGGGAACCCTATTCTTTTATCAACCTAGTCTCTGATCTCAATTACTCTGCTAAACACACCCATGCTAATTAAGGTGTAGAAGCTGTTAACGTCTGCACCTATTCATCTGCCCTGGTAATAGAGGCCATAAACATTTCTCACTATACTCCATGGAGCTCTAAAGGTTCTAGCAAGAAGCATAAGGGACCTCGCTGGAGAATCAGGAGAAGCTGAACAGGTCAGCTCTGAATCATCCATTCTTTCCCATGCACTTGAACAAAAGCATCTCTGCTCTTTTCTGTTCTGTGTTGGGTCATGTGGGAAGAAAGAGTTCTTTGGTAATAAGATGTTTGGTAATCCCTGACTTACTTCAAAGGTAATGCTAAAGGTAGAAATTCTAGGGAGGAAATGGCAGATCCCTCAAATTCCAGCACATGGACAGCTGTCTGCTCCAATCCTGAAACCAGCTCAGCCCACTTTTGGACAGACTGCAACAGAGATTCGGGTTCATATCCCAGACCTGGAGCCAACCAACAGTAGTTCTTAAGCATATCCTTGCCTATGTGTTAGGTCTCAGTTTTCTGCTCTGAATAATGAAATACAGTTGGCCCTCTGTACCCGCGGATCCAACCAGCTTTGGGTAAAAAATATTAGGAAAAAAAAATCATTAAAAAATTATACAAATTAAAAAATAAAATATACCATATGTAAAATACATAAAATGGTGTAGTATGTGCATATAATCTACATACATAAAAGGACATGGGCATCCTTGGGTTTTGTATCTGAGAGGGGTCCAGGAATCAGTCTCCCCACAGACACCAAGGGATGACTGTAACTGGGCTTGATGACTTTCCGTCTGGCTCAAAACCCATGTTTTTTGAGGGCTCGCTGCAGACAAGCTTCACCAAAGAACAGAGGGGGCCTGCTGCTGAACATCCACCCGTGGAAGCACTGAGCCCTCCCCACTCTACAGTGCTGGCTGTCTTCTCCCACCTATGCTTCCGTGCCCTAACGATGGTTTCCTGCTCAACCTGGCCCGACCACAAGCGAAAAGGTCAAATCCAATCTGAGACTGGCCGTCTTCTCACAGAGAGAGGGGAAAGATCCAGTGGTGCTGTGGGCTTAGAGTGGTCAGGCCACCTCTCTTCCATGACACAGGCTCCACAAGCAGGTGCAGATGGAGGTGGCAGGTCAAGGGTGGGGCTGCGTGGGGGTTGCGAGCTGGGGGACAGTGGACGGAGGCTGCATGTGGGATGGAACAGGGGGCCAGGAGAGAGCTAGGTCACATGCACAGAGCGATGCGGTACAGCTGGCGGGCTCACCAGACAATCTGTGCGGGCACGAGCCTTCCGGGAAGACACAGCCAGCAGGACTGTCCCCTGTTGGGTGATGGTGAGGAGTCGGGGTCCACAGACAGGCAGAGACACATAGTCATGCCTCTCCCTCGCCCTTGCCACACAGAGCCTGACATGTATTGGGCAAAGGAAAGAAAGATCACGTTTGCCGGGCTAACATTGCTGATGATGACTGCTAGCTAGCAGGACAATGATTACACACCAAACACACTGCCACAACTAATTTTCAAGCAGATCAAAATAAATCAGAAAACAAAACCATTCTGACAGCAGAGAAATGTGGAAACCTGTTAGGAGGTAATTACGGTCCTTTCCGCCTTGTTTCACCTGCATCTCTCCCACCACTGGTGCAGGCATGGAATCCCAATCATCACTCTGTCAAGAGGCCTGTGTGCCTGAAGGTTTGTGCAGGGCAGGCCAGGCTGGGAGTGCTGCCACCATGCCTGGCTGCCAGGGACCAACATCTCCTGACAGGGACATTCGTCCATCCCTGACACTTGAAGACACTGTCTCATCCCAGCCGGGGCCCCACACCAGCCAGCCTGGAACTCCACCATCTCATGTTCCTTCAGACAAACCCCATCAGTCCCCGCTCTAGACTGCACCCTCAGACCATACCGTGGAAAGAGCCCAGCTTCGGAATCAGACAGCCCTAGGTGTAAATCCCAGCTTCACTAATTACGGCCTCCTAGTTAGATGGCCTTGGGCAAACTACGTGAGTTCCAGGGGCCTCAGTTTCCTCATGTGAAAACAGGATACAGGAATGCCTAGCTTATGCAGGGACCGTGTGAATTAGAAACCGTGCACGTCGGGAAGCCACTCCCTGGTTTGCTTTCTGAGGGGCTGCTGTGCTCACCGTCACTGTTCTCTCTCACAAGTCTCACCAGAGCAGTCACCAGCGGCTGAAAACTTTCACTGCAACCCAGTGGCTGCCTGGGAGCCTTCCTGGTTGATGAAGTGTCTCAGGACGTCTCTCCATGGGGCAAAAGGAAACCTTCCCTTTTCCAGATCATGCTTCCCCTATTACCTGAAGGAAGCCCTCCTAGCTCAGAAACATCAGCAGGTACTTGGAGCTGAACGAAGGAAGCAGGCAGTGAGTGAAATGAACACACGCAGTGAGAACGACTCGGGAGTGCTCATATCCTCTGAGAGGACGCCTGGGCCCCACAGCACTTTCTGAGGGAACTGCTGGACGTCCAGCTTAGAAATGGGGCCCACAGGACGAGGACTTGCTGCCATAAACGAGGAGGCCGTGAAGATAAGGGCACGAGGCTCTAGATCATTATCAAGCACCCAAGTGGGACCTTATGCCACTCCTTCGACCCAGGGCCACCTTTTAACACTGAGGCCAGGATAGCTCCTGCCGCGTGCTGGACAGGACGCAGGTGAACAAGCCCTGCCTGCTGGAGGCTGCCAAGCACAGCCCACACCCCTTGCATGGACAGTCGGTCAACAGCCACCCATCAGGTGCTCATCAGGTCAGGGGCACAGCCTGCACACACGTGCTGTCCAGGCATTTGCACTGAGGGAAACAGACAGCCTCCTTGACCCCCTCCCGTTCTCTGCCCCCTAACCAAGCCCGGGGTCAGGGAGAGGGGGTTGACCGTCTCCCTTCCCTGTAGGAACTTTCCCTATGTTGCCCTTTCAGATTTGCAAGCGTCTTCTCTTAGCCCATAGGAAATCGTGCAAAGTTCCTTGAACACCCCTCCGTCTATCTGAGCTTTGTTTGCCAAGTTACCCCAAGAAGTCTAGATTCTTCTTCTGGTTTCACTCTGATTTGATTCCCAGAAAAGGTCACATGCCTCTCCCCATCTCCAAAACCAGCAGCATGTCTCCATGGTTCTGGCCGTCCTGCTGGTCCTAACCCAGCAGCCTGGAGGAGCTCCCAGCCCACAGAAAGAGCCGGCTCTGGGAGTCCAGTTTCTTCTCTGCCAGCCCTGTACTTCCCCTAATGATCCGTGCCTGGGCCCTGGGCTCTCCACTTTGAGCTGTTGATACAGTTGGCCCTTTGCATTCTTGGTGATTCAACCAGCCACAGATAGAAAATATTTGAAAAGAAAATTTTTAATAAAAATAATATGACAATAAAAATCATACCAGTAAATGAAAACAGTACATCATAAGAACTATTTATATAGCACTTACACCGTATTAGGTAGTATAAGTAACCTGGAGATGATTTAAGGTACACAAGAGGATGTGCATAGGTTATATGAAAACACTATGCATTTTATGCAAGGGACTTGAGTACCTAAGGATTTTGGTATCCAAGGGGTTGGGGAGTCCTGGAACCAATCACCTGTGGATACCAAGGGACAACTGTATTTAGATTGGAAAAGATAAAAAAGTCACCTGGGCAAATAACCTTTAAACACTAGACTACAGTCAAGAAGCAAAGATATCACTGGGACCTTCTAACGCGGACAAAATTAAACTGTAATATGTAATATGAGCAGTTTCTTTTTAAGGGCCAACATCAGAGTCTTGTTTGCCTATAAACTGATTTCTTCTAGCTGTGGAGCTATTTTATTCTGATCCTGGGCCTACGAACATGTGTCCAATAGAACGGATAAATGTAACGTAGCACTAGTCATAGAAAGTGTCCCTGTTTCAGCGAAGGATCAAGTCCCAGGCAGTGGCCACAGCCCTTTTGCTGTCATCTCACGGCACAATGCAGAGGAAGCTCCACATTATAATACTGATGGGGTGAGAAGAACAACAAAGCAAATCAACTGCCTTGGAGTGACTGCTCTACACAGCCAACCGTCAAACTCCCATGATGCTGGCCCTAGGAATAACTTCCAGGAAGTTCAGCCTTTCTTGTGTTCTTAAGAAATTATAGCAAATTTACAGGCAAATCCACAGGTTTTCAGTTTTGGAATATCTGCTGTCTGGCTTCCGGCTCAAGGCATCAGTAGAGAAAGCAATAGGCTGCTTGGGAGGAGGTGACTGATGATACGAGGCAGACACCAGCCGGGGAAGCAGGAGGAGGCAGGAGGCAGAGGATGGTGATCCACAGGCATGGACAAGCCTTCAGGGCAGAACTGGAGCTGGAATCGAAGAATGGATAGGCTTTGGAGGGAAAGGTGAGGAAGGAGAGCTTTTCAGGCAGGGTAAGGCAGAGGTGAAAACAAGTAGGAGAATGGGGCCCATAAACAGATTTTCCTGGTGAAGCAGAGGGTTTGTGGCCAGGAATGGGCACAGCCAGACAGCAGATTGTAGACAGGATTGATTTGGCCTGCATCTCCAGACAAGCAACTCACTGAGGGGTTGTGAGCAAGGCAATAGCTCGATGGAAGAGATGCTTGGGGAACACTGGGGGATACTAGTCCCGTTGGTGGCCTTGCGGATGCTCCATCTCTCCAGAGTCCTAGGAGGATGCTCTGCCCAGAAGAGTATGCTTCTTGAAATAAATAAGAGCAAACATTTGCATGGCACATGGCATGCATTAAGCACTGTTTTCTGCACTTGACACACTTAAACATTTTTTTTTAGACAGTCTCACTCTCTCACCCAGGCTGGAGTACAGTGGTGTGATCACAGCTCACTGCAGCCTCAAACTCCTGGGCCCAGGCAATCCTCCTGCCTTAGCCTCCCAAGTAGCTGGGACTACAGGCATGCACCACCATGCTCTGCTAATTTTTTTTTTTGTAGAGATGGGGTTCACTATGTTTCCCAGGCTGGTGTCAAACTCCTGGGCTCAAGCAATTCTCCTGCCTCGGCCTCCCTAAATGCTGGCATTACAAGAGTGAGCCACCATGCCTGGCCTTGACACAATTTAAACTGTTTAATCTTCATACTAATTCCCTACCATAGACACTATTTTCATCCCCATTTTATAGATTAGGGTATCGAGGAACTAAAATGTTAAACAACTTATACCCAGCTAGTAAGTGGCAACACCAGGACTTGAACTCAGGCAGTCTGAGCTGGAATGGAAAGAGCGAACAGCCTTTGGAGGTACTCAGAATACCTAACTCCTTAAGCTACACTGCCTCATGGGGGAGATTCTCTCTGAGTACTTTTCCCAAGGCTCAGGGTAGCCTCCACTTCTCAAAAGGGAAAATACCCGCTCTGGGGCTGCACCTTGGACTTAAACCTACAGAAATGTTTTCCATTTAGAATGAAACTGGGAAGTAGAAACACAGGAGTCGAAGAACAACTGAATTTCACCCAAATTGGCCCTGGAAGCCATGAACTGGATCCCACACCCCACCCCTCACAGGCCCTTCCAACCCGGCCTGAGTAGTGGCAGGTGGCTACCCAATACTGGCTGGAGGTGACAGAGCCTATCGGGCCCAGGACCCTGTGGGACTCAGAAGAGGAAGAGACAGCTGGATGCGAAAGAAAAGTGTCTGCCATTACCCCAAACAGATCCACGTTGTCCTAGAGAGCAAGCAACAGGCCACCAGCCCTCGGCAAAGGGAGTGTCTAGACACCCTTCATCTCCCCTTTCATGCTTACTTCACCCACACCCCCCACCACCATCCAGCCCCTCCAGCCTGGCCAGAGAGGGGAATGGCTGTCTGTGCCAGCACTTGCTAATGATTTCATGTGCTCTCCCCGCAGGTGGAGTAAGACTTCACCCAAAAGAAGAATTGGAATAGTGGCAATACAGACATTGTGGCATCAGGATGGAGGTGACATTTGAGGACCACGAGCCCTACTTAAGACATCCCATGGCCAAGCTTAAACCAGAAAGGGAGTCCAATGACCTTCCACTCCTGCTTCCTCCATCCTGGCCTCCTGAGTTCCTGTCTGGCTGGGTGGCATGGCCGTGGGCTCTCTATACCGTAGAGGGTTCCATCACCACGTCTGGAGTGCTGTGGCCCCCACTCAAAGAGACTACTCGTGTTCTCTCACTGGAGAACTCAGGCCACTCAGCAAGACGGTTGCCTTGACCAATTCAAAAGCCTCAAAACATTGACATGAGGGGTCACTGAGTACGGCATTCTGGAAAGTGTAAGGCACTCCAGGTGTGGAGGGTTGAAGTGATTCAAGACAACTGCTCATAAAAGAATCAGGCCCTGCCCTCAAAAAGCTGACATTTCACAGAGAAGGAGGGTGTATGGGAGACATTTCAGAATTTCATTACAGCTGGCTCAAGGTAGTTTGCAAGGTAAACACACTAGTCTTGACGATGGAATACTTTAAGAGTCAGTAATAGCTTTCGAAGCTCGCCTTCTCAGGACGAGCCTTCTAGAGTTGGCTAAACAAGACAAATATTACAAATGAGCTCCAGCTCCCTGCTGGCTCCCCTAGACCCCTTCCACCCTCTGTTCCCTGACCCCGTGCCCTGGAAGCTTGGTGCATGGGGACTGCTTGAGGTGCCCGGCTCCCTGGCCCTCCAGCTTCAGGTTGGTTTGGCCAATGAGCAGTGTCAATAAGAGAGTGGAGATGGGAGGACAGAGAAGGCAGGGTGTTTTCTTTCCATGTCCCCCTACCTTGGTGTCTTGGTCCTGGCAGTGACAACATCCTTCCATGACTATGGTTTCTCCCTCATGGTCCTCCTCCCAGCTACAGCTCCCACCAGGCCCCCCAAACAGTATTTTCTCCCCTTCCTCCTCAGGCCCTAGGGTGATGACAGCTTCCCTCTAAGTTTAGCCCTGGGTGCCTCAATATCCCTTGCTGGTCTCCTTACCCCTCCATAAATATGCCCCTCAAGAAACTCTGTTCCGTTGAACCATCTGTGTAGAATTCTGTTTCCTATTATGATGCCAACTGAACACTCGGTACCCATTCTTTGTCCGTAGTCAAGGACAGCTTATACAGAAAACACAAAGCTTCCATGGTTAGAAGCTGGTTCCTGGCTTCCATGAGTGGCTGTACCCAAACCTGTCCTAAGTAGATAATCACCATTCTCGTTTTTCAAATTCTCCACAAAGACTGTACGACTGTACATCTATGTTATCTAGAGGGCTGTGTATGATTTTGAATCCAGAACCCAGGGGCTCAGAATTCCTCCACCCTAAACCTTCCTTCATCAGGAACTTCACTGTCACTCCCATCAGTAGAGAAGAGACAGTCTCAAAGTTCATTGAGCCCATCCCCTTAAGCACATACACAGATAGCAGAATTTAGGCAGGTTTAACCTAGGTGATTTCTTTCAGCCGGTCTATAAATCAAGAACTAATTCCCATGACTCCCTCCTGGCTCTAGAATGAGCATTCCCTCCCGGACTCCTTGGAATGTCTTTTGCATATTGAAGTCATTTTCCTCATTGCTCACCCTTCCCTGAGTAGACGCGGAGGCATTTTGTAACTGTCAGTGTTTTGACAAAGCATGAGTATTTAATCATGTGCCCGCTACTCCCTGTAACCCACACGGCACACAGGCTTGCTGGTACCTGCTGCCAGGGCAGGACAGTGGGCAGAGAGCCGGCAAGCACCCAAGACATCCGACCCTGGGCAGGGGGTGGGGACAAAGCCAAGGAGGTAAGACTCTCCCTTTCACAAGATGCTCAGAGTCTGCCCAAGGCCGAGTCTGTCTTCCATTCCACTTCAGGAAGGGAATGCTCAGCCCGGAATGAACAGCACCAAGATTAACTGGGACAGAAAGGACCATCTCGTTCTATCCCTTGCCTCTTCCGGAACTAAATCATCTTTGGCAGATGGTGTTTCTAGCCACAGTCTCCCGGGGAACCTCCCCCAGCGCCTAGCAACCTTCAGCATTGGGGAGCCCTTCCCGTGGTTTGGTCTAAATGCCCACGATGCTCCCAGGCTCAGGGGTCCACACTCCTCTGTCCATTAGGGTCCCTCAGAGGAACCCTCCCCCCAGGACACCACAGGTCCAACTGTTCCCTCGCTGGGAGCCCTTGGCCATCCCACCATGGGGCGAATGTGACCTCCCACTCCAGCCAACACTCCCCACACCCCCAGCCTGCCCAGGAGCATTTGCTTTTCAAAACTTCCCTTTCTTAAAAAAGACACAATTTTCCAAAGCCCAGGGAGTTAATCCATGAAATCTTCTGGAACAAGAGCAGCTGGCCCAGGCCTTGGATAAGTCGATCAACAAACATGCCAGAGCCCCGTGTGGTTCAAAACATTCTTTGTTCCAGCCACCGAGCCTGGATCTCGCTGGATCCTGCCGGTGAGTTGGCTTCTCAAAGTCACACCCCTCTGGCTGTCGACCCCACCCCTGCCATACCCTTGAAAGCTAAACCCTCTTCAGAGGGACCACATCATCACTTTCCCCTCAGTCTTTCCCTCTTTCAGAAACCACCTGAAGTGAAAATGTTTGGAGCCAGTCAAGGTTTGCTGACAATGGAAACAAACCAGTCCCTGGCACAAGGCACAGGCTGCTCAGTGTAAGTGGAGGCCCCATATGGTTGTTATTCTGGGAGAGAATCAAAGAACCTAAAAACCTGCTTCTTAGATGACAACAGGGGGAAAAACACACAAAAAAACCTGTTTTTTAAATACCCATTCTTCATTTTATGTGCAATCGATCCTGAACAGTGTCAGATGTTTGGCGGGTGCTCCGAGACCAAAAGAACAGTGGAAAAAAGGACTGGCGAGGCCAGCATGATTTCCCAAGTATCACCAGGGGGAATACCCCTCCCAGATGTGCCACAGGGAAGGAATTCCAGCAGGCTCCTTCCTCGCTGCCCTCCGCAGACACATTCCAACCCCCCTGCTCAGAGAGGGCGGGAAGCTGAGTGCAGCTGCCTGGCAAGGCTGAGCATCCTACTCTGGGATGAAGGAACTCTGGAAATTCATTTGCCCTTCTTATTATTCTGTTCTTTTACCTGAACTCTCTCTGGCTGGAGCTGAGCTTCGGGTTCTTTCTCCCTCTCAGCCTCAGTTTCTCATCTGTAAAATGGGCATGGCTGGAGGCCGTTATGAGAGATAGGATTCCATGTATCTTCATGGGGGCAGATGGTGAATCCGGCAGGTGCTCAGCTGTTTCCTCCCTGCCCAGTCCTGCCCACACCCTTTTCCCAAGCTTCCAAGGAGGCTCTGACAAGTACTGTACAAGAAGGCTTTGTTCCCTAGTTCCTAGTTGAGTGATCTAGGGCACAGCACTTAACCTCTCCTGACCTCAGTTTAGTCATTTTTAACTGGGGAGAATAATTATATATTATGAACCCAAAGCTCAGCTCCAGCCTGAGAGAGTTCAGGTGAAGGAACTGAATAATAAGAAGGGTAAATGAATTTCCCGGGTTCTCCTTGCCAGGCAGCTGCACCCCCTTGACTGCATGAACATTTCTTAAGCGCCCACCGTGGGCCAGGCACATGCTGGGCTTTGGAAACACAGCGCCGGGCAATACCCGTAGAACCCCTGCTCTCACAGAGACACTACACAAACCAGCCAAAGTCCACGTGAAGTAATGTGTGATTACAAATCCGGCTACATTTTATGGAGGTTTTAAAAAGGAAAGGAAGAAAGGTCCTGGCTCAACATAAGCGTTTAATAAATAACAGATACTCCTGTTATCACTGTGAGTAACCAGTCAGTGTAGCTTCATTATCCCTTGGTTGACAGAAGAGCAAAGAAAAGCTCAGAAGAGGTAAGTACATTTCCCTAGGCAGCACAGCCTGAAGAGAAACACTGGAATTCACACCCAGGCCTGCCCAGCTCGAGCCCTTACTCCTCCCTCTGTGTCCCATGGCCTCTGTGTTTCATAGGTAGACTCCCTTGCAGCTTTCCTAAGAATTTCACATGATCTCACTTGATCCTTATAACATTCCTTGAAGTGGGAAGACTTACTGTTATCCTATTTCTGCTTCTAGGGAAACTAAGTCCAAGGTCACTCACTTACCAAACCAGAGCCAGGTCTATTTTCACTACAAGACCAAATCAGTTCCTGCTTCTCTTGGAACCCAATGCACCTTCCCAACTCCCAGGTCCATAAAGGGAGCAGGAGTGCAAGCACATCATGCCAGCCCTGGCAGTGACAACCTTGAAAGTCCCAGGTTCCATCTAACAGGTGTGCCTAGAGCACGAGAGGGTCACTGCAGAAGGAGCATGAGAACAGGTGTTGGAGGTTGCAGCATGCCCAAGGCCCTGCAACCCCCAGGTCAATATGCTCAGCTTAATTATTTCCAGGACCTGGCCAGTGGCTGGTGCATCCCACTAGGAGCTCCATCAAAATAACAAGGCCATATGCCCCCAGTACTGCCCGCCCGGCCCATTCTCAAATGCCAGCAGGCTCGAAGGCATTGTTCTGGAGGTGGAGGAAGGGAAAAAGTGAGGCTGCTTTGGGGAAAAACAGGGGCTTTGGGGCAGGGAGAATGTGTTTTTGCCCAATGATGGGCACATGGCAAGCCACATGCCTGCTCATCCTGCCTTGGTTGCCTGAGTTTCTGAGCTCTTTGATAGCAGAATAGAATTGCTACTCTGTGTCCACGGAGCCCAACGATGAGGCATTTATCTCATCAGATTGTTAAGATACAGTGTGGGTGTTTGGATGTCATTACTGCATGGATAGGAGCGTGGAGCGCAGGGGGGCAGAGATGCTGAGATAAATAACACAGGATCCTTTAAAAATACACTGGGAACCAGGAGGCTACAGAGAACTGCAGGAGGTCTGAGCCAAAAGGGGCTCCAGAGATTGCTGGGCCACCCAGCTCTCCCTCTCTGTGGGAGACTGAGGCCCAAAGGGGGCGGGAGCACTCAGGCTGACAGAAAGGAAGGGGTGGAGCACACTGGAGCCCCCGCGTCTTCATCCTTGCTACCAGGCACATTCCATTGCACCATGGGTTTATGCTCTGGCATCCCCAGCAGAGAAAAGATGATGGCAGAGAAACCACTGCACAGCGTCACCCTGCATTTGCAGGGAAGATGGTCCCCTGGGGGATGCTATTCAGCAACCACAGAACAAAGAGGTTGGACTATCTGTAATGAAGGGACAGGGGTGTGGGAGGAGAATGAGATAGGGTACAGGAGTCCTGGATCCTTGCCAACGTTCCAGCCCCCCACTCTGCAGTAAGGTGGAAGTAGAGGAAACCACAACGCCAGATAGAGAGGGCATCTGCCCCTTTAGCCTTGGGATGAAGCATCAAGCACCTCTGGTTTTAGAGACCCAGGCCTAAGTTTTGTCCCTGAAACAGGAGTGGAACAAATGCTCCCGTGTGCTGTTTCCAGCTCTGTAATTCACAACTACAGTTGAGGAGCAGAGGGTCGGGAGTGCTTCACCTAGATAGCCAGACATTTGCGGTAACTAACTGTTCCCTCCCAAAGCCTGTGCAGAAGGTCAGCATCACTCTATCCACCCCCAGCAGGCCAAGGGCCTCCCTCAGGCCAGCAAAGATGCTGATCTTCAAACTCACTGTCCTGGAATCCCTGGTATTGTTGCTTAATTCACCAGGTCACTTGAGGGTAGGAATGACCTCAGCTCATCAGGCAGGCGTCCTAGAGCTGATATTTAAGGAGAAATCCAGAGGCTTAAGAAGTAGTCAAGAAAAAGGCAGCTCAGACAACGGGAAGGACAGAAGGGTTTGCAGAGAGTGAAAGGAGCCAACGCAGGATAGGGCAAGCCAGAGCAAACAGCTCTGGGCTGGGGTGGAGGTGGACTCTGGCAAATGGAGAAGAACTTGGGATGGAACTAACTCTCTGCCCCACCAAGGGCATGGGGAATAGCAAAGCCAAAGGGGGGCCATCAATTTTAAGCAAGATATCTCTTGAGGAAGTACTCGCTGCCAAGGGAGTCCATGTTTCATCAGCCAGTGGGCAGATTTGACTGGATTGCCAAAAGGGCTGGCTGGCCTCCGGGCTGCCAATCATTCCCCAAACCCTGATCGGGCAGTAAAAAACCCATGTGGAAGAGGGTTAGGGAGAAACAGGAGGAACCACGAGCACACAGCCATCTCTGAGCCACAGCATTTAGGAAAATGCTCTCAACTTGGCATGATTGCAAGGGTTAAGTGATTTGCCCTAGGTCATGAAGCTTCTAACTTGGACAAGTCCCATCATCTCCCTGGACCTCAGTTCCCCCATCTGTAAGAGGAGGGAGTTGAACGGGATGCTTTCTGCAGTTCTTGTCAGTGCAGACATTCTGCAGGTCTAATCAAGGGCTTCTGATCTGCCAATTTCATCTCCCTGGATTACTGTGGTTATCTGAAGACAGGCCCAAGGGAACAACAGAGCCAGAGGGCTGATCTGAGAAAGGCAGAGCCTGCTCCTCTTTGAGAGCCCCCTGGAGCCCTTGCAGAGGCATCCCCAGGCTTAGGAGGCATCACTATACAGGAGAGTCCATTCCAGTTCCAGCGGGGTCCTCACCCTACCCCTACTCCCTGGGAGTCACACCTGTGAGGTAAGCTTTGAGCCCTGCCTCTTGCCACCCGTGAGTGCAACAGGGGCTCTGCAGCACCACCGGGGTGGAGGGGTGGATACCCCAGGCTACTCTGCTGCTCTTTGGGATTAAGCTCAGGGTTAGAGGCTGGCTCTGAGATTTCCTTTCCTTTATGCATTTGATCTCCGAGGCAGGACTTGGCTGAACAAGTGCTACTGCTGCTGTTTCCCTCTTTCCTTTGCACATCCTGGGTCTTTCTGCCTGCTCCAGCCTAGACCTCTACAGTCAGTCTCTACTTGGGCATCTCAAACTTGGCATGTCCAAACCCCAATTCTTGAGCCTCCCCCACCCCAACCAGCTCCTGCCCATCTCGGATCATGGTGACTCTCCAGCCTTCCATTCACTCAAGCCAAGATATAGAGTCCATCTTCCCTCTTCCTTTGTTCATACCTCATGTCCGGTCTGTTAGCAGATCATTTCTGGTGTACTTCTAGAATGTATCAAGGATCTAGCAACTTCTCTCCACCTCCACCTTTATCACTCTGGTCCAAGCTGCTAACATCTGCCTCTTGGATTACTGATCCAGCCTCCTGACTGACCGTCACACTTCTACCAACACCGAGAAGCTCCCAGCAATGATTCTCTTTCAAAACAGATCAGTCACTCCTTTGCTAAAAAGCCTCCACTAGCTTCACACTTCACCCCAAGTTAGCACCACAGTCATCACAATGACTTACAAGACCCTAAGTGCCCTCTGTTCCTCACTGACCTCACCTCTGAGCACTTGCTGTGTTCCAGCCATACCTGCCTCCTCCCTGCTCCTACCTGAGGGCCTCCGCACCTGGCCCTCCTGCTCCCAGACACGCTGGGCATACTCCCACCTGAGGGCCTCCGCACCTGGCCCTCCTGCTCCCAGACACGCTGGGCATACTCCCACCTGAGGGCCTCTGCACCTGGCCCTCCTGCTCCCTTGAATGCCCTCTCCCCAGATCCACAGCACTTACCTCGCCATTTCCCACTGGTCTGCTCAAACGTTATCTTCACAGTAACACCTTCCCTGACCCCTCTATTAAAAGCTATAACCCCACCCTGAAGCACCCTATCTCCATCCCTGCATTCATCCCTCCACTGTGTCTAATATTATGTATCGTATTTATATTTTTTCCTTTATGTTCTCCTTTCCTTTATTTTCTTCTTCCCACAAAAGTGCAACCTCCTTGCAGGTAGGAATTGTCTGTTTTATTCACTGAGGTAACTAGTGATGCACCTACAACAATGCCCAGCCCTTGACCATTATTTGTTGACTGAATAGTAGCTTCTGCCCACTGTGGGCATTCAGATAACATTTAAAAAGCAGGGGCAAGGAGCACTTTTCACATCTGCTGTGTGTTTCTGAGCTTCTGCCTGCGGTCACTAACTTTCTGATTCTTAGCATTCATCCCATATTTTAGACACAGCCTCCACCCCACCCCAGTCCTGCAAGGCATCCCTCTGGCTCCTGGATGCCTCCTGGCCTCCTGCACCACCAGCCACAGCATCACACAGATGCTGGTCTGTTCTGCCCACAGCTCTTGGTGCAGGTCAGATTCCTGATCCTGGCTCCCTGCATTTCATTGTCAACCTATGGCTGCACACACCACTGCAGATGCTGAAGACACCGTCTTGGCCACAGGGAAGACTGTACTACTGAGACTACAAGACTGAGCCTGCCTTTTGATTGGTCAATGTTGCTTTTCCCTTGGTGGGAGATGAACAAGAAAACAGACTGGGGACTCAAAACACACCAGGTGTTTAATAGGTGGCTAAGTGAATAGGCTTTCCAAATTACATGCCAACACAGCAGCTTGCCACAGCTTTCAGCCCACTGCTTGCACTATGGTTTCTGGACTCAACAGAAAGGTCAAGGGAGTGCCAGCTGACTGTCACATGGTCTGCAAGCCCCTGATGGGAGGACCAAGTCATCGACTCTAGCCTGCATCTTAGCATCTCCTGGGTTGAACTGACAAGCTGTTTCCAGCATTCAGCCCCAGCAACTGTGAGTCCTGAAGCACTCCACTGTGCCCCTTGGCGAGCCTCTGCCTGCCCTCTTTAGCCTGACTCTGCTGTAGATCAGAAAGGCAGGTTCAGGTCCTGGCCCTGGCACTGCCTTCCCAAGGGACTGGACTGGCTCCCTCCCCCATGAGGATAACTGCAGGGTGATGGGGAGGTGAGTGCTTTGCCTCCTAGGAGGAAAGGCTACTATGTGATGCAATGTCCACTCACTGTCATTCCCATATTAGTACTGCACACATCCCAGCACAGCAGCTTCAGATACATCCAGACACTTTCAGGGCTCCCCCCAGCCAGATGGGATGGCATGGAACTGCTGGTGGCAACAGCAGAAGCACCTGTTGTGTGTGTGTGTGTGTTGCACAAGGACCCTTCTAGAGCTTGGCCCATATATGTATAGAAAACCACCTCTGATGCTATATCTCCTAGTAAATAGTGCTGTTTGTAATAATGTTTTACTCAGTGATTACCATATGCAAGGTGTTATACTAAACACTTGTCATGACTTATTAATCCAGTGTTTCTCAAAGTGTGTCCCAAGGAACCCCAGCAGGATCTCTGAGACCTTTTTCGTGTATCTGTGAGGAGAGAACTATTTTTATAACAACTCTAACATTTTCACTGTAATGCTCTCACAAATACACAGCAGAGTTTCCCAGAGCCTACATGATGTGATACCATAACACACTGAATGACAGAGCAGATATGAGAACCCAGCTGTTTTCTAGTAAGTCAGACACTAATCTATACAAATGTAAAGCAATGTCACTCTTCTGTTTTTTTGTTTTACAAAAAAATTATTTTTCAGAAACAATATTGCTTATGTTAACATGCAATCAGTTTTTTTTGTTTTTGTTTTTGTTTTTTTTTTTGAGACGGAGTCTCGCTCTGTCACCCAGGCTGGAGTGCAGTGGCACTATCTCGGCTCACTGCAAGCTCCACCTCCCAGGTTCACGCCATTCTCCTGCCTCAGCCTTCCGAGTAGCTGGGACTACAGGTGCTTGCCACCACACCTGGCTAAATTTTTTTGTATTTTTAGTAGAGACAGGGTTTTACCATGTTAGCCAGGATGGTCTCGATCTCCTGACCTTGTGATCTGCCAGCCTCGGCCTCTCAAAGTGCTGGGATTACAGGTGTGAGCCACACCACCTGGCCACAATCGGTTTTTTAATGAATTAAGTTGATTTCTAATACAATAAACATGAGTAGCTATAATTTACACAAATAAAAACTCTCTGGGATTCTCAGTAGTTATTGAGAATATAAAGGAGTCCTGAGACCAAAAAGGCTCAGAACTTCTGCATTAACTCATTTAATTCTCAGAATAGCCCTGCAAGGTATATATAATTAACCCCACTTTAGGAGCAAGAATGTTGAGGCAGAGAGAAACAGTGCCTAATCTAAGATCACACAGCCAACAAGTGTTCAAAACAGGACTTTAGCCAAGGAGTCCATGTGATCTCAACCATGATGCTACCCCGACTCCAGGACGGGCCGAGGGCCCCACCAGCAGAAGTGAGAGCCTTGCCTCCATGGGGTTGAGCAATCTGTGCTCCTCTCCTTTTCTCTCTTCTTTCTTTTCTTTCTGTCTCTTTCTTCTTCTTGTTCTTTTTTTTTTTTTTTTTTTTAATAGAGACAGGGTCTCTGTCACCAAGGCTGTAGCACAGTGATATGATCATGGCTCACTACAACCTCAAACTCCTGGGCTCAAGCAATCCTCCCACCTCAACCTCCCAGGTAGCTGGGACTACAGGCACGTGGCATTATGGCCAGCTAATTATTTTTATTTTTGTAGAGACAAGGTCCCACCATCTTGCCCAGGCTGATCTAATTCCTAGGCTCAAGCAATCTTCCTGCTGCTGCCTCCTAAAGTGCTGGGATTAACCAGTGAGAGCCACAGTACTCAGCCCATACTTCTCTTTTTTCCCCAGATTGTGTCAGCCAAGTCAGGCCAAAATGTGCCCCCCACAGCAGGGAATTAGTGACCATGTGGAGGTGCAGGATGTCGGTCTTCCTTCTGATGGTTTGGGACTGCTGGACCCAGGCTGCCAGGCAAGCTGGTTTCTCCTGCACACCAGTGTGCAGTCTGGTGGATGCTGGTGGGGAGAGGGGGATTCTCTGAGCATGACCATGAGAACACCCAAGAAAGCGGGACTTAGCTCACAAAGCTATTACTAGTGCTTTCTGTCACCCAGGCTGGAGTGCAGAAGTACAGTTCTAGCTCACTGCAGCCTCCACCTCCTGGGCTCAAGCAATTCTCCCACCTCAGCCTCCCAAGTAGCTAGGACCAAAGGCACGTGCCACCATGCCTGGCTAATTATTTTACTTTTTTAGTAGAGACCAGGTCTTGCTACATTGCCCAGGCTGTAATGCACTCATTCTTACTGATAAAATGAAAAACAAAACAAAACGTATAGCTCCTGCTCTGCATTACATTAAGAAAGCTACACACTTAGATCTGATACAATGCTTAGTCTAATAATGACAGGCTGTCTCCGGGCCAAAAAAATAAGTCGTCCCCAACCACTTCCTCCTGTCAAAAGACACTGGAAAATTCTGCCCTGCTCTTAGCTCCCCCTTGCAACATCTCAAAGCGGCTCTGCTTCTTAAAGAGGCAACTTACTTCTGGTCTCCTGAGGTTTGTTTTGTTCTTTTTTTCTTTTTTTGATAAAGACATTAATTTTCCTCATTAGCATTTTGAATTCACTCAGGGATGTTTTAACTACTTAGTTATGATCCAAATAAAGAGTGGCTTGCAGCCCCTCTCAGAGGCTGTTTTAAGCTAACCAGTCTCAAACTTCAGCATACATCACAAAAACCTGGTGGGCTTGTTAGAACACAAACTGCTGGGTCCCGTGTGGGGCAGGGCGGGGTGTGGGGAGCTTCCTTTTTGTAGAATCGGCACTTCTAGTAGGTTCCCAGGTGATTTTGATGCAGCTGGTTCAGGGCCATATTCTGAGAACCACTGCTTTAAGCTACCTTTCCTTAAATGGAAAAGAAAAACAATTAAGTGAAGGAAATATTGAGTTCCGTGATTTCCCCAGGGCCAGGTGAAAGACTTCCACTTATGAAAAGGCCTTGGTTAGGAATCATGCTGAACTCACTAGTGTAATTCCATCTCCCTCATCTATTTTTGGAATTTGAAAACACATATGTTAATTTATATTGAATTCATAATATTACTTTATTAATCCATCTCTCAAATGGATTACTTTTTAAGGGAGATTTGTGCCTTCTTCTCTCCTGAAAACTTAAATATTCATTTTAATGAGACAAAAATAACCAGAATTTGATCAGAAATATTCGGTAACTTTAAGGAGCTGATGCTCACATATCTACAATAATAAGATAGAAAATATTCAGGCGTCTTAAAATACGAGTTATCTGAAATCGAGAGGGAAGAGATTAAAGTGATGATGAAAGGGACAGTCTGGAAGGGCAGCATTGATACAGCAGAAGGGGCCCTGGATTAAATCTGGTTGGGAAACCCAGTCCCAGTTACCCCACTGAGGAGCCTTATGGGCTCGGAAAATTGGTTTTTATGGACCTCAGGTTCTACATATGCAAGATGAAGATAACACCGTCCTCCAAAGACGATGATATAATTAAATTTAGTTGTTTTATCCCACATCATTTTTTAAGAACTTGAGATTTTTAAAATTTCACATTTAAAAAAAAAACTTGAGGAAAAAATGAGTTTTCAAAAATTAATGAGTAAAATACATATTTTAAAACAATATATACCAACCAAAAACACACAGTAAAATTATTCTGACTAATCACAAATGCTGGCCTAAGTTTCCTGGCAGTTAAACTGAAGAAGGGAATTATTACATAACTCTCATTATCTCATAAATTGAGAGGCGGAAACAAGCGAATTCCTCAAAGCAATGAATGAGATCATGTGTGTGAAAGCTTCTGGCAAATAACCAGAAATAAGATGTCATTATTAAGGTTTCAGGAAGAGGTGGGATATGAGCTTTACTATGGTGGGACAGGGCAGACCCCAAACACAGCAGGTGATGAGATGTAGTACAAAGAAACTCTGCCTCCCTCTTCTCTTTCCTTTGGCTTGGTTCTCAAACCTCTGCCTACTGCAGAGTGGGAGTGCACGTGCTGAAGGCAGATTGAGGGTGCTCTTCAATCAAGTTGAGAGTGTAGCATTCACTTGTATGAAAATGCCGCTTCTGTAGGTCAAAAAATATCAGTGATTTCCTAAGGTTAAACCTAACAGTAAGACCAAGTGAAGTGGAGGCAACAGGTATAAAGAATATACCATTTCAAGGCTGTCTTTGCAGTTCTAACAGTTAGAAAAGAACATTCTGAAGACTAGAGAGTTAAACCTTAGTTTGGAACCTCACTGCTTGAGAACCTGGGAGAATCTGGAGGAGAAGAGATCAATGAAAATGCTTAAAGACTTGGAGAGGAAGGGAACACGCTAGAGCGGGGGTCCCCAGCCCCCAGGTACCGGTCCATGGCCTGTTAGGAACCAGGCTGCACAGCAGGAGATGAGCGGTGGGCAAGCCAGCATTACAGCCTGAGCTCCAGCTCCTGTCAGATCAGCAGCAGCATTAGATTCTCATGGGAGCAAACCCTATTGTGAACTGTGCATGCTGGGGATCTAGGTTGCATGCTCCTGATGAGAATCTAATGCCTGATGATCTGAAGTGGAACAATTTCATCCCAAAACCATCCCCTCTCGGTCCTCCATGGAAAAATTGTCTTCCACGAAACTGATTCCTGGTGCCAAAAAGGTTGGAGACCGCTGTGCTAGAGAAGACTGAACTGTCCCACCACAGCCTGGTCCCGTCCTCCAGGGTACTCAGCTGGACTACATTTCTCAACCTCCTTTGGAGACAGGTGTGGCCCATGGCTGACTTCTGGCCAGTGAAATGTCAGTGAAAGTGATAGTCACAACTTCCGGGCCTGGACGATCTTGGCCGCCATTACAAACAACTGTGTTCATTCCTCTGTGACTGTCTGAGTGCTGGATGTTAACACCCAGGGAGGCCTGGAAAGCCACCAACGAAGACAGCAAAGCCCTGGTCCCCTACAATATGGAGCAGAGCCACCCCCGTCCTGATTGGGTTTACATTCTGTTGTGTTGAGTCACCACGATTTTTGAGTGCAACTGTAACATATCTGGTGTAATAGAAGAATGGATAAAGGAACTGTTGTTCTCATGCCCCCTCTAAAAAAGAGATAACTAATCCATTTACTATTTTAAAAGGTAGCATGCTGGTTTCCAAACCTGGAAACACCCATCAGAATCACCTGTGGAGTGTTTTAATCAAACAGATTCCTATACTACACCCTGAATCTCCTGAATTTTTCCAGGATTTTTTTTAAGTTCTTTAGGAGTTTACGACTGATCATTAGGCTGGAATCTGAGGATGGCTAGAAAGGATGTGGCTGCAATGCTGACCTGCCGATGTCCTCATTTCTCTACCCCTGGAAACGCGCCATCTGCTTTACGTCCTGGCTCTTAATCTTGCACCATCTTCTCGTCATCTCTAACTGGTTAACTGGTGTGTTTTATCAACTCAAGAACCCTGTACGCTCATCAGGGGCCAGGATTATAGCTTTTATATTTATTTTCCAAACAGCATGAAGCTAGACAGGTAATGAAAGCTCAATCAACACATTAATTCATTTGATTTAAGCAGTTGTTTTCTTCTATACCATCAGAATAAGGGGAAAAAGGGCTTTTCTAGCAACGTAGACACAGGCTAGACTTAGCAAAACAGTTCCAATTATGTGTTTAAGTCATTTTTAAGACACCAATGTGCCCAAGGTGACTGATTACCCCATGCATTGATGGAGAAGTAACCAGTTCTCAAAATTTAATATGTGCAAGGCTGAACTATGAAGCTTGTTAAAAATGTAGATTCCTGGGCTTAGCCTCCAGGTAGTCTGATCTAGTAGCTCCAGTGTAAGGCACAGGAATTTGCATTTATGATATTCCTCCTCCTACCCCATCCCTGAGTTGTGTGCAAGTGGCAAGAAACAGGAGGTGTGATTGTAAACTAGTAAGGTCAGGATCGTGTGATTGTAAACTAGTCAGGTCAGGATCGTGTGATTGTAAACTAGTCAGGTCAGGGTCGTGTGATTGTAAACTAGCAAGGTCAGGATCGTGTGATTGTAAACTAGTCAGGTCAGGATCGTGTGATTGTAAACTAGTCAGGTCAGGGTCGTGTGATTGTAAACTAGTAAGGTCAGGATCGTGTGATTGTAAACTAGTCAGGTCAGGATCGTGTGATTGTAAACTAGTCAGGTCAGGATCGTGTGATTGTAAACTAGTCAGGTCAGGATCGTGTGATTGTAAACTAGTCAGGTCAGGATCGTGTGATTGTAAACTAGTCAGGTCAGGGTCGTGTGATTGTAAACTAGTAAGGTCAGGATCGTGTGATTGTAAACTAGTAAGGTCAGGATCGTGTGATTGTAAACTAGTCAGGTCAGGGTCGTGTGATTGTAAACTAGTCAGGTCAGGATCGTGTGATTGTAAACTAGTCAGGTCAGGGTCTTGTGATTGTAAACTAGTAAGGTCAGGATAGTGTGATTGTAAACTAGCAAGGTCAGGATCGTGTGATTGTAAACTAGTCAGGTCAGGATCATGTGACTGTAAACTAGTCAGGTCAGGATCGTGTGATTGTAAACTAGTCAGGTCAGGATCGTGTGGTTGTAAACTAGCAAGGTCAGGATCGTGTGATTGTAAACTAGCAAGGTCAGGATCGTGTGATTGTAAACTAGTCAGGTCAGGATCGTGTGATTGTAAACTAGTCAGGTCAGGATCGTGTGATTGTAAACTAGTCAGGTCAGGATCGTGTGATTGTAAACTAGTCAGGTCAGGATCGTGTGATTGTAAACTAGTCAGGTCAGGGTCGTGTGATTGTAAACTAGTCAGGTCAGGGTCGTGTGGTCGTAAACTAGTCAGGTCAGGGTCGTGTGGTCGTAAACTAGTCAGGTCAGGGTCGTGTGATTGTAAACTAGTCAGGTCAGGGTCGTGTGGTTGTAAACTAGTCAGGTCAGGGTCGTGTGGTTGTAAACTAGTCAGGTCAGGGTCGTGTGATTGTAAACTAGTCAGGTCAGGATCCTGTGATTGTAAACTAGTAAGGTCAGGATCGTGTGATTGTAAACTAGTCAGGTCAGGATCGTGTGATTGTAAACTAGTCAGGTCAGGATCGTGTGATCGTAAACTAGTCAGGTCAGGATCGTGTGATCGTAAACTAGTCAGGTCAGGGTCATGTGATCGTAAACTAGTCAGGTCAGGGTCGTGTGATTGTAAACTAGTAAGGTCAGGGTCGTGTGATTGTAAACTAGTAAGGTCAGGGTCGTGTGGTTGTAAACTAGTCAGGTCAGGGTCGTGTGGTTGTAAACTAGTCAGGTCAGGATAGTGTGATTGTAAACTAGTCAGGTCAGGATCGTGTGATTGTAAACTAGTCAGGTCAGGGTCGTGTGATTGTAAACTAGTCAGGTCAGGGTCGTGTGATTGTAAACTAGTCAGGTCAGGGTCGTGTGATTGTAAACTAGTCAGGTCAGGGTCGTGTGATTGTAAACTAGTCAGGTCAGGATCGTGTGGTTGTAAACTAGTAGTCAGGTCAGGGTCGTGTGATTGTAAACTAGTCAGGTCAGGGTCGTGTGATTGTAAACTAGTCAGGTCAGGATCGTGTGATTGTAAACTAGTCAGGTCAGGGTCGTGTGGTTGTAAACTAGTCAGGTCAGGGTCGTGTGATTGTAAACTAGTCAGGTCAGGATCGTGTGATTGTAAACTAGTCAGGTCAGGGTCGTGTGATTGTAAACTAGTCAGGTCAGGGTCGTGTGATTGTAAACTAGTCAGGTCAGGATAGTGTGATTGTAAACTAGTCAGGTCAGGGTCGTGTGATTGTAAACTAGCAAGGTCAGGATCGTGTGATTGTAAACTAGTCAGGTCAGGATCGTGTGATTGTAAACTAGCAAGGTCAGGATCGTGTGATTGTAAACTAGTCAGGTCAGGATCGTGTGATTGTAAACTAGTAAGGTCAGGGTCGTGTGATTGTAAACTAGTCAGGTCAGGGTCGTGTGATTGTAAACTAGTCAGGTCAGGGTCGTGTGATTGTAAACTAGCAAGGTCAGGATCGTGTGATTGTAAACTAGTCAGGTCAGGTCGTGTGATTGTAAACTAGTCAGGTCAGGGTCGTGTGGTTGTAAACTAGTCAGGTCAGGGTCGTGTGATTGTAAACTAGTCAGGTCAGGATCCTGTGATTGTAAACTAGCAAGGTCAGGATCGTGTGATTGTAAACTAGTCAGGTCAGGGTCGTGTGGTTGTAAACTAGTCAGGTCAGGGTCGTGTGATTGTAAACTAGCAAGGTCAGGATCGTGTGATTGTAAACTAGCAAGGTCAGGATCGTGTGATTGTAAACTAGTCAGGTCAGGGTCGTGTGATTGTAAACTAGTCAGGTCAGGGTCGTGTGGTTGTAAACTAGTCAGGTCAGGATAGTGTGATTGTAAACTAGTCAGGTCAGGATAGTGTGATTGTAAACTAGTCAGGTCAGGATCGTGTGATTGTAAACTAGTCAGGTCAGGATAGTGTGATTGTAAACTAGTCAGGTCAGGATAGTGTGATTGTAAACTAGTCAGGTCAGGATAGTGTGATTGTAAACTAGTCAGGTCAGGATAGTGTGATTGTAAACTAGTCAGGTCAGGGTCGTGTGATTGTAAACTAGTCAGGTCAGGATCGTGTGATTGTAAACTAGCAAGGTCAGGATCATGTGATTGTAAACTAGTCAGGTCAGGGTCGTGTGATTGTAAACTAGTCAGGTCAGGGTCGTGTGATTGTAAACTAGTCAGGTCAGGGTCGTGTGGTTGTAAACTAGTCAGGTCAGGGTCGTGTGGTTGTAAACTAGTCAGGTCAGGGTCGTGTGATTGTAAACTAGTCAGGTCAGGATCCTGTGATTGTAAACTAGTAAGGTCAGGATCGTGTGATTGTAAACTAGCAAGGTCAGGATCGTGTGATTGTAAACTAGTCAGGTCAGGATCGTGTGATTGTAAACTAGTCAGGTCAGGGTCGTGTGGTTGTAAACTAGTCAGGTCAGGGTCGTGTGATTGTAAACTAGTCAGGTCAGGATCGTGTGATTGTAAACTAGTCAGGTCAGGGTCGTGTGGTTGTAAACTAGTCAGGTCAGGGTCGTGTGGTTGTAAACTAGTCAGGTCAGGGTCGTGTGATTGTAAACTAGTCAGGTCAGGATCGTGTGATTGTAAACTAGTCAGGTCAGGATCGTGTGATTGTAAACTAGTAAGGTCAGGGTCGTGTGATTGTAAACTAGTCAGGTCAGGGTCGTGTGATTGTAAACTAGTCAGGTCAGGGTCTTGTGATTGTAAACTAGTAAGGTCAGGATAGTGTGATTGTAAACTAGCAAGGTCAGGATCGTGTGATTGTAAACTAGTCAGGTCAGGATCATGTGACTGTAAACTAGTCAGGTCAGGGTCGTGTGATTGTAAACTAGTCAGGTCAGGGTCGTGTGATTGTAAACTAGTCAGGTCAGGATCGTGTGATTGTAAACTAGTCAGGTCAGGGTCGTGTGATTGTAAACTAGTCAGGTCAGGGTCGTGTGATTGTAAACTAGTCAGGTCAGGGTCGTGTGATTGTAAACTAGTCAGGTCAGGGTCGTGTGATTGTAAACTAGTCAGGTCAGGGTCGTGTGATTGTAAACTAGTCAGGTCAGGATCGTGTGATTGTAAACTAGTCAGGTCAGGGTCGTGTGATTGTAAACTAGTCAGGTCAGGGTCGTGTGATTGTAAACTAGTCAGGTCAGGGTCGTGTGATTGTAAACTAGTCAGGTCAGGGTCGTGTGATTGTAAACTAGTCAGGTCAGGGTCGTGTGATTGTAAACTAGTCAGGTCAGGATCGTGTGACTGTAAACTAGTCAGGTCAGGGTCGTGTGATTGTAAACTAGTCAGGTCAGGGTCGTGTGATTGTAAACTAGTCAGGTCAGGGTCGTGTGATTGTAAACTAGTCAGGTCAGGGTCGTGTGATTGTAAACTAGTCAGGTCAGGGTCGTGTGATTGTAAACTAGTCAGGTCAGGATAGTGTGATTGTAAACTAGTCAGGTCAGGGTCGTGTGATTGTAAACTAGTCAGGTCAGGGTCGTGTGGTTGTAAACTAGTCAGGTCAGGATCGTGTGATTGTAAACTAGTCAGGTCAGGGTCGTGTGATTGTAAACTAGTCAGGTCAGGGTCGTGTGATTGTAAACTAGTCAGGTCAGGATCGTGTGATTGTAAACTAGTCAGGTCAGGGTCGTGTGATTGTAAACTAGTCAGGTCAGGATCGTGTGATTGTAAACTAGTCAGGTCAGGGTCGTGTGATTGTAAACTAGTCAGGTCAGGGTCGTGTGATTGTAAACTAGTCAGGTCAGGGTCGTGTGATTGTAAACTAGTCAGGTCAGGATCGTGTGATTGTAAACTAGTCAGGTCAGGGTCGTGTGGTTGTAAACTAGTCAGGTCAGGGTCGTGTGGTTGTAAACTAGTCAGGTCAGGGTCGTGTGGTTGTAAACTAGTCAGGTCAGGGTCGTGTGATTGTAAACTAGTCAGGTCAGGGTCGTGTGATTGTAAACTAGCAAGGTCAGGATCGTGTGATTGTAAACTAGTAAGGTCAGGATCGTGTGATTGTAAACTAGCAAGGTCAGGATCGTGTGATTGTAAACTAGTCAGGTCAGGATCGTGTGATTGTAAACTAGTCAGGTCAGGGTCGTGTGATTGTAAACTAGTCAGGTCAGGATCCTGTGATTGTAAACTAGTAAGGTCAGGATCGTGTGATTGTAAACTAGCAAGGTCAGGATCGTGTGATTGTAAAGTAGTCAGGTCAGGATCGTGTGATTGTAAACTAGTCAGGTCAGGGTCGTGTGATTGTAAACTAGTCAGGTCAGGGTCGTGTGATTGTAAACTAGTCAGGTCAGGGTCGTGTGGTTGTAAACTAGTCAGGTCAGGGTCGTGTGATTGTAAACTAGTCAGGTCAGGGTCGTGTGATTGTAAACTAGTCAGGTCAGGGTCGTGTGATTGTAAACTAGTCAGGTCAGGGTCGTGTGATTGTAAACTAGTCAGGTCAGGGTCGTGTGATTGTAAACTAGTCAGGTCAGGGTCGTGTGATTGTAAACTAGTCAGGTCAGGGTCGTGTGATTGTAAACTAGTCAGGTCAGGGTCGTGTGATTGTAAACTAGTCAGGTCAGGATAGTGTGATTGTAAACTAGTCAGGTCAGGGTCGTGTGATTGTAAACTAGTCAGGTCAGGGTCGTGTGGTTGTAAACTAGTCAGGTCAGGATCGTGTGACTGTAAACTAGTCAGGTCAGGGTCGTGTGATTGTAAACTAGTCAGGTCAGGGTCGTGTGATTGTAAACTAGTCAGGTCAGGATCGTGTGACTGTAAACTAGTCAGGTCAGGGTCGTGTGATTGTAAACTAGTCAGGTCAGGATCGTGTGATTGTAAACTAGTCAGGTCAGGGTCGTGTGATTGTAAACTAGTCAGGTCAGGGTCGTGTGATTGTAAACTAGTCAGGTCAGGGTCGTGTGATTGTAAACTAGTCAGGTCAGGATCGTGTGGTTGTAAACTAGTCAGGTCAGGGTCGTGTGGTTGTAAACTAGTCAGGTCAGGGTCGTGTGGTTGTAAACTAGTCAGGTCAGGGTCGTGTGGTTGTAAACTAGTCAGGTCAGGGTCGTGTGATTGTAAACTAGTCAGGTCAGGGTCGTGTGATTGTAAACTAGTCAGGTCAGGATCGTGTGATTGTAAACTAGTAAGGTCAGGATCGTGTGATTGTAAACTAGCAAGGTCAGGATCGTGTGATTGTAAACTAGTCAGGTCAGGATCGTGTGATTGTAAACTAGTCAGGTCAGGGTCGTGTGATTGTAAACTAGTCAGGTCAGGATCCTGTGATTGTAAACTAGTAAGGTCAGGATCGTGTGATTGTAAACTAGTAAGGTCAGGATCGTGTGATTGTAAACTAGTCAGGTCAGGATCGTGTGATTGTAAACTAGTCAGGTCAGGGTCGTGTGATTGTAAACTAGTCAGGTCAGGGTCGTGTGATTGTAAACTAGTCAGGTCAGGGTCGTGTGGTTGTAAACTAGTCAGGTCAGGGTCGTGTGATTGTAAACTAGTCAGGTCAGGGTCGTGTGATTGTAAACTAGTAAGGTCAGGGTCGTGTGATTGTAAACTAGTCAGGTCAGGGTCGTGTGATTGTAAACTAGTCAGGTCAGGATCCTGTGATTGTAAACTAGTAAGGTCAGGATCGTGTGATTGTAAACTAGTAAGGTCAGGGTCAGGTCTATTTTGTTTAATGTGATATCCGTAGGGCCAAGCATATTGCTTAACTCACAATAAAGCTTATTATCTGTCCAATGAGGAGGAATCTCATCTGACTTATCCTAAACACTGCCCTTCCTTCCAGAAAGGAAATGAACCAGGTGACCCTCCTGGTCTTCTGAAGGCCACCAGCTTACTGTCACACACTTAGTAAACTGGGAAGTGCCCCTTCTGGCTGCCTCAGCCCCATCTGCTCAGAGTTCTAATTGAAGAGGCCGACCTCCTTTGATTGGCACTGCCTTCTTGCTGTGCCAGGGACCATCTGTAGCCACCACCTCCTGGCAGTTCAGACATCTCTTCCTTCTTGCAGGCATGGATGGGCAAGGACATTAGTAAATGGACCTGGATCTAGGAGAGAGGGCCTGCCTGTCACACCCCGAATGACCCCAGGTCTGTTAGCAAACTCCACACAGGTACTGAGAACTCCCACACCTGGGGAATGGTGCTTTCCTAGTAACTAGGTTTTTTTTTTTTTTTTTTCTGCAGCAGAATGCTGAGCATCCCATAACCGTGATTTCACTGGCTCTCACAGTACCTCAGTAAAACCAGGAGGGAGCACGGGTCTGTATCCATATTTTGCAGATGGCAAACAGAGAGGAAATCTGACTTGCCCAAGGTCACACAGCAGGTCAGCCATGAAGCCAGGGAGGGTACCCAAGCTCTACGCATCCACAGCCGTGGCATCTGCAGGGCCACAGCCCCTTCACAGGGGCGGGGAATCACAGCTGCTTCCATTTAAGGCTGTTGCTCCTCAATTTTACACAGGGGTATGTGCTCTTCAGAAAGGAAATACTAAGCTAAGCTTTGCCTCTCTTCACTTAAAAGACCTTCGGGATGAATCTCTTTCAGAGACTCAACTGCCATCCAAGTGAAGAGAGGACGGGGGGATATGAAAAGATCTTTTTCTTGGCAGTGGTAATGAACCTGTAGTTCTCAAAGTGTAGATGGGACGTATCAGAATCACCCAGGCACTTTCTCAACATATATCGTCCCCCATTCACAGATTCTGCAAGTCAACCAACCCCACTTCAGCCCTGACTCCATAGCAAATCTCACAATGGAGTAGTTTGAGTGGCTTTTTTCTTTTCCCTTATCCCACGGGCAGGTGTTAACAGCAAAGGGGACAGGGGTGAGCAGTAGGAAGGGGAAGCCTGGACCCTGGACAATCCACAGCAGAGGGTGCGGAGCTGACATCCCCTGTGCCAGTTTGCCGCAGCACGATACAAAAGGTGCACAGGACACAAGAGTAATGGGGCAATCCGGGCCCACACCTTCGTTCTCATACTAAGAGGAAAACAGAAAATACAGGGTTACAGAGTTCACAGCCAACACTCAAAACAACAGACTGGAGTATGTGTCTAAGGAAGACATGAAATGGAAGGGCCACTACAGACAACTGGCGGTTGAGAAGATAAGACTCAGCCTACATCCTCCAGAAGCATACTGACAGACAGAGTCTGGGGTCGTTTGAGGCTCTCCTCTGTACTGATACTCTCCACCCCACTCCCTGAGAACAACTGGAGGGAGGGTGCCTGCCTAGGGGCTCTCGAGTGGTGAGCACAGTGCTGGGCACACACAGTAAAGCTCCAGAAAAGTGAGTTGTTTTTGCATTGCGAGTTTTTCTGGACTGTGTCAAGTTTTACTTTAAATAAGGCACATCCAAACTAAGAAGTGCCCAGGTGAGGTTGGTCACCCAGTGATGGCTTCCAGGCTCACCAGCACACCCTCAGTCCTATCCATGACTGAGCCCTTCCCATCCAGCCCTCCCCTGGATCCCAGTACTGTTGCTTCTCCCACTCAGTACGCATCCCTTACTTCCCTGTTGGTTTCAAAGTTTTCTCTCTCCAGTGATCCCATAAATCAGGCATGTGAGACAGAAGGTTTTCACATCATGTATTAAAGGTTATTAAGTGCTCCCAATGAGATAGAAGAAATCTTCCATTGCAACATGAGAGGCATACTTTGGACATCAGAATGAATAGTGGTAAGCGCTACTTAAACAATGTAGGTTACCAGTGGATGGACGGAGAGGCAGAAACTGACATTTACTGACTACCTACGTGTGTGAATGTGCTTGATTTTATTTAATCCTCAACACCCTCCTGCGAGGAAGGTATCATTATTTCAGGGATGAAGAAAGAGGAAAAGAATAGCATTTCCACAGCAGATGTTCTTAGAAAACAGAAGCCACGGACTTAGGTTCCAATGACTTGCAAATAGTACCCTGGTGGGGAAAAGTATGCACATATGTTTGGCCTCCACTGTACCCAGAGCTGCTTGGAGAGCCTTCCACATGGATCAGTCAATGACCAAGGAGGAGTTCTAAGCCTTTGGGTGGCAGCCAATAAATAATCATCCTTTCTGCCCCTTATAAACTCAGAACCAATTAAGAAGTAAGATATAGGACACACAGATTAAATCAAACCAAAAGCTTGATTAGAAACAAATTATAAAATGGAGGAAGTGGCTTAGACGGGCTTCGAAGGACTTCCTAATATTTCAACCACTATTAAATGTACTTACCCTGCCAGAAGGTGAGACCATCACAGGTTTTCCCCACAGGGCCAGATCAGTCCCAATAACTTGGTGAACCCTTCTTTGGGGATAAGTGGATTCAAAAGAGAGTCCCAGAAGGGGCTACACCAAACTCACCAGTCAGATAGGTCACTTCTCCCCTGGGGACAAGGGCATAAAGAGACAGGGAAAAGTGGGATGTGTTCCTGCCATACCTTCCCTTCCGGGAACATGAGCTAGAAACTCCCTCCTTCCCCTGCCCATGTAACACAAGGGGTAGGGAGTAAATGATATTCCTTTTGCGGGAGAGGGCCATCAACACTTTCAAGCTAACTCGAATGTATGGGAAAGACTGAAAAAAAAAAAAAAAGTTAAACCCATGGACCCAGCAAAGTGCCATCCTCTAAGGAGGACTTGGAAGGACCCAAGAAAGTCTTGGGAAGTAAAAACTGGGGAAGAGTAAGAGCTTAGAAAAAAGAAAGAAGGGGTTTGACCTAACAGGTCTGTAACAGAAAACATACAGCTGTCCCCGCACAAACACCTTCATCTGATCTGGAATTTGCTCTACATAGAACCTGAATAATCTCCTGGAACCCACCAGGCCTCTACCACCTACAAAGGCAACCTTGACATTTAAAGTGCATAACTCTTGTCCCTGCTTCTTGATAGACAGTGGAGGACAAATGATGACTCACACAAGAAGCCCCCAAGCCTGCTCCGGGGCTTCTTAGCCTCAGCTGCACGGTTGCTGCTTTCCATGTCCTTCCACCTTCCACTCAGCACGTTGGCCTCCCAGAGGGTCCTCTTTCTACACTGTCCTACAACCCAAACGTTTGTGTATCGTATCAGAGCTGCTGATGTGAAGAAGCCTTTGACTGTGGCCAGATTGCAGAGGCCACTCTGTCTAAACCAGCCCTTTTTTGGACTTTCTTTTTCAGGCGGACTATTTACACACTTCAAGCAAGCCCCACAAGAGCCCCCAGCAAATAATACATTCATCCAAGCAGCCATCTCTGGTGGAAAAAAATCGTTATTAATTGGGGTTACAGCACTCATTTTAACCGCAGCAGGAGCTGAGCCAACTTGATTTAGTGGTGTGCAGTCTTTTTCTGAACTCCAGTGGATACTTCACAAATAACAATAAAAATTTTAATGGTAGGACAGACATGGAGTGGGCTACACAGCTTCACTCATTAAACAAACTCCATCCACCATGCTCAAGGATTCAAGCTGTTTTATGTGGCCAGCCACTTTGCCTAAGCCTGCTGCAGATGAGAGACTAAATTTTCATGGTGTCAAGTTGCAGTAAGAAACAGGTTTCATTAGCCCTCTTAACAGATGCAGAAACCGAAGGCCAGAGTGAGAAAGTGATTTAGGATCAATCAGAGGAGGTGCCAGGAGTCCATCCTCAGCCCCACCTCTCGCCCCAGCCTCATTCAGTTCTGATTTCCGAAACATTTTCGCTTCATGGAAACTAGGAAGACTCCATTCTCTGGAGAACTGCAGGGCAGCTGTTTCTGATTATTTTTCCAAGAGAGACACATAACCAAAAGGGTATTTTGGTTATAAAGCAATTTATTTCTCTAACCATTAGAAGATATGTATGTTCATTCCCATGGGCCCGGGGCTGGGTTTGGTTGCCCTGCAATGACAACGTCTAGCAGGACTCCACTGAATCCAGGAGGCCAGTAATGGAAACTCAAAGACTGTGGCAGTGCCACTTAGATAAGCACCTGCGGCCTCCCTGACCTACCTCAACCTCCCTGGCTTGGAAACCTCTGCTGGAAATTTCATAGAAGCTACTTCTCCCCTTGCAGGGGAGAATTTTCATTACAAAGGAGGATTTCAACACGCTTCAGCCATGTCCTTTAGGATCACTGTACTAGAAAGCTGGGTATAGCTCTGACCAGCCATTGACCGCCTGCCCTCATGATGGTCACGATCCCAGGAGACATGTCAGTAGACCACACTGTCCAGCAGCAACTCAGCTTCCCTTTGCCCTTCACCCCCATGACCTTATGCTGACTGTCAACGTGATCTATTTTCTCCCCTGCTCTTCAGAAGCCCTCAGCAACGATTCTCCACTCCCCAGATACTGATGACAGAAACTAAATGATCAAGAAGTATTCATATGAGCAGACACACATCCCTCTCAAACTCAGGCTCTTCCAAAGTGACATGACTGTTCTGCAGACGGGCTGAGCCAACGCAGAACACACTGTCCCTCCTTCTGCGTCATGCTGGAAGTTGCTCTAAGTGCAGGATGTGGTAGAAGTCACCAGGGTGGATGGGATGGTCTGTGTTCCAGCAAACCCACAAGGACAGAAGAGCCAGCCTGGGCTGGTTAGGGAGAGGACAGCTTCAAGGCTGAAGACTAAAAAGTAGAGCTATTATTCTGGGTGGCTTGTCGTCATCTCCACTGAGAGCAGAACAAACCCCTAAAGCATGTGGAATTTCCATTACAGACAAAAAAGAATTATTGGACAGTGAGGGTCATTAGACAATGGAATGAGTGCCCAAGGCTACAGCACTGGCATCACCACAATGATCAAGTCAGGAGGGCCGGCTGGGGTTGGGAGGTCACTGGATTAGAGATGGATGACCAGGGCTCCATTGGCTCAGTGGGTATTTAACGCATGGCCTTGGAGGAGGTGCCAGTCTCTCTCCACTTCAGCTACAGCGTAGGCCATCACCCAGTTTGTCCCCCTGAGTAGTTGCTATGAAGATCAAATGAGATCATGGATGTAAAAGTGTTCAGTGAACCATAAATTGCTACCCAGATATCAGCTGTCATCAACCACACCCACAATCCTGACTAAAGGTCTCGGGATGGAGAGAGGGTCTTGGCCTGTGCCCTTCAGGATTCGGTGCTGTGCGTGCAACCTGGGAGTTTCTGCCCTGTTAATAAGCTGAGTGCTCCCAACTCCAGGTGCTGGGAGGTGAACGGCCCAGGGTTGGAAATGTCTCTTCCTGGAGTGCTCAGTGCTGATGCTGGCCAGGTGGAGCACAGAAGACAAATGAACTCCGCAGATACTGACTGGGTGGGCTCTGTGAGGCACTGTCCATGCCTCAGGGAGATGGACTGATGCATCCTTGTCCTTGAGGAATCTAAAGAGAAGGCAAGGCAGGCCGGGTGCAGTGGCTCACGCCTGTAATCCCAGCACTCTGGGAGGCCGAGGCAGGTGGATCACGAGGTCAGGAGATCGAGACCATCCTGGCTAACACGGTGAAACCCCGTCTCCACTGAAAATACAAAAAATTAGCCAGGCGTGGTGGCGGGCGCCTGTAGTCTCAGCTACTCGAGAGACTGAGGCAGGAGAATGGTGTGAACCCGGGAGGCGGAGCTTGAGGCAGGAGAATCGCGTGAACCTGGGAGGCGGCGCTTGCAATGAGCCAGGATCGCGCCACTGCACTCCAGCCTGGGCAACAGAGTGAGACTCCATCTCAAAAAAAAAAAAAAAAGAGAGAAGGCAAGGCAGATGTCACTGATTCGGAGCCACCGGCCGAGTGAGCCCTAGACTAGATTTTAGGCCTGGCCTCACCTTGGACAGGTCACGTGAGTCCCCTGAATCCCAGGTGCAATAAACAGGGAACAATCATCACCTCTGTGTGCCCACTTCACAGAGCTAATGTGAGGGTTGGGGGTGACGAACTGCAGAGGAGTACCAGCAGGAATAACAGCAAACATTTACCTGGCATCTGCTCTGTGCCACACACTGTTTAAACCTTTTACAATCAGAGGGCAACAAACTTTTTCTGTAAAGGGTCAGGTAGTAAATATTTTAGGATTTTATTTTAGGATTTGTAGGACAGACAGTCTCTGTCACAATTACTCATCTCTGCTGCTGCTGCAGAGAAACAGTCACAGACAAGACATAAATGGATACGTGTGGCTATGTTCTGATACCATTTTATTTACAAAAGCAGATGGCAGGCCGGATGTGGCCTGTTCGCCAGTTCACCAACTCCTGCTTTGCATACTTCCCCTCACCATGACCCAGTGAAGTATACGTCACTTCATACTCACTTTACAGATGAGAAAAGTGAGGCCCAGTCACATGAATTAACTTGCTCAATGTCAGAGAGCTGTTAAGTGGCAGGCTTGGGATTTGAAGAAAGGCAGTCTGGCCCCAGAGTCCTTACCTCCTTACCTCTCTACTGACAGCCTATTCAGAACGCTAGAAATGAAACGTGACAACCACTACATCAAACTGAGGTGCCAGTCAAGCATGGCCATAATAATAGCCAACATTTCCTGAGGGCCTATTTTACGCCAGGCACGGTGCCAGGTGCTTCCCAGATGCAACCTTCATAGCAGCTCTGTGAGAACAGGACTATCGTGATGCTCATTGTACAGAGGGAGAAACAGAGGCTGAGGGTTACCATAACTTGCTCAAGGTCCCAGAGTCAGCAAGTATTAGAGCCATAATAGAACCTAAGTCCGTCACCGCCAAGGTTGGCATTGCCCCTCCACACCGTGAGGCCCTCTTGCCAGGAGGCAACATCCGCTCCTGTCTTTCGGTTACTTCTTTCCAGAGTAAAGGTAGACACTGTTCTCTTCGAGAGTTTATACCACTGCGGCTTTGAACACGGGAGCGTGATGCACTGCCTTGGGGATGATCACCCCCAGGAAGACAGGAAGGCTCACTTCTCTGCCCCAGTTGCAGCCATCGCCTCTCCAGCACCGACTCCTGTCTGTCCTGCACACCACTCAACACAGAGCATCTGCCAGTTTCTACAGCACTGCAGGCAGAACACTCACTTGCAGGCTGCTAACTAAAAATACTGGAAAATGGAGCCCAGTGAGGCGGCCTCGGTTCCTTCACAATGGAAAGGGATGATCCCGTGGGTCCTTGGCCCGGTGCAGAGAAATGTTCCCTGGAAGGACAGCACGGAGATTCCCAGCATCCAACTCTGGTTCCTGGACTCATCTCCTCCTCCCCTTAACTGGTCAGGAGCTGAGCATGAAAGAGACACTGCTCACTGGTTATATTTATAGAGCAGAGTCCAGCAGCCAGGAAGTGGACATTATGGGAATGTACAGTGTAAACACAGCATAGGAGAGGAGATTCTTAATTACTTTGCAATGGACATTTGAGCCAAACCTTCCTAGGTTAGCTAAGTTGTGTGTGGTGTTACTGTTTCTCCAATGAACACACACACACATATATACATAGAACTTAATTTTAAGTTAAAAAAAGTTTGAGTGGAAAAAGATGCCCACGATTCAGCTCAATTTTAGAAATAACTAATTATATTTGAGAATGGGAGAGAAGAGTTCTTTCTGGCTTACAAAGGTTCTCAGCCACCTGTCCCCCCTCTGCAGTGGCCACAGCACCTTTTCTCCTTTCCATGTACTGTTTCTTGCTTTGTTCCTAAAATTCAAGTTGTCTTCCCCTCCCTTGGAGAATAAAGAGAAAGGAGCAGGTGAGAACGAGACTAAGTGGAGGTGACAGAGAATGAAAAGAGGAAGCACAAAGAGGCTCGGCAAGAATCCAGAATTTTAGAAGGAAAAAGAACAAGTGATTAAAGACCTAGAAGGTTTCAGCAAAAGTTTCCTTTTGTCCCTTTGCAAAATCTTGCCATCGTCCATAGGGAACTGAGGAGGGACCAGGAAGTCTAGATTTCGCCGTGGCTGCCCACCAGGAAGGTCAGGAAGCCTGAAACTCAGCCATGGGGACAAAGTGCCCACCAGGCGGATGAAGTCTGCAGTCACATTGCCGTGTTAAACTGGGACACTCCATCACAAAATGGCATGGTCGATTTCTCCCAGCCTAGAAAGCTGTGAGGAATTTCCCCACGAAGGTTATATCTCATTTTGTCACATGCAAATTTAGCTAATTAAAACCCACCCGGAAAAGGAGTTCAAGGACAAGAGAGCATCAGACTTATAGGAAAAACAGACCCTGCGGCATTGACAGGGCAGAGAGGGTGCAGGAAATCAAAGAGTGACCTCACAGGAAAAGGCGAGGGTGCTCCCAACTTCCATGCAATGCACTGTGACCATATAGAGAGAGCAAGGTTATAACAGGCCATCCCCGCTGCCCAAAGAAAATGTCCTGCCTATTTTTAAGACAAGAATAAAGGATAATCAGGGTGAAAACTGGAAAAAAATTCCAGAATGAATTGAAGGAAGCTACAGATTTGCAGGAGTCAAAGGGAAGAAGGAAGGAAGCTGATTTAGCCTTTCTTACTTTATAGTCTTAGCTTAAGTTTTTCAAAATTTTAATTCTACCTATCGGGGAGTTATTGCAGGCATGTGTAGGCATGTGTGTGCATGGGGGAAGAACGGCCTGGAAGGGGATGGAGAAGTGGGGAGACAGGGATGCAGCCGCTATGCATGAAGCGTCAGCCCAGGGAACTGGCCTCCTTGAAGACAGGAGATTACAGTTCTTGGATGGGTCATGACATCACCCCTCACCCCCAACCTTGGCCAATGTGCCAGCAGGTTTCTCCATGCCCAGGCAGCGGTGTGGACCAGGAGAAAAGCTTCCTTGCTGGGACCTATAAAAGAACAGGTTAGGACAGAGCGTAGCAGTTAAGAGCACACACACACCATGCTGGCTGGGTTCTCACCACAGCCCCCACACTCGCGACTCACGGGACCTGACGACCTACCCTCGGTGTGCCTCAGTTTTCTCATCTATACAAAGGGGACAACAACGGTATGAATTGCACAGAGTCGTCATGGGTCCAGCAGTTACAGGAGTGCCTATTACACAGGAAGCACTGTGTAAGTGTTAGCTGCTATTACTCAGAAACACGTTTCAGGCAGGGAGGCATGGCTCAGTGGGATAAGGAAAGCCTGAGATTCAGGATCCTGTTCACTCCGGGAGCCACCATCTAAAAGGCCTTACTACAGCCTCCTATTCAGCAGATTACTTTCCTGCTCAGAATTCAGCCTCGGCCCCCGATCTACAGAATTGGGTCCACTCTCATCTGCTGGGCAGCAAGGTCTCCAGCATCTGCATCCCCTGCCCAGCTCTGCCGAGCCTGCCCCACTGCAGTTGTCCTGCCACAGCACTGACTGTGGGCACTGTTCACCTTAACTGTCCCCACGCCATGCCCTGTGCTGTTTGCTGCCGGCACCATCTTCTCTTGCTCTGTTTGCTTGCCCTTCCTCCTGCCACCCTAACGGCAGGTGCTTTGTGGTGACTCTGAACAGGGGGCCTGGTTCTATGTCCATCCCACCATGGGTGTACCACGCACAAAGTTAGGGTACTGAGGTTTCACTCCAACTAAGCAACAACATGCAGGTAGTGCTCACTGTGTGCAGGGCCTTCTAGAGCTCCACGGTCCCTTATTGGAAACCCTTGGGGCCAAATGCATTTCAGAATTCAGAATGTGTCAGGTAAAGTCATTTGCATATCTACTGTATGTAATAGCACAGCAGGGTGAAGGGCCCCAGAAGCCAACGTATTTCTGCAGTAAATCATATGAATATTCACTCTAAGCAGGTTAAATAAGACTGCAACTACCCTTGTGTCAGTTTAGGACAACTCTGCCCCAGATGAATTCAGGAAAGGCCAGATTTTGCTGTCAAAGGGATAATAAATGAACTTTCACTTTTCAGAGACTTGGGGATTTCAGAATTACAGAGAAATGGCTATGGATCTGTACTAGGTGTTCTGGGGTCATAAAGATAAATATTTTTACACAAAGGAAATAGTATAACTGCTGCCTTTGGGAGGAACAAGGAAAGGAGCCCAAGCATGGGCACATTCTAGACCACCCGCTCTGAGCCTCAGTTGCCTGGTCTGTGAAATGGGATGACACTCTCCCGGCAAGGAGAGGTTTATTATAAAGCACCTGAAACACACTGCTCAGAGATCTCATGTGTGTTTGCTTCTCCCCTTTACTGTTCAGTCAATGAAAATTTAAACCCGGGTGGCTAAGCAAGCATGCATGTGCTGAAGGGTTCTCAATGGAGAATGGAGCTGAGAATGGCTCAGCTAAGAAGCTTCCTGGAGGGAGGACTCAGCAAATCCTTATGCTTCCATTTTGCTGTCTTCAACTAGGAGGAACAGAATGCCATTAATTGAACCACCTTCTTAAAGTATGCAAATCCCAAAGAATAATACAATTCCCTTTGCTCTCACGATCAGCGCGGCCCCTCCACATGGCCATGCTGTTTCTGTCTTGCCTGCTCCTCTTTTGCACTTTCCTAGACACTTTCTTTTTGAAAGACATCAAGCACACAAGTACGTTCAGGCAATCAGTTCAGCAGCAGAATTGCATTTACAGCCCCAGAGAAAAACCCTGTGGGAATGTCAGGGTGAGCAGACAAGAAGGCCTTGGCTTCGATGGGTCTGGGTTTACAGTTTACTCTGTTTGTTTTTTGTTGATAAAAGTAAAGTCTTCCCCTGCCCAGTATCCATTGTGAAGCATTCCCTTTTACATAAATGAACCTAATCCCCCTGTTTATTAACATTAAACTTGATATTTACAGCCCAAGTGCTTTATCAGCATTAACCAATAATCCTCAGTGAATTCTTGCAGGGGGAGTCCACGTGAGGCACTGAACTGCTCAACAAGAGCCTTGGCACAGCCCAAAGCAGGTGATGGCTCTGCTCTAGGAAGGAGGAGGTGCTTATAGGACTGACCTGTGGCTTCACCCCTCATGCCCTACACGGCAGACTTCTGCATTCCCTTCTCTCTAAACACAGAGGGAAGTGTGTGCAGCCTGAAAGGTAGTGGGCACAACATGGTTAACAGGGGAATCCTGAACTACTGCTGGGACCTGGGGGGCAGTTTCCGGAGGAGATGACTGTATTTAGTGTTTTGCATAGGTAATGATGGAAGGATGAGGTCTGTGTTCACCTGGCACCTTCCCTTAGGACCTTCCCTGCCTAGTGATAAATACAGGCTCAGGCCCTGAGTGCTTCTGTTCAAAAGCGGAGCTGCAGCCATGAGTCAACACCGCATTCCTGGGCTAGTGGTAATGAGCACAGCAGGCAGCTGACGTCCCACAACGCATGCTAGGGGAGCCGAAGGCCCCTTCACAATGAAATTAATGAAGGCTGTAGCTGAAAGACTCTTGGAGCAAGTGGCTAACTACAGACTCAGGAGGGCAAAGGCCCTGAAACAGATAGATGAATCTGAGCCAAGAGCAGCAGGGGATGGCCCCACAGAGTGGGCAGGATGCTTAAGGGAGCTCTCCAGAGATGCTTCTCTCTGGTAACAGTTCACCCAGGTCCTCAGTGGAGAGAAACTGGAATTCCACATCATAACTCAGTTCTATATCCATAGTTGTACATAGTTGGCCTGAAGTTTAATTGAAAACAGCACCATTTCCCTTATGTGCACCTAGTCATTCTCCAGTTGTCTTTATTATCTTAATAAAACCTCAAGTTAAAAGGCTCCTACCAGTACTGTTATAAAGGAATATTTGTATTGACTGAACCTCATCTGACAATTGCAGCGAGGAATTCAGTGCCCAGCATTGGCAAAACCAGATAAACAGTGCCCTTGTGAGTACTGCTCTAACAAAGCAATTTATAACTGGACTACACATTGCACTTGAGCACCTGGCCTGTTCCAGGGACAGACTCATGAGGTAGCTACTATTATCCCATTATATAGGTAAAGAAACTAAGGCTCAACAGAGTTAAGTTGCCCCACAGCCAGGGATTAGTCAAACCCAGATCTGACTCCAAAATGCCATTTCCACTATGTCATTTCATACCTTCTCATCATCCCCCCATGTGGTCTTCTTGGATGGTGATCGCACTGATGGCAGCAGTCACACGTGCTATCATGCATGTTTGATCAGTGGCTACCAGCAGACCATGAGCTGAGGGTTTAGGACTATGAGCCACCAGGCCCCTGACTAACCTCAGGCACAGCCCAGCTTTGGTTTCAAGTTATGGTTCTCTCTCAGGTGGCATCTCCACTTTCCTATGATTCAATTCATCAGCAATTACTTACCAAATGATTCTATGGGCCTCTCTGCACTAGACTTCATCCCTGCTTCCAGGTACTCACACACAACCTGGTTAGAGAGGTAAGATCATGACATATCAAATCGTCAGAGCTCAATTACCATGGTGTATGGATGAGTGCCACACTATGAGGAAATGGAGGGCATACACTTATTAGTAATAACCCATATAAGTAAGCTCCTTACTCCTTCTTATGCACCCACATAGCACTTAACAGCTTACAAAGACAGATCTCATTCTATCCAAAAGTTCAAACAAAACACCAAACCACACAGCAGATAAAAGACCCAAATGACACAGCCAGCTCTACCAATTATAAACCCTATGATCGTGGGTAAGTCACTTCACCTCTCAGACCCTCAGTTCTTTCCTCTTAAATTAAGAATAACCACACTTGCCCCTGCTAACCACACAGGGTTCTTTTGAGGATCAAATGAAATCACGCATATGAAAGCACTTTGAAACTACAAGCCACACAGCTGTACCATGGTAGATTATTGGACAAGCCAAATATTATTGCTCTCATTTACAAACAAGGAAACTGAGGCTGGAAGCAGACCCGGGACCAGGGCCCAAGTCTTTAGGTTCTTTGGCCAGAGGTCTGTCCTCTCCATGACGATGCTTCACTAACTAGGAGCAGGTAGGAAGTAAAGAATCCGGTTGGGCCTCAATAATCTAGGAAGACTCCCTGAAGTAGAGGCCAACAGGCCACTGACATAGTTGATTAAGAATAAATTTTTTTGAGTCATCATTTAAGAAACAGTAGGTTTCATACAAAATCCAAATTTTTGCCTTGAAAAGTCAGAAGAGCTCATAACAGCGGGCACAGACTTCCTCAGTGATGACCGTCTGCTGTGGCCGCCACCTTTAGGAAACACCTGTCATTTCAGTTCATCACAGTTACCCTGGTCCCCCATTGTTCCTCCAGCACGGAGGCCAAGTGTCAGTAGCTAGTTTTCATTATCCTTGCATTGCTGTCTCTGTGTAGCAATGGAAGTGAGTATGTTTCTGCGGGAAAGTGAAGACTCCTCCTGCACCTGTGTACCTTTCTTGCTTATTTCAGCAAGATTTAAGTTTGCATTGTCTGACCTGAAGGACAAAGAGACTCCCAGGAGATAGGGTGGCAGGAATGTAGCAAGAGCAAAGTATGGCTGGGAAAACTGAGCGTGGAGGTGGGAGGCCAGGTCGGAGGATGCGGCCTGACTGGGAGGAGGGGCTATGCAGAGGGCACAAGGACAATGGAGGACTGGGAAGACTTTACAGCTAAGAAATGAGGCTGCAAGATGGAGCAGGGAGCTTGAATGATGATGGCGATGGCAGGGACAAGGGCACCATGCATGGTAGTGCCAGCCCAGGGAGCAGGAGAAATGGAAATTCTGATGGGCAAGAACCAGGAGAAACGCCTTGCGAACTCATTCATTCAAAAATTTACTGCGGACCCACTGCGTGCCAGGCACACTGAGTTCTCTGGGAATACAGCAGGGGATCAAACATAACAAAAAATCTCCACTTTATGGCAGATGCAGCCACATTGGGAGGGATCTTTCCACAAAATTCCCCCATGAATGATTAAGGATAGCTGCTTCTGAGCCACGGAGGACAATAGGCAGAGCTGACTGTGACAGGGAGAGGGGATAGTCAAGGCGTGAGGTTAAAAATGCCCCACCTGCCAGTGCTCAGCTGGTGAAGGCACAAAGCAGCTGGAACTACCTGCCCCATCTGTCTTCGGAAGACCCAGAGGAACTTGAGCATGAGAATACACATAGCTGGTCCTGCCACTCCCCCACCTGCTTGGCCAGGCTGCACACGTTTTGCAATTGATCCCATCCCACACGCGTGCTCTCCTCTGCTTGCCACACTCTGGGACAAGGGGGGAGGCATAAAAAACATGGCATGATAAAAAGATCTGGAATTGGGATGACTTGAACT
Source organism: Homo sapiens (assembly GCF_000001405.40). Classification (NCBI taxonomy): domain Eukaryota; kingdom Metazoa; phylum Chordata; class Mammalia; order Primates; family Hominidae; genus Homo; species Homo sapiens. The sequence goes on along the minus strand of NW_018654718.1, from coordinate 583,508 downwards.
CCAGCTCTTTCACGTGACCTTGGGCAAATTACAGGATCCTTGGCTTCTGGTTTCTCATCTTTAAAAATGGGGACAATATGATTTGCCTCAGAGAATTTCTCTAAGGCTGCCATGACATCATCTATGTGACAATACACAGCCAGGCCAGCGCGGGGACATAGCGGGGCTGCAGTCAATGCTGGTCTTCTCCATGCGTGGGAGGATGGAGGCTTCTTGAACCACTCGCAAGTCAGAAATAAAGCTGCCAGGAGCCTCGCAAGGAAATGCTTGCCCTCTTCCCACCCCCCTCACCTCGTACTGGTTATGTAAACCTTGGCTCACTCTGGCATTATTTGAGAAACATGTGAAATCCCCTCTGTGGTAACTCCATTTGGGTTAATACTTCCATCCCCAGTAAATTCCTGTTAAGATGCAAGCATAATCCCTGGCGAGATCCCACCCTGGCAGAAGCACCCACTGAGACGGTGTAGAGAGGGGACTCTCACCCTGGAAATTCAGGCCCTGAGGGAGTTGGGTGAGCACTGCTGAGGGGAGCTCTGGGCTGCCAGAGGTCAGGGGGTGGGGGAGAGGGCAAGGAAAATGGCCAAAAGAGAGGTGGAAGAGGAGGCCACGCGTGCCCACCTAACCATGTGCTAATGACCAAGCATGGGTGGAGAAGGCACCTTGTCCCTTCAGTCAATACCCATTAGCATCCGCCATGCAGCAAGGTCACCAATATCAGGCACTCTGGGGGATGGTGTGCCCAACGCTGACGCTGGCCTCCCAGATCTTATGAAATGTCTCACCCCTCCAGGAGTCCTTCCAGCCAGCTTGTGGCTCAGGCCGCTGTCACCATAACCCTCAGTGCAGGCCCTGCCCCATGCCTGGAGCCCTATCAGTGGCTTTTGTTGGATTCTACCTGCCTCAGTAAAGGTGCAGATGTGTCTTCACACATCACAGACCCCAACAGAAGATTGCTAAAATGCAATCCAAATCCCTTTTTAACCTCTCTACTTTTTAGGACTGTTCAATATCACTGATTTCAAGGACCATGGTACGTCTTTGTTTTTCTAAATAGGGGGAAATGTCTGCAACCAGCATCCACCTTTAACTCCAGCAAGAAGGGGAGCAAGGGAGGGGAAACTGCATGTCAGCTGAGCAGGAAACAATCGAGGTTTCTCTGCTTCTCTGAAGACTACAGATCAAGCCAAGCAAAGAGCGACCATCCTGAGCTATTTGTGTTTCATGTAATAATGCCCTAATGATCCAATTAGCATTGATTCTTCAGCAGCAACAATATTTTCTGACTGATCCAGCAATTTAGCGATCACTGTTGATTGATACAATTTCTATGAGTAATAAAGCAGTTTGAAAGAAATTTGTTTAAGTCTTCACAAATCACTTTTTAAAAACATTTCAATTTTAACCTTATTTCCATTTTCCATTTTTTCCCAACCAGTGGACCCTTTATGACATTTCCCTTGGGCATCCCACTCCCCTGGCCATCACGTGGGCCAGCCCTCCCTGCCCCTTGTCTGGGCATCCTCAGCCTTCACCGCCCCCCGCAGATGCTCGCTGGCTGCAGCCCGGGGAACAGATGGGCGCAATGGCTGAGCCTTAGGGAATGGTAGCCGGGCACACAGCCTCTGTGGAAATGGCCCAGGAGAGAGCCACTGGAGCAGGCTTCCTGAAAACCTGCCCTGGTAACACCGCTAAAATTGGAAACCAGGCAGGGGTGGGGGACAGCGTGGGAGGCGAGTGGGAGGGAAGAGGGACAGTCACAAACAGGGAAGGGAGCTAGAACAGACTGTCGGGATAGAATCTCCTACCCGGGAAGCGCCGGGCTTCCCAGGAAAAGAGCTGAGACCCAGCAGCTGGGTGGAGAGAGCAGCCCTGGGAATGAACGGCCCTTTTGACGTCAGGGACTGGGCAGAGGGCCGCGAGGTCTGTGCAGCTGACCCTTCCTCCAGCAGTGCCCCAGCTGTGTCTCCCACCAAGAGCCTTACGAGATGAAGCCTGTGTGTGTGGAAGGAAAGCCTCACCGCCTGGGAGAGCTGGTATTGGCCCAGCCCTCACCGTCATTCAGGTGACTGACACGGTACCCGATGACCAGTGGGCCCTGATGGAGGGGACCAAACCGGAGTGCTCTGGAGGCAACTTCTCCCAAACAGTTCTCTGGCTGTTTTGGTACCCACTCTAACGCTGACCTCCTGATTATCTTCACGGCTCCTCCCTTTTGCCCTGCCCACGGACGCTTTCCCAGTCAGGTTATTGTAGTAAAACTAGGAGTAAAAATAGCTGCTAAAATTTCACGAGCTACCATGTGACAGGCATGACGCTAGCTAAATGGTTCATATGTGTTATGTCATGTAATCCTCTTAACCACCTTCTGAAACAAGTGTTATTCCCACTTTACAGGTAAGGAAACTAAGGCTTAGGGTGGTTTAGCCACTCAGTCAAAGACATTTAATAAGCCAAGGAGTGAAGCCAGTCAAAATGAAAATCCCTGGCCTCCAAAACCAGGGTTAGGCATTACAGAACCTCTCTGGATCATGAGTCCCCAAATTTCAGCCTTAACCAGGCAGATTTTCTCCTGACTTTACTTCCTCCTCTCGGCTTCCTGCAAGTTCAGCCCTCATCCTCTGCTTCTCAGAGAAAATACCTAGATGGGGAACACCTTTCCAGGACACTCTCCTTGGACAAAGAACCACATCATCCAGGTTCCCTCTGCTCCCAGAGAATGGCTAGTCCTCTTCTCAGAGGGCACTTGGTAGGTCAGTTCCAAAGCCTATTTCTTTGAGGCCTGTCAGAGCTACCTGACCATTCTCATTCACAAGAAAGTCAGACTGACAGACTCATCCCATTTCTCTGTAAGATTCAACATGATTTTGGTGGAGTTCCTATAGCAGTTCCCCAATTCCCAAACCTTTTACTGTTCACCACTATCTCAAGGAATGTGAGAAACTTCCGAGTCTGCAGCTCAGAAATCACATTGAAGGCAAGGGTGAGGAGACAGTTTTTGGCCACACTTCAGTTCTTTCTATATTAAGTGAAAGCTTATCTTTGTCTATATATGGTCCAGCACCGTTATTTCCGTGGGAAGGTCATGCCAAAGTCACCTAGTTACCTCGTCACTCCATCACAGGAGATACATCCCAGTTTATACACATATCATGCCTACTAACTATATTGGTTACTCAGGGGAACAAAAAATGCTTCTTCTGCATAATAGTTTTCCAGGCTCCTGTGTAGAAGCCTTGCTCCCAAACCTGATTCTGTCTGTTTTGACGACGAAGGCTAGAACAAAGAGTCTCTGCCACCCGTGGGATTGTTTGGCTTTTAAACAAACCTCCTTAAAGAACATACAGATAGGAACAGCAATCAAAACTGCATTTATTAATGTTAGGTCTTCAATACTAAAACCTATCATTGTCGCCTTGATACCACTGGAAATGTTTTGGGTACGTAAATAAAGGTGGAGCTAGGGAGGGCAGAGGGAGCAGCACAGGTCTTCATTTGGACTGACGGCACATTTGTTAATTAATGTTCTATCGAAGGATGCTCTTTCCTGAAGTTTTGCTTAGCAGTAAAAACAGTGCTGTTGGCTAATGCTGGTTTTTTGAAGCTTGGATATAAAAATGAAGAACAAGGCTAGTGAGATTAAAGCCACCATCTGCCCAGTTCTTCCCAGGAAATGTCTTTTTAAGGCAACATCATAGGGAGCAGAAAGGCCCATCCTTCCTTCCAACTGGTTATGTCTCAAAACAGGCCAACCATTGACCACTAGGAATTGAGTGCTTAGGGTCTTCCCAGAGACTCAATACAACACTCTGAAGCATCTCCAAATCTGAAAGCTGCCTGTCAAGACATCACGTGGCCAGGCTACTGCATCTTAGTTCATTACTTCCTTTCTGTCAAACAACAGGAACAGAAATCAGCATTTATATTCCATTGGGTCATTTTGGTTTATTTTCTCTCAGCTCCACAAAACATTAGGTCCTGTCACAGGCCTCAGTGGAGAGATACAGAATGCATCTTCGCTGATGTCATCCAAATGAGATGGACAAAGTGAACCCACACTATCATACCCTAGGCAATGGAGGCTGCTGTGTGCAGAGGCAGAAAGAGAAGAGATAACAGGTTGCTTTTTGCTTGAACGTATATTTTTAAAATTGACCCAGAAAATCATACTTTCACTGGTTTCACACATTGGAATTAAGATTTCCCCCCAAGGGCACCATGTGATAAGGTCTGGTCTTCCCCAGCCCATCCACTACTGGACTTGGCATATGCCCCACACGACAAGCAAGCAGATACACCAAAATACAGACACATTAACACAGCAAGACTCAGATGTGCTTATCTACCAAAACTCAAACCAGAAGAACAAGAGTATCACAAGGCATTGTAGTAATCTCATGGTGGTGGAAGTTTAGGACCAGAAACCCCTGGAGGCTAACTGCAGGACTGGAGGGAGGGGAGGAGATTTTGAGTGTCTGGAGTCTTCAGAGTAAACAGAAGCCCCTCACTGTAGGGAGGAAGATACCACAGCCTAGTGTGGGCCCGGCACCACTCCCCTCCATTTCTCAGGAGAACTTGGTTCACTTCAACTATCGCCTCTGCTCAGGTTGCTGGGCACACTCAAGAATCAAAGGATGCAGTTGCCATGGTGATTCTGCTTTTGTGATGGATTCAACCTTGTGTCTGATCCCTTGCACACTGCTGGGGTGTGGCTGGGAGAACTGCATATAATGGTAACTGAGAAAAGTTAGGACTAAAGTAGCCTAGAAGTGCCAAGTTAAACCCAGCAACAAAGGAAAGACCCTTGGCAAAGATACGAAAAAGGGGGACATAACCTTTCCATTTTCCATTAGAGTCCTAGGAAACTTAGTTTTTAAACAAAAAATTGATTACTAACTGCTACTATAGTTGATCACTCATTAAAAATTCTTACTGGTATTATTCTATTGCTGAAAGAGCTCCCTATCCAAATGCAGTTAACTCCAATCTGACAGTGAAATTAGTACACAGGCATGATAGTAGTCTACTACAGCACTGCTGCTCAATGTGTGGACCAGCAATCAGTCACACTGACATTACCTGGGAGCTTGCTGGACCTGAGATTCTCAGGCCCCAACCCGAACCTGCTGAATCAGGATGTGCATTTTACCAGGATCCCCAGATGGCTCTTGGGCACATTCAAACCTGAAAGGTACTGTCCTGAGAGACACTGTGAGGTCTCCGGCTCTGAAAACACTTCGGGCTGAGATGGAATGGAACTTATGTAATTGATAGCAAGACTTTGATAGAGCCAAGTGGACTCTGAAGCCAAACTGCCTGGTCCAGCTCCAGAAGCAAATGTCCATAAGCAAAATTATTAACCTTTCAATGATTCAGTATTCTCATTTATAAAACAGGGACAATGGTAATGCCTATCTGTGATGTCCTGTGAACGTCAAATGAATTCATTTATGTAAAGCACTTAGACTAGGTAAGGCATGTAGTAAGCACTGTACACAGTGGGCAGGCAGATGGGAGGATGGATGCAAAGTGGAAGTGAAAAATGGAACCTGGGAGTCATTCCACAGCTCTGGTGCACCGGACTGCTCCTACCTGCCTGCCAGAGACAGCTTCTTTGTTAGTCATTCAGACCTTTGTCCTGGCCATCACATCAGACACGGCCCTGCTTTGCAACTGATTCCCAAGGGGGCCACAAATACAACCTGAAGCGTAATACACTGCACCCCATCCCATCCCTGGGTAAACCGGCATCACCCAGAGATGGTCTACGTAGAGAAGCACTGCAAGGCAGCATGTGGGAGAGATGGACCCCTAGTGATGGCAAGATCTCCTCATCTACCAGAAATAATAAAAATGCTGCAAAATAAGCCAGCAATTTAAAAATATCTAACCCATGATTTTCTGGGTGAAAAAAAATTAGCCTTGGGTTGCTCCAGCCCTTGGCATCCTCGTCCTGCCACATCAGGGTTGGTGCAGTGCCCAGCAGCTGAGCTGGGTGCAGAGGGGAGAAAATCTGTGTTGGACCCCGGCTGAATGGCTTTCCTGACTTGGTAGCTCCAGATGTTAGCTTGTCATTGCAGAGCAACTGAGTTAATTAGGCATTTCTGTGGAATCAGAATTCTGAACAGTAGAGAAGAAATGGAAAGGGAGGAAGAATGGCCCCCCTGTACCACAGACAGTGTTTACTCTCCAGGTATTCCCCCGGGAGCAGGCCGAAGGGGCTGGGAGAACACTGGCCCTCAGAGAGCCACGTATAGAGACACTGGAAATGGAAGAGCGGATGTGCAGAAGAGCAAGGAATAATGCTGCCTGAATCCTTCCCTTGAAGAGAGTTTGCTTGGCACCATCCCACAAAGGCTATGTGTTCATAGCAGGCGGATATCCAGAAGCCACCTTTGTGAGAACCTCACCCATGGAAAGGGTGTCAGAGCTTCCATGACAACTATCAGTCATGCCTTCTTCCCAGAATCGCTCGTCACTTCTATTGTTTTGTCTGAACCAAAGCTCCTGGGAGGGATCTTCCCCTCCCTCTCCTCCACCTCTTGCCAATCTATACTGCCTGTTACTTTTAATTGAAATAGTTAAGCTATGTAGGTCAGCTAATTTAAAATTCTCAAGGGCAGATCACTGCATTACAAGCAGGATGGGACATACGAGGCTGTTCTCTAAACCGGATTTCATATATTAAAATACACACACACACACAGAAAATTTTTGTGAAAAACACCAACATAAAAATGGAGGGAGGCACTAAAGACTCATTTCCACAATCTGGCCCCTGGCCCTACACCAGGCTCAAAGCTGGGGCGAACGCTCCAGGCTGTTGAGGAGCCTGCATACAGGAGCCCATCTCTGGCAGTATCTTCGGCACACCTGACGAACAGATGCTCAGGTGCCTAGACCCTACATTACTTTTCAAGGCACATGCAGGTGACCCATGGTGCCCTCACATTTTTGACCACAGAGTGCCTGGCAATCAACTCACCACAGCTTGAGTGTTCCCTTCCTCTCAAGAACAGGCAATCGGTCAGCCATTGTGTGCATATTTTGCATGCTGAGAACACATATTTGTTCAGAACACAAAAGACATAATTTAACACATGCCAGAAAGGAACCAATAGAAACAGAGAACCAGCCTCAGCATGAGTTTTCAGCACTCCCATCTTTTCCAAAAGAAAAGGAGACACGGGACACTTCCAGCTAACTGACTCGTTTGAAAAGGCTGCATCGTCCAGCAGAACACTCCTTGCTGGAGACACCTTTCTGGGCCGTGAAAGTGATTCTTATTCCATTTATGCTCAAAAAGTTAAAGGAAATGCTAATAAACAGCCAAAGGGAGAAGTGTTGGAATAATGCCAGATTGTATTAAATCAAGTGGGAAGGGTGGACCTGGGAGTAAGGATCATGCCCATCCAAATGACCTTAACTGACCTCACTTTCGACCCCCTTGAAGCTGAACCCAGATCCAACTTGACTTGTAGGTGGAGGAAAGTCAAGCAAGAGAATCTTTGCTGAAGGGATCCTTTTGGGGTCTGAGAGTGGTTTGAAGAGGAGGATGCCTCCCCTATACCCCAACCCCATAGGAGAGGGAAGCACTGACCAGAGAGTATTGGTTAGAGGGAGCAGCTAAGACTTCAGAGGTCTTATCAAGTCAAAGTATATATCTTCAGCCTCCTTGCATCTGAAGAAGTCAACCATCTATGTATCAGAAACAAGGCATGGGCAAAGGTTTTTAATGGCCCCAGGAGCTACTGGGACAGGGAATGGTATCTTCATATTCCAACAACCTCTGAATCTAAAATCAAAATTTAAAATTCCCTAGGCTGAACTTACATGATTTTAGAATGCTGAACAATCTGAGATGAGTTCTGATAATATACAGAACCAAGAAAAGGAGTAATGTCTCCTAGACGCCATCAAAGAAACTATAGTATAAACTTGTTAAAGGCAGAATTTTACTCACTAATGTAAACCCAGTGCCTATCACAAGGCCCAACACACAGTGTACATGCAAGACATATTGACTTAATGAATGAGTGAAAGGATAACACTGATTCATAACTTTAATTCAATAGAATTTGAAATTACCCCCAGATGAGTCACATGGACACGGTGACACAACAGAACTTAAAGATCACTGAGACTCAAAGTGGGAGAGTCACGAACTGGTCCTGATATGATGAGATAGGAAGCTAGCACCAAAATGTGAATCAACACACTACTTCCTTCATCAGGAGAGTCTCCATATAAACACAAGCTGATAGGAATGAGCACACCTAGTGCCCAGGTCTTGGTTTTCACATACTACCACTCTCCAATAAAACGAATCAGTACTCCTTGGAGTAACAGTTGATTCTAGGGCTGAGGGGGAAATAAAAGATGTGCCTGGAATATCTTGTGGTCCCAAAGCAAGAAAACACTTGAGAAAGGTTGGGGGTATGTCAAGAGGCACAGAAGCCAACCAGAAAGCGCTCCCAATGGCCAAAGCTAAAACAATTTGAGCAAGAAAATAAATTAACAGTAGTAGTGGATTATTACTCATAGAATAAAATAAATAAACATGATACTGGTATAAATTAATGACTAAATAAATAAATAACTGGGGAAGAAGGGACAGTTTTTCCTTAATGGGAGAAGTCTAGTTAATAAATATGGAGGCAAAAAGGACAATAGAAAAATCATAATTAGCCAAACATAATAACTGTTGTAAACAAGATGTACCAGGGAATGCTAAAACTATGGGCAAAAGCTTGACAAAAAGCATGATATTTGCATAGTCTCAAAATATCTCCCCCAGGATACTTATTAGAAGTGGGGAAATAGCAGCTTTATAGTGAAGAAACTCAAAAGACACCACCTTCACCAAGTGATGAAGGTTAACAGCACCAGTAGAAAGACATCAACATCCTTTACCCTTTGATAGGACACATTGTGAAGGGAACATCACTTCTGTGATATTCAGAAGTATGCATTTAGTATGCAACAAATGCATACCCTCCATCTAATCATGAGTAAACATCAGACAAACCCAGATTAAGAGACATTCTACATGATAACTGACCCGGATTCTTCAAAAGTGTCAAAGTCATTAAAAACAAACAAACAAACAAACAAAAAAAAAAAAAAAAAAAAAAAAACAAGGAAAGACTGAGAACTACCACCACTTGGATGAGACAAAGGAGACACGATGACTAAATGTCATGTGGGATCTTGGATTGGATCTGCACCAGAAAAAAAGGACTGAAGTGGAGAAACTCGTAAGATCAAAATGAAGTCTGAAGTTTGTTAAAAGTATTATACCCATGTCAGTTTCTCAGTTTTAATCACTATATTATGGTCATGCAAGATATTAACATTAGAGGAAGTTCCCAAAGGGTTTATGGGAACTCTACACTATTCTTCTACTTTAAGCCTAAAATTATTTCAAAATAAAATGTAAAAAAAAATAAAAAGACAAACTAAGCAGTGTGTTTATAGACACAGCTGATTTACATTCTGTCACAAGCTCCTGATCTTGCCAAAAACTGGTAAGTGATAACCTGCCTACCGGTCAAAGGATCACATTCTAGATAGTGCTAGTGCACAGTCTAGCACTGTGCAAGACTGTTAGCAGCTTGCAGGAGTCAAAACACCCTGTTGTTCATGCCTAGCGAACAATTAGGTCCTGTGTTCAAGCTGTGTATCCAACAGGTGTGTACCGGGCGCTGCTTGCAAAATAGGAAGACCAGGAGATGATGGTTCTGATCTCCGCTCTGATTTTAAAAACAAAATCAGAAACAGAAACAAAACCCATTTGTGATCTTGGATAGCTCATTTGTTGTCTCTGCCTTCAGTTTTCTCATTTTCTTATAATTAAGTAATGCGTGCCTCCCACTCTCAAAAGGGTTAGCAGGAAGACGAAACAAGATAAACTGTGCGGAAGCATTTTGAAAACCATAAAAACATTATGCAGCTGTAACTGTGTTATGATTCACATATTTAAAGGTTCTCATTCTCATTGTTTTCAGAACGGAATGGCTTAAGTGAGAGCTGGTTACCACATGCATCCATTTAACGTTAGAAATGATTTAGTATTTACTGAGCACCTATTATGTTAAAAGCACTGGCTTAGATACTATGGTGAATATAAAAATGGATTGCACATGGACTCTGGCCTCATGAGTCTCCAGCCTTAGGAAGAGGGATGACATATACATCAATAAATTATAACATAAAATAAGAAGTGAAAATTGCCAGTCACCAGCTGCCTGGCAGGTGCTCACATGGATATGGGAAGAAAGGGGCTTAAGCCGGTTTTTATTTTCCCTTTCTGACCTTTGTGCGTATCTGTATATGTTATTTCCAAAAACTCCCTCCCAATAGTCCGCGTGGCAAATAAGAAATTAAGAGATTGACAAAGTCAGAAGCATGCGTTTGGATAATGTCCCAACACCTGTTAGCAAGGGTCTTTGGGCCAAGTCCTTCTTTGGTTTCCTCCTCTGCAAAATCGGGATAATAATACGACCCACCTCACCAGATCATTCTTTAAGATTAAAGGAGTTAGTACAAACCAAGCACTCAGAACAGGACCTTGTGCAAAATAAGCACCGGAGAAGGGTTAGCTGCTGTTACTCTTTTCTTGTCTTGGAGAAATGTATTTATGGCTTTGTGACTGACAGTGGAATAAAGTCCCGCACAACCCAAGATGGAAGATTCTAGCCTCTTTTCTCCAGAAGGCCCAGGCCTCCCACCGTTAGTGATCAGGCGCGGGAAGAGCCCGGTCAGCAGGGCGGGGACGGCCAGCTACTGAGGCCGTCGAGGGTCACGATGGGTGCTGTGTAACCTCAGCCAGCATTCCCTTCTGTTCTCCTCTTAGCCTTTTGGACACTCAGGTTCTACCCTCAGCTTTTAAGTTCTCAGTCTCTTCCTGAGGGGTCGCACTGAGAGTTCCTCGCCGGCAGAGGGCTGACTGTGCTTCCAGGCTCGGCCCCGCCTCCCCTTCCGGGACCGCCATTGCTCCTCACAAGGCACCTTGCGCGCCACCAAGGCGAGAGGCCCCGCTTGCCCTCAGCAGGCCCTGGCGGCTCAGCCGCAGCCCGGCGCCGTCCCCACGTACACCCATGGCGCCCTTCCCGACCTCTGACCGCGAGCTAGACGCGCCAGGCCCGCCCCCCGGGCTGCGGAGCTCGGCAGCAGCCCCTCACTGCCTGCCCGCGGCTCCAGGTCGCAGCCCCGGGAGGGGACATCCTGAGCACAGTCAGCGAGGGCCGCGCCACCACGAGAACCACACCTCTCCAGGCCCCTTCTTCCCCTTCCGCCTCTAACCTGAGGGAATCGCTGCCGGAGCTTAAGGCAGTTCTCAGAGCTACTGCGGAGCCAGGCGGGCGCGCACACAGGACAGACCCCTCGTCACCTCCCATACAGCAGCCATGCTCACCTGGGATAGCCCGCGTCAGACCACGCCACACCCGCTCAAAATCTGCAATGGCTCTGGCCTCCTTCCGGGCAAAAGCTGCCGTGCTCACCGTGGCCTGCAACGCCCTGCTCCGCCCGCCTCGGGACCCCTCACCTGCAACCAGCGCCCACCCTGCTCATGCCGCTCCCTCGCCCTTGAGCCTGCCAGGCCGTTCGTCTGTCAGTGTCTGTAACTGCAATTCCCTCTGCCTGGAATGCGTTCCTCTCGAATGTCAGTCTACCCTGCTGACCCCCTCATTCCCATAGATGGTGCTCAGGCATCCCCTGCGGAGGCCTTCCCTCATCGTCTTATTTAAAAGTAAACCTCCACTCACACCCCATTCCCCTGCTTTACCTTTCTCCACAGCCCCTACTGCCACCCAACAAAGTGTGTTTAACTTATTTTATTCATTGTCTCTCTACTAGATTGTAAGCTCCCCGTGGGCAGGGATTCAGGCCTGTTTTATTTATTGCTAACTCCCTGACACCTAGAACAGATACACGATAAATATTTGATGAATGAAGGACGGACTTTTAAAACCCATACACACATATACAAACGCATATGTATATATTCCTAGGTGTGCATATCAAGGCTGCCACTGAGGGAGCACCAGCAATTAATACATCCCAGGCCCTGGAAGAGGCCTGTATCAAGCCTGCACTCTGAGTGTCTAATTAATTCTTTCAATGAGGCCGAGGTAAAAATGGACTACCCACATTATAAAACTGAAACTAAAGCTTGGAGTTTAAGGAACTTGCCCAAGTGAGCCAGCAAGGAAAAGACAAAGCTCAACGTGCTCTTCAGAACTCCAAATCCTGTGCTCTTTCCACCAATCAACCGTTCTCTTGGTTCTCACACCCCTAAGAACTTGCCCCGCTAATAGTAATGGGCCCATACATCTGCTGTCTTCACTACCAAACTGAGCTCTCTTGAGGCTACAGGAGCGTCTCCTCCTCTCTGTTTTTCCAGGAGATATGCACACACACACACATAATATTCTAGCTCCTGGAAAATACTCCATCTCAATCACTCACTGTTAGAGATGTTAATTTTCTTTCTACCTGACTTGACAGACCATCAAGCACATACTCCTCTTTCCCTGGCACCTGGGGCATATCTGATTCAAGGCAGAAGACAGAAAAAGTCACAGATGGGAAAAGTGGGGCACTGTTCATGCCAGGTAGCCAGAGTCACCCCTGGCCCTGGAACCATGCTGGCACAGTGCCAGAGATGAAATGATGGAATGAGTGTACCTGGAGAAAAGGAGCTGAATATTCACTCAGAAAGGCTCAAAATCTGTACTGGGTTTTCCTCCTCTCCATCCCCCCTTTTCTACAAACTCTATAAGCTACCCCTACCTCTTTAGCACATACCTTGTCAACCAGATTCTTAGGAGAACGAAAACTCAGGCTTAACTCCTATGCTGTTTTGTCATTGCCACTAGGTAAGGCAGAGTTGCCAACTCAGGCTTGGAGAGAAGCAGAAGGACAGAGAGATTCAGATCAGGACATTTGGAGCCAGACAGATCTGAGTTTAAGACCTGGGCAAGTAAGTTAATTCCTAAGCCTGGGTTTGTGTAAGATAAAGAAGTACCTACTTTATGGAGTAATCATATTAATTAAAAGAGTATACACGTGTCAAGTGCTTAACAGGGCCTAATACACAGTATGCACTCAATAAATGTTGGTTGAAAAGCCCACTTTGAATATTACATGATAGGGAGTTCCCTGTGTAAGGTGTGGGAAAACATCTCGGGGCCAAACACAGGGGCGGGGTTGCACAAGCCAACTGAACTCTGACACAAGAATGCAACCCTAAGTGTCATTTGCACTCTATTCACATGTGTCCCAGAAGCCCAGAAACTCTTCTTCCTGCTGCCCCTTTATCCAGATGGCAGCCCACCACCTAAGGACATCTTGCAGACGCTCCAGCACAAGGCACCTGGGAAGAGACTGCATCAAGAATCACCAGGTCAGGGCAGTTGTTTGCCATTTGAGTTCAGGGAATTTAAAGTCAGGTGTTTAAAAATAATTACCATATGTCCATCAAGTCAAAGTTGTAAGTTGTAAGATGTGCCCATTATTTTATGTATCAATGAGAAAGAAAAAATGGTGCCAACTAAAGTGTAACCTATTAGTTTAGATTGCACTTTAGTTTTAGAGAAATGAAAATGTAGGGGAAAACATGTCTTAGGATCAGTAGAATCAGTAAAATATAGTAGGTCAAACCAAAAACTAATTGACACCTGGGGTGTATTGTCAAGTAGGAGTGATAACTGATGGGAGAATGACCTTTGGCTTCTGCCTAGTTCTTAGCAAGTCATCCAATGACCTTGAACAGATAAAGAGGCTTTGTGAGTTCTTCAGGAGAGAAACAGAAAAACGGAACTGACATATAATGATTCACCACAGGCTGAGCACATCCAGGTACTTTATGTGATATCATTTAATCCTTCTAACAGGACAATAGCATTGTCTTCATTTGGCAGACTCTGAAAGGTTAGGTAACTTGCCAAAAGTCAGTCAAAGGTGGTATAGAGATTCAAACTCAAGTCCCTCTGATCACAGAGTCACTATGACTCTGAATCAACAGAATGAAGTGTCTGTCTGGGAAACTCCTGTGACTGGATAAATTCCCGAATCAGCACTCAAAGCTTGAAATGCTCATGTTCTTGGGGAAAATTGACACTGAAGTGCAAGAACCATTTTTCCAGAAAGTTGGTCCTGGTTAGAGGAAGGCGAGGAGCTGGAAGGAGATCCTGGACTAAAGTCAGGAGGGGATGATTTCAGAGAGGAGGGGAATAGCTAAAAAGGGGAGGGCAGGGAACAGAGAAAGCATGCAGCAATCCCCCCATCACCCAGCAGTTGTGGAGGGAGTTCTTGGTGAGGACTGCCTCCCCACACAGGCCATGGCATCAGCAGTAACGGCAGCAATATCTGCAAGTGGGCTAAGGACAGGCATATTTGAAAACCTTAGGCCAGTTTAGCATCTTCCACCTGGACCGGGATTCAGATGCATCCCTTTCAGATTTATTGCCTGCCCAGCGCATTCATTAGAAAAGAATTTGCACTGTGATGGGCTATTTTTCAAGAGCCCTTCTCCTGCCGAAAGAATACTTGAAACTCGTGCTGAAAACCAACAGGCAGAGAGCTCGAGAACTGGAGGGAGATGGGAGTCAAACTCGGTGTATTTTGTAGCTGTTTAAGACCCAAGTGCAGTGAAGGACAAGTTCCTGGCTTGCTAGCTTCCACTGTGAGTCTCCGTGGAGGAAACAATGACACTATGTAATTATTAAGAGCAGCAAGCCAGGTCTTAAGCATGCTGTGCACTATGGTGACACAAAATAGTAATTTAAAAACATGAGATATGGAGAGGAAAACTAGGTATCTAGATGGGGCTTGAAATCTTTGTATGCAAAATTTGTGATAGGTGGTATTTAAATACATTGGCTTTAGACTGCTGACCATCTTCCAGAGAGAAAGTCAGGGTATTACAGTGAATATCTAAATCTGGTCTCTGCCAGATTCACACTGGTTGTGTGACCTTGGCCAAGTTATTTAACCTCTGAGTCTTGGTTTCCTTTTATGTACAATGGGGATGATTAATCTTAGTCTCACCTACCTTGACAGCTAGTCTTTTTATGTCAAATGAGATCAAATCAGTGAAAGGATGCTGTAAACTATAAGAGAAACACAAATAATAGCTAATTTAATTAATTTCCTGACAGGTTTTACTACCCCTGTATGAAGAAAACTGTGTGTGTGTGTGTGTGTGTGTGTGTGTGTGTGTGTGTGTGTGTGTGCGCGTCCCCATATCCAAGCGGCATACCTTGGGAGTTCAGCTTTTCTAAGAAGTCACAGGAAATAATTTAGTTAGTAATCTCGGTCTCATCACCTTCCTCTCCTAGCATTGGGGAAGCAAATGGTACTCTTCTCCCTAGAGCTTTCCTTTCAAAGTGTGTAACTGATGGGGAAGTCAGATGTATACAGACTTGTAGAATTTTCTCAAGATGATTCAGACAGCTCAGTGATTACATTTGTATGGCGTCCTCACTCTCTGGGGCCTCATCCATGTGGTTTCCATCCAGCTTGGTTTGGATCTCATCCTCATGATGGTTCATAATTCAATGAAGGCCCATAATGCAATGACCACAATATTCACAAGAGGAATGATGGTTGCCTACCACTCTACAGCATCCTCTCTAAAGCATAGACCTTTCCCCTTAACAGGGTCTTAAGCCTTAATGTCTGAGTATTAGTTGACTTTGGAGGGAGAAGAGACAGTGACAGAAACCCAAATACCAGAATCCCAAGTAAAACTCTCCAGAACACTTTCCCTCCCCACTCCGCCCACTAGGATCTTCTTCTTGCTCAGGTTCCAGGGGGCAGTATCGCAATTTCATTTACATAAAACCAGGTTCTTGCATGACTTGGCTCCAGAAAGTTGAGAAATTTCTGATAATTTTATCTATGTATTTTTGATAACTATTTCTGTGTATTCTTGATAACTGATTTCTTTGCGTATTGGTGCTTGTTAATTATTTATGCTACTGTTATTTGTGTAGCTTAAAAGATAACATTTGAATTATTGCTCTCTTTAGTTGCCTAGTTTCTGCCTTTTTAAGAAGATATTAGAATATAACCTAGCAGACAAGGCAGGGATCTAGTCTTTATAATTCTCTTTGTGCAATGCTACATAAGTGCTGAATAAATGCTTTTTAATGATGCAGCAGCTGACAGCGTTCCACACATTATCTTCTTCATATTGAAGATATCCTGGCAAAGTGAGCAATGTCTCACAGATGGAAAAACAAAAAGCAGAGAGGTGAAGTGACTTGCATGAGATCAGAAAGCAAACCAGAAATGGAGCCTTGACAAGCCTTCACACTCTTAAGTTTAGAGTGCGAACGTTTATTCATCCATTCTGAAAAGCCACAACCTTAAATGTCTGAGTTCTGCGGTCCTGCAAAAATTTGGGTGTGACAAAAATCACTTTATAAATTGTGCTAGAAGAAAAACAGCCCTAACAGTTGGCTAAGGTACATAACCGTCTCTTTCAACCCAACATCAGAAAACCATTTTGCAAGCAAATACGACATTATCATCCCCTCCAGACAATGATGGCAATAGCACAGTAGTACTTACATGAGGCCTCCCACCTCTGGGACCCACGGTGCTTCATGATGTAATTATCTCCAACACTGACCTGTTTACTTATACGAAGAATGCTAAGTTGCCTTTTCTTCATCAGGAAATTGATGGCAAAGTAAGCTACTCCCCAAAATCCCAAAGTGAGCCAAAACAACAGCCTGACCTCCAAAGTCATCTTATAACACACAACTCTGGACCCACCACCCCATTCTTCCCTTACTACTAACATGCAATGCAGCTGACCACCCTGGCTATCACCACAAGGGGTGGAGCAGAACAGGGGCTGGGAATGTGGGAGCTCATGTACAAGGGAGTCTGGGAAGGTCATGCATTCATGACCTTAAATCATGTTTCAACCTTAAATCTAGAAGAATGCTGGATAACCAGGATCAGAGGCTCCGCCAGGGGGATTAGCAGTTCAAAAGAGAGCTCTAGAATGAAGATACAGATGTGTGACTCGTTTGCATATCGGAGACGGTGGAGAGGAGACCAGAAATCATACTTTCTCTTGTAGGCCTCTTGTGGCAAGTCAGGTTTATCAGAATAAAAACTTCATTTCCCAGCTCCCAGTTGTTGATATCATTAAGAAGTGGAATTACAAAGCAGAAACAAACCAGGGCACCTAGGGTCTACTGCAGGAACCAATCAGCAGGCAGGAGGTTCAGGGTGGGAACCAAGCCTCACCATCTCTACCTGTCAGAGTGTTTACAGGTCTTTAAGACCCATCTCAAATGATACATCCAACTTTTATTTTCCTGATTTCTCCAGAGGTATTCTCTCCCGTCTTTAAACTCCGATGGGATTTTGTGTGTGCACCTTTTATGAGATGCATCATAATCTGATTGGGGTTATGGATATCTATAAATAAACTAGAATATATTTGTGTATTATCATTTACTCAATAATTATTTATTGAGCTCTTGCTATGCACTTCAAACTCTTAAATAATAATACATATAAGTTTCTTGAGGGATGGAACCATGATTTATTCATTTTCTACGATGTATAACATTTTCATTCTAATGTACGTAGGGTACAATTGAATTCAAATCCAATAGCACTGGCAAAACAACTCTATAAGAGGAAGGATAATGGAGGACTTCAGAGCAGGAGTCTTAGAGTCAGAGAGATCCGATTCAAACTCTAGATTAATACCTCTGTAGCTTTATGGCCTTAAGCAAGCAGCTTAGCTTATCAGCAGGTGGGTCTGTAGGGTCATCCACCACAGGAAGGACGATGAATGTTACATCACAAGGAACCCACTATTGACACACTTAATCAGCAGCTATGGGGCCCTTATTCAAAATGGCCAGGTTAGGGTCCTCTTCTTAGGATCAGAAGGCACTACTGACCACCAGCATTCTTTCCAACCAGGCAGTTCCATCCAGGAACAGGTATCCTTGTTGGTAACTGGTATGTGCTATATTTTCTACACCTCAATGGAGCTGGGAGTCCCCAAGAAATAAACCTCTGCAGTTGGTTAGACCTGGCTGCTTCATCTCCCTTTACCCAAAAATCCCAGCTGAAAACAGGGGCTCAAACCCTTATGTTTGGACCCATTCACCACACAGCTTCTTTTTGGAGGTGTGACTCCCCAGTAAGACATTCCGATGCAGACAACATTGTCCAGTATGCTATGAGTCTTGCAGAGCCAAGTAGGATATCCCTGTCCTTGAACAATCAAGGATTTAAAAATTAAGTGCCTGCTGAGCTGTTCATCAGCATTTATGTGCGTGTCCATTCCAGTATGTAAAGATTGTGACATTTCAGATCCCAGTGTTTAGGGTCCATTAAAAAGCAAATGTCTCCTTTAAATGGAGAGGTAGTGCATTTCTCCTTTGTCCTTATTCCAATGGGCACCTCCCTCTGCTCAACTCCTTTGCAGGTTCATTTCCAATAGGTTTATGTAACAGAACAGCTGAACCATGTATCAAAGGGGCTCTGGGTGTGGCTGCTGAAGCAGCATTTCACTTACAGTTTTCCAGTGAATGAGAAAGCACTCCTCACTTGAGAGCCGCCTGCCACTCAGGACAACTCATTGTCCCTCATGTTCAGATTGCTCACTTAATTCAGGGCTTGGGATCAGACGTGAGCTGGCCATTTGGTTGCATGAGATGTACACCAGGCAAAGGTGTACTAAAGGGCACGACAGGGTACCATAAATGATCCATCCAAAAATCTATTGGTGCCCATAGTCACGTCCATGTCAAAGACTTGGGCCCTGAAATATTAATATTTACATTGTGGTTTTCCTCTTACAAAATATTTTCTAATTCCCTATCACTGAATCCTCACAACTCCGTGAAAGCATTATTCTTGTTCTTGTTATCACCATTCATTCCCACTGCAAATTGAAGCAGCCAAGAGTCTGTGCATTAGAGGTTAAGCGTCGTGTTCAAGATCACAAAGCCAGTGAATGGCTGAGCTGGGACTCCAACTCCAAGTCTTCTGACTCAAATCCAGTGACTTACTCAACACAAACTTTCTGAATACAAATGGTTGTCCTATGTATGGCAGTGTATTAAGAAGGGCCACCAGCCCACTGATTTATTCACTTTTCAGTTTATACTTGGACATGGTAAGACATCACAAGTTTTTTCAAATAACAGGGCTTTTTTTAAGTTTTTATTTCAAATGTTTATGTTAGAAAATTTAGAAGAATCATAAATAGAGAATGAAATAAAATAATTTGTAATTTTGTTCCCTGAATTGGCTTATCATTAACACTCTAATGTATACCTATTATACCTTCCAGGGTATAGTATATCCTGTCTACACTCATATGAGATGTAAATAGAGGTTATATATCTTATAAAATTTGGGATCATATTGTAGATAACTTTCTATGTTTGTTCATTTAGCAGTGCAGTTGAACATCTTTATGTGCCATTAACTGTCCTTCTAGGTTATCATTTGAATGGCTACATGGTGTTCCATCATATGGACGCATCCTAACTTAGTTACCCAGCCCTCTGGTGATTAATAGAGGAGAGAAATTATCCCAGGTTTAGCTCCATTACAAATAAGACTACAATGAACACACTTGTAAGTAATCCTTGTGTATTTCTGACTGTTTCTGTAGGATAAAATCCTATGGACTTGCTGAACCAAAAGAAATGAGCATTTTGAAGCCTTTGAACATTTTGTCAAATGACCCTCCAAGGTGAGTGGAACTTCTGCACTGCCATCAGCTGTATCTAAAAATGTCCAACTTCCCAACACTCTTGACAAGACTTTCACTGTTGATGTTTATTCTGAACAAACTGCCTGGCATCCTTTGAGGCCTCCTTGCCCAACTGCCCAGCAGGCCCTGGCAACTCTGCCTCCCAGGCACTTGCATTCATCCCACTGGCCAAATTCTGTCCATTCATCTCACCTCCACTGCTGGCACCTGGTCCCAGCCTCTATTCTCCTACCCAACTGGCCTCCCAACCAGTTTCTCATTCCCTCCCAACTCCCTTTTCTAATCCACAGGCAGAATGATGGTATTCTAAAAATAAAAAAGACACGTCACCCTCCCTACCAGTCATGATCTAGCACTCCCTCTCCCCACACCGCCAACCCTTTGACCAGTTCACCTGCACCCGCCTGGTCATTCACTGTGTGCCAGCCTTGCTCTTCTGTTTCTGACACATGCCAAGGTTGTCCTGCCTCTGGGCCTTTGTACTTGCTATGCCATCCCCCGGAAGGCTCTTCCTCTCTTTCTTTGCAAGCCTAGCTCCTTCTTGTCTTCCAGGTCCCAGAGGGGACCTCCCTGACCAACAGCTTAAAGTAACCCCCACCCACAGTCATGTTACCACAAAACTCTGCTTGTTTCTCTTTGATTTCTTTTTCATAGCACCTACCATAATATGAAGCTCTCTCATTTATTTGCTTACATCTTAAATTTTCTCTCTCTTCTCTTCTTGCCCTCATATGCACAGAGAATGTAAACTCTCGCTCAGCGCCAAGCACAGCATCATCAGTGCCTGTCAAAGTGCCTCGCATATAGTTCATCCTCGATAAATACATGTTGAATAGATGAATGCACAGGAAAAAGGAAATAATTTTAGTATTGCGCTAACCAAGCATAATACTCAAGCTAAAACTAATGTAAAACTTACCACCAGCTGCCTTCCGGAAACAAGTGAAAAAAGACAAGAGACACCACAAACAATGGTGAGTCAAGACTGGTCAGTAACTACAGATCCCAAAGCTCCAGCTGAAGATGGCTCTCCTACATCAGACTGATCTAGGAGAACCCAACCTAGTATCAGCACCCCTTCACACCTAGTATCAGCACCCCTTCACACCTAGTATCAGCACCCCTTCACATCTAGTGTCAGCACCTCTTCACACCAAATATCAGCACCCCCTGTCTCATGGGAGGGCAGAGGTAATGCTTGTACCAGTTCCCCATGCCTGAGCCTTACCAGGGAGCCAGCACTGTAGCTGGTGTATCACATGCGTTAGCATGCACAGGCCTCACAACTCTGCAGTATCATCATTCCCACTCTTACAGATAATGAAACTGAGGTTCAGAGAGCTATGGATTAAGCTCAGCTCAAAGGAGTTGAGCAGAGGGAGCTTTGAATTGTGTCAGTATTCCAGCACATATCTATCTGACTCTATATACATGCTTTCTGTACAATTGCCCAGGGACCCCACAGCACTGCCAGTTGGAGAACAGGGGAGCCCAGATGCTGGTCCCTGACCACTTCCACCGTCTTGTGCTGATTCTGGATGCAGGATGCAAAGAACCATTTCCCTCAGCATCTGAGGAGGAGGAAATCCTTTCTATCATGGAAAGCAGCTTGGGTTCTCATGACAAATTCAATGTCAGAGAGCTGAACCAACATCATAGAGTGCTCTTCAAGGAAAGCCTCCCTCCTGGGCCCTCCACTGCCTAGGTCACCAGGCCTCCAGACTCCAGGCCTCCAGATCCCAGGCCAAAAGGCTGCTTGTATTTCCTTACTCTCCCAGGGCCTCTCCTGATACCTGGCCTCTGAAATTCTTTCCACATATAAGGGTGCACTCAGTGTTCGTGAAAGCAAGTGTTTCCAGGGTTTCAGATGCTCCACAGAGAAACTTTCATAGTCATTCAAAAAGATTAGCTTTTCTCTCTAATTCACATCATCACCAAGGAATAAAGCCTCACAGGTTACGGGCTGGAGCTTCTTCCTCTGAGGGTCTAACAGGAAAAGCTGGACAAGGATATATTTGTTCTTTTCTACTTACAGCCCGAAAGAGTGGCACAGTCCCCAAAAATACTTCATTCTGTAGTTTTTTTAAATAAATGGACAAAAAAATAAAACACTTGGTTTCTAGATGGCCAGGTAAAATAAGAAAAGAGCATTTCCAGGGTTGAGTTGGCAGCCCTATCTGTTGGTCTCTCCACTTCAGTGAGGTCCTCTGAATGGTAAATGAATGAAGGCAGAAGAGGGGAGAAGAGCTTTTTCTGACCTCACACTAAAAAGTAACAGGAGTCAAGAAGGAAACAGGCAGAAGCCTGAAGGGATAGGAACAATGTGAAAAGTAAAGTAGGTCTGTGAGCTCCTTCCCCAAATCCCTGCATGGCCAGTTAGCCCAGAAATGCACCAGGGCAGAGCTCCACAAAGGGAGAGAAGCGTCCAGCAGCCATGGCGCTTATGACCATCATAAAAGGGACAGCAGTTCTGGAGATGGAACTCTACCTGGCTGATTTTTAGATCATATAGTCAGATACATATTTGTTGATCTAACTCAGCATTGGTTCATACTCAACCCTTCCCTTCCACATGTCAAGCACACAAATACACATCCCAGATTTACAAACTGACAGTTTCCCATTCCTGTGCCGAATGCCTTGGCTTAACTTGAAAGGCATTTCAGAGGCTGAACTACTGAGACAGATTCAACGCATACAGTGACACTCAGGCTGCTAGATACTGACTAGTCAACCGTTGGCCAGCAGCTGCCAGATGCTTAAAAACCACACTGAAATGATCAGACCCCTACGTGCAACCTGCAACTGATCTGAGAACCTCCCTGTTTTGTATTTTCTGTTGTTCTAACAAAAAAAGGATCTTCTTAAATCTATTTCACGTATTACAGTAGCCCGGACATCAAATGTTTCCCAGAGTGAAATTAAATATAGCATTTTATTTGGAACAAGCCATCCTAACTCAATTTCCCTCCCCAGCATTGCCACAGAGAGACCTTCCATTTGGCAGCTGAAAGATGCGCTGAGCTCTAGGCTGGACGTAGGACTTCTTTCCACGCTCTTGGTAATGCATCTGCTTCCTCTGCCCCAGTACAAGCACTACAGGAATAAAAAAGGGAGTTTTGCCCCTCTGCCCCTATGCACTGCCTTTAGGGAAAAATATCCCTGTCTTTCCAGCACACCCTATCCAAACTCCTGCAGAATATGGTGCTGCACCAGCAGAAATTTTCTTCCTGAAGAAAAGTCAATGAGTTTGCCATAAAGCAGGTTTCTCTCTTTGGAGGGAGCCGGTCATATCTGGGATATTGTTGCATGTTGTTGATGATTAACCTGCAGGAGACGCGTTGTCAATAAACATTTACTGGACATCCACTGAGGGCCCTGCATCTCAGGGAGTGAGAGGCTACGGAGAGGCAAAGGATGCTAGAGTAGGGACGTGGGAGGAGCCCAGAGACCCCAAAACCCAATGTGTTCACTTTGTAAATGTAGTAACAGAGACCGAGAAAGAATCTGGTGTTGCCAAGGTCACAGCACCATGTGGCAGCCCTGGCGACTTCCTGAATCTCAGATCAGGGCTTCTCCGAAGCTCTCTCCTAAGTTAGACGGGTAGAAGTGGAGACTGAATATCTATCTCAAGTACGTAAAAGTGTCCGTGGAAGTCTCCGGTGACTCTGCAGTTACAGCTCCCATTTCCCGACGGCCTGAGCAGGGACCTGGCACCTAAGTTATCTTTAACTTCCCAAACAAGTCTGAAATAAGGACACTTAGGCTCAGAATGAGGCCCAAGGTCACACCGATCGTGAACATGACAGGTGCAAATTTGAACCCAGTAGTGTCTGATTCCAAAGCTGAATATACGGATATGTTAGGATGCCCACCTACTATGTCACCTCACTTACTCCACCCTTGAGATGGAACCATCTCTGTCAAGAAATAAGGATTAAACCAAATCAAGTACAAATGAAAACCCAGACTGCAAGCCATCATAGAAAGTAAGATTCAATGTGTGTATGTATTTGCATGATTAAGCACATGCAGAGAAAGAATACATCTAGATATCAAGTGGTAATTTTGAAATTTTCTCCTTTATACATTTCTGTTTTTCTCAAATATTAAAATAGATGATTCTTATTAATCTGAAATTAATTTTTTAGGTTGTGGTAAAATATATACATGTAACATAAATTTTACAATCTTAACCATTTTTAAGTGTACAATTTAGTAGCATTAAAAACATTTACATTGTTGTTTAACCATCACCTCCATCCATCTCCAGAACACTTTGCTATTCCTGAAAATCTGAAATCCTGAACCCATTAAACAACAGCTCCGCACTTCCCCCTGCACCAGCCCCTGGCAACCACCATTCTACTTCTGTCTCTATAAATTTGTCTATTCTGGGTACCTCACATAAGTGGAATCATACCATATTTCTCCTTTTGTGTCTGGCTTATTTTATTTAGCATAATGTTCTCAAGGTTCATCCATGTTGTAGCATGTATCAGGATCTCCTTCCTTTTTAAGGCCGAATGATATTCCACTGTATGTATATACCACATCCTGTTTATCCATTTATCCACGAATGAATACTTGGATTGCATCTGCTTTTTGGCCATTACAAATAATGTTGATATGAACATGGGCAAACAAATATTTCCAAAAGCCCCTAGACTTTTTAAATCCTGGAGTATACTTTTAGAATGTGCCGCTGTGAATTAAAATCAGGATATGCTTTCTATTGGTCTCAGCCTGGAAAACAGCAAATTCTGTGCTGGAGTCTACACATTTTGCCTTCTGTCTTTAAACACCTCTAAACCAGTGGTTCTCAACCCTGGCTGCCTATTAGAATCACCTGGGGGTGCTTTCAAAAAATACTGATGTCCCAGCCCTATGAAGGCCACTGAATCAGAACTCCTCTGAGTTGAGGCAGAGGAATTGAGTATTTTTAAAAGGCTGCCCAGATTATTCTACTGTACAGACAAGAGTAAGAATCAGTGTCCTGAAGCCTCTTCTTCTGGGGGGCCCTTCTCTTTATTTAAGAAAACTCTGCCTTATGAGTAATTCCTCTTCTTTCCTCCCATCAAAACCCAGGAGGGTTTGATAACCAGTCAATTGCCCTAGTTGTTTGACTGATTGCATTCCAACTGAAACATTCGCTCCACGGCCTTACCTCCTCCAGTTGAAGCCTTTTATCTCTAATTGTGGACTGCGTGCCTGCTTCTTTCTTGGAAGGAATGTTGATATGAGTAAGCAGTTAGGGAAGTATTTCTAGGCCTACTCAGTCCTTCAGGTAATTATAATCTAGTCCTTTCAAGGCAGTAGGGACAATAAGAGGGGCCAGAAGATGTGGTCCCAGTCCATATCCAGTGCCCGACTGAGGCACTGAGCCAGCTCAAGAGGCCCCTCCCCATCCTCACATTTCATCCCTAAGCCCTGGCCTCCCCTCGCTCTTGCCCAAGACTCCCAGCTAGTTAATTGGCGTGCCCCAGGGACCTCTGGTGGTTTTGCCCAGTTCTGTCTTTGCTAATTTTCTTTTGTGATGGGGTTCCTTCCTCTAACACCCTAGGACACATCTCTGCTGAGTGTGCTTTCTCTCTGGTTCTTGTGTTCTTGACAACAGAGCATGTCAACTGATGGGCGGCATGGTGACTTCGAGAACAGGATGAGTTCCCAGCATCTTTGTCAGAAATTTCACAACCACGGCTGATGTCACACTGGTGGCAGCAGGGCGTGTTCTAGGACACAGATTCGCCATCAGCTGCTCCCCAGGCAGGCAGGCCTGGGGCTCCAGGGCCCTTCAACTCACCTTGGGGCTCTTCTGCCTCTTTGCAAAGAGCCCTCCAAACAGGGTACTGGAAGCTGAAGCCATGGCAGCAGCTCCAAGGACTGGCCTGTTTGGGAGAGAACATGGTCCTTCCCTCTGCCAGGCCTACCCTGGAGCCTGTCCCTGAAGGGCTGGGACATCCTGATCCTCCACAGGGGACTGGCTGCAGTGCCCCTTTATGTCCATGTGCAATGCTGATGTAAAAGTGTTAACGGTGTGGGGGACAGGGACTGTGGTAGGAGCTCTGAGGAAAGACAGAGCATGAGCTGGAGGAATCAGGCCCCGAGGAAGGAGAGGAACCAAGCCTAGGAGGAGGGAGAGCGCATCCCACCCAGAGGAACAGGCCCCACTCAGAACCCTTTTGCCCTCACAGGCATGCTGGGCCCTGCAAGCTGGCAAGCCATCAGGGTAACAGAGCCCTCAGCACCACCACCTGATCCACTGACCAGGATCCATCCTAGCAAGTGGGCAAGCTCGCAGAAAGGGAATGATGAGGAAGTGCAAAGGACAAGGAAAATGAAGACTGAAGCCCCACTGAATGCAACAGAACACCCACAAATAGCAGATTAAATCCAAGCAAAGGGACTCAGATTGACATGTCTCTGATGTCTCAGTGACCAGGGAACCCCAGATATGCCGGCAAACATGGCTTCGTTTCCCCATCTCATGCAGCACACGTTTGCTGAGCCCTCCGACACACCCGCTGCAATGCAGGTCCTCACTGCCTCCGGCTCCTCCCGACTTCACACCCATGAGGTGCTCCAGTCCAAACCCAGAGAGAGCCCCTGTGCCTCGCTGGGGGAAAGGGGACGTGGGGAGAAGACACTGAACACTCCTCTTCTCTCTTCTTGAGTACCTCTTTTGGCGGGGATGAGACATGGCTGCACATTTTCTAGATAAAGAAGCAGAAGCATAGACTAGAAGGGATGGGGTCAAAGGAACCTCACATGTCCATCAACCATGTGCGCTAACTAGAAGTGTCTGCCTGTGAATGAGTGCTGGGCCTACAGGGAAGACAGGAAGGGGGCTGGCGGTGACACCTCTTATCCAAGGAGTGCAAGGTCCTCAGGCACACTCCTGGGGTCCCGGGCCCACCTCCCCGGAGCAGGGAGAAGTCACTGAGGGCATACAGGGCCATCCCCTTCAGGCTCACCTTGCAATGTGCAGTGTGGTGACTCAGGGCACGCCTAGGCTTCATGTTGCTTCCAGCGACCTTGGCAGTTGCTCAACCTCTCCATGCTTCAGTTTCCTTCTTTGTAATTCAAGAATAATAGTCCTAGTTCACGAGATCAGTGTGAAGACTGAATAATGACCACACGTAGTAAGAACTAAGATTTATTGAACCATGATTTTATTATAAGCCCCGGACACATATGTATCTGGTTGGAGTCCTGCAATGACACTCTGAGGTAGGTACTATTACTATCCTTATTTACAAGTGAGAAGTGGAGTCACAGAGGGGTCGAGCAAGTTACCCACATCATAGAAATGGTGAGCAGGAGCCCAGAGCACTTCACATGAACCCCTCCTCAGCAGCGCCAACTTAAGGACCATCCAATTTCAGATATGCGCTGCTTTAGAGATGGACAAACTGAGGCACAAGGAGGCTGGAGCAGACTCTGCCTGCTCTTCCTCACAATTATTGTAATGCTGCAAAGGCACCCTTGAGGGACAGATGTCAGAGAAGCAAGACAAGAAGCTATGGTGGTGTTACTGACTCTCAGCCTAAGAGCTGAAGGTGCAGGTCTTCCCTCCCCAATGTGAGCGCCAGTTCCAGCCACAAATCTCCTCTCCCAAACTCGCGATTCAGCCCTGCTGATCAACTGCAGAGAAGGTGCTGTAAAAACCGGCTCAAATCTTGAGGTGCCCTAGACATGAGAAAATGGGCTACAGCTACCGCTTAAAAATGTGGACGGATGGACTGCGGGAGGAGGGGCAGTGCGAGAGCAGCAGCCCATCCGTGAAGAGAGGAGAAGCTGGGAATGTGTAAGCAGAGCCATAAATCCCTTGTCAACGCTGCCTCCGTGCCTTCCCTCTGTGGACGGGGCCCGGGGC
This sequence comes from Homo sapiens, assembly GCF_000001405.40. NCBI lineage: Eukaryota > Metazoa > Chordata > Mammalia > Primates > Hominidae > Homo > Homo sapiens. Next base: position 555,861 of record NW_018654718.1, on the reverse strand, counting down.
CTGGGAGGCCTGCAGAGGGGAAGGAAGCCTAGCGTTTAGCCTCTGATGGCCAGAAAGATAGCTCCACACGGTGTCTGTCAGAGCACCAGGAGAGCAGACACACTGAGAGTTTCACTCATTAACATCGGTGTTGCCATGACAATAAGCTGTTGCCAGGTAGCAGCGAACTAGGAGAAGAGTGAGAATTAGCAAAGCCTAAAAATAAAGCTGTTATGTTTCTTCCCCCGTCTAGATGTCCATGTGTAACAGGCAATAATCTCGCCGCCTCCTCCTCACCCCAGCCCTGGAAGACCACATGGGACAGACAGGGCCCTGCACAGAAGGGGAAGGTCACCTCTCCAAGGGAGGCAGAGAAAATAGTACCCGAAGATAGTGGTGGCCAAAATCTGAAGGCCAGCAACAAGCAGCACCAGAGAAAGCTCAAAGTAAAAAAATCCCTGGGAGGGATTTTTCCTTCCCTTAGGAAGTAGCTGACCTGAAGCGTTAACCTCAGTTCCAGATTGGAGCAGGGCCCTTCCAGGCTGTCAGATGCCCGTCCAGCTCCTTGGCTCTGAAAGAATGGGAAATGGCAGGCGCTGGCTCCTGACTGACTTTTCTCCTGGAAAATATTTAGCCGGGCCCCAGCCCCAGAGGCATCTGTGGGAGTCAGGAGCCTAGACTGGGCACATGGGCAGTTCCTGGTTGCTTTTATAAGCATGCTACCGCCAGAGGAGCCACTGTGATAACAATTCCAAACAAGAGGATATTTTAACAATCAACATCACTGAGCAATGTGTTAATATCTCCAAGGGACATGCAATAGAATTATTTTCAGGATCTTCCAGTTTGGCTCTGATGTCAGAGGAGAAAATGCATGGTGTCCAGTTCTGTGCTTCCTTTGTCCATCCCTCCCACCAGACTGTAAGCTCCATGAAGGCAGAAACCATGTCTAACTAGTCACCCTCATGACCGCAGCACCTGCTGTCACACCAGACACTTAGTCAGTGTGCAATAAATACACAGAGGAAAGAGGAAGTGGGGAAGGGGCAACTGACTCAATCATAACAGAGTCAACATTCTAGATAAAACAGTAAATATATTAACAGTAAAAATACCTGGCCTAAATAAAATACATACCTTTCTAAAATTATAAGCTCTGCATTCTAAGGACTGAATCCTATTCCTGATCTAACTCTCTATTCTCAAAAAATAAGTTAGCAAGTATGCAGGTGTCATGCTTTAAGCAGATCAGATTAGTTGAAATCCAGAATTTTGGGGCAATGATTTCCTTTATAAGCAACCGTAAGATTTCCTCAAACACAGAACCTGCATGATCTCTCTAAAGTAAAATTGTTTAATTCAGATAATATGTAATAATCTGGATCTATACATTGAATGAAGCTAGCGGCAACCACTGGATTCCCGGTTTCTTTCCTTGCAACCACACTTACCTTTGAGTTCTCTCTACCACAGGCTGATGAGTGCTCAGGAAATGTAAACAGTGGCTAATTTTGCTATCAGTGCAAGAAACACACATTTAGGAAACAAAATTCATTCTTTGTTTCACCATCACCCCATAAAAACATATAACCTGGAACAAAATATTAATAATTTCTTGGTTCTTTAACTGCTCTGGATTACCCAGCCATTGATCCAAATACCAGCTCCTGCCTCTAGGCCTCCAAGCTTGTGTAAATAACGTAAAGGTAGCAGAAAGAGGCCGGGCGCGGTGGCTCATGCCTATAATCCCAGCACGTTGGGAGGCTGAGGCGGGTGGATCACCTGAGGTCAGGAGTTCAAGACCAGCCTGGCCAACATGGTGAAACCCCATCTCTACTAAAAATACAAAAAAATTAGCCGGGAGTGGTGGTGGGCGCCTGGAGTCCCAGCTACTCGGGAGGCTGAGGCAGGAGAATCGCTTGAACCTGGAAGGCGGAGGTTGCAGTGAGCCGAGACCATGCCATTGCACTCTAGCCTGGGAGAAAAGAGCAAGACTCTGTCTCAAAAAAAAAAAAAAAAAAAAAGCAGCAGAAAGAGTAACAGGTGAAAGAAAGGAGGAGCCAAATGACTGGGAATTTGAGGGCAAGCCCTGCTCATGTCCCCCCAAGCCCTAACCTCCAAGCAAGGCCAAACCTGCATGAATGACTTTACACTCTTAGAAGAAGGAGAGTCTGCTGGTGGGGTCCTACTGAATTAATCATAAAGATGCATAAGGCTGCTAGAGTTAAAGAGGCCTCAACAGAGGGTCATAGATTTACAAAACTACAGCAGCAACAGCTATCCAGTTTGCCTTTGGCATTGCCTCTAGAGAAGTTAGAGTCCACGGACATACTCCTTCTCTACCAACATGAGACACCCCAGACCTCTCCTGGTGAAGCCATGTGCCCACAAAACCTGACGTTCTCACCACCAGGCACAGCCTGGACCAATCCAATAAGCTGCTGGAACATGGTTACTGTGAGGTGTAAGAAAGTGGGTAGCATCCTGTAAACTACAAAATCCCAAATTAAATCTGACCTTGACCTGACTGCCTGGGAGGACTCCTAATTCAGGGAGCTCTGCCTGATTTACTGCTCTCATTGCTGACGCTGAAGGGACCTTCATGCAAACACCCACCTTGATTCCTGGGTTTTCAGTAGGGCCTTCCTTGACCACAGAACAAAGAAAAGTCAGTCCTGACACTAACTAGAGAATAGAACTCTTTTGAATGCTTTATGTTCCTTTCTGCTAAAATGCATCCCAAGAGATAGTTCCTCCATTACTATAACCATCTTGATACACATAATCCCAGCTTGCCCACCTGTATACTTTCTTCCTTCTCTGTGGCACAAAATACCAGTTATAGCTGCAGATTCAATTGGAAAGGAGTTACCAGAGAGGAGATGATACTGCACCTAGCTTCAATCTGCCCCCAAATACAGCCTCCAGAAATGTGCTGGGGTCCTGGCAGATGATCAAGAAAGGTATGTTGCATGACTGAATGACTGAATGAAAAAATTAACTTAATGCTTTTTTCTCTAATACACTTTGATCAATGAAATGTTTCTAAACTTTGAAACTGGGACCCTGTCCTCTCAGATTCTGCCAGTCTAACATTGATAATGTTTGCCTCAACTTCCAGATCATGCAGCACAAAATGTCAGTGTCAGCACAAGCACCACGTGAACTGGGTTAAAAATCCACTTATAAACTTGAGTCAACAAACCCCCCACCAATTTCCCAGACTTCAGGTTGGAGGTACCAACATCAATCCCAGGCTTCCTCCTAGGAAAGAGAAACAAGGCTAGCTATTTAAATGCTTCCAAAGAAAGAGGGCATAAGTCTTAAAGCTATTGTGATAAGCACTATCATCACATCCCACTGATGGCATGCACTGTTACAGATGCCACTGTTTCAGCCTACCCCTTCCTCAACTCCCAACTATGGAAGAGTTCATATTTTCTATCACAGCCCTGGGAAATAAAGGTCTGTGACCCTAATGAAACTGTTGAAACATAGGCATACCCCAATTCTCACTTGCCTCCCAGATGTTCTATTGCAAAAGCATTCAGATAAAAACATATCACATCAGGCTGAAGATCAGATTCCCCTCTCTGTCCTTCCTTCCTTCCTGCAACAGATACATTTGTTTTCTTACTTTGCATCTGCCATTTTTAGAAACAAGTTGAAAGTAAAATTCGAGCCTCTCCTGGAGAAAAGGATAAGCATCTCTTTCTCTCTTTCAATCTCTCTCTCTTCCCTCCTTCCTTCTCTGGCATGTGTTACTGAATTTTATATAGCTTGACTTGCTGCATCTCTGATATGAGCCACTTATATACACAACATAACCAGACACACATTTTTAAGAGTATGCAGCACTTAAAATAACTGTATCTTAAACCTTCTGATTTTAGTTGAGAATTTGATTTAGGGACTGGATGGATCTTGGCTCTTGAGGAAACAAAGCAATTACTATTTTAAAGGAATACGAACATAATCTTTAAGGAGTCCATTAACTGAAAAGTAGAGAAATCTGACTTGCTTCTTGCCCCATCAGATTCCCTTGGAAGTACAAATATCCCTCTGTGAATATTTTCCAGAGATGAGCTTTCTGAAGCTCAAGATAGTTATTTTAAACTTCAGCTCCCTAAATTGTATTTCTAAAATATAATTCGGATTCTTTATTCTTGGGTAAACAACTGGTAATAGGGCGCTGTGTGACGGTGGTACCAGTCAGTGAACCACCTTATGAAACAGCACCCCAGCTACAGAGCAGCCACGGGCGTGCCTCCCCCACTCCCTCGCTCCCTTTCACACAGATGGAGCGCCATTTGTCTTCAGAGAGCCACCAAACTTCAAGCACACTATGACTCCTCCCCGTGAGTTTCTTACTATTACAACCGTCGAACATACCCCTTCCCACTCCTTTGTTCATAAGGATTGTTGGTGTTTGTTTTACTTGGTTTTCTTTCAGACCATACTGGTTTGCAGAGGGGAGGCTTACACAGGTTTTTAGGATGATTATTGTTTTTATAAAAACAAATTCTTATAATCACATACCTCATCCAAAACCAAGACTTCACTGTGGTACTGTGTGACTCGCTGCGTCTTACTGATAGAAGTGGCAGGCATGGGAACCAGGGGGGTGATAGCTACAAGATTTCATACCAGGTGCTGCACAAACACCACCATCAGCATGGACGCTGCTGGCCGGGAGAGCTGGCGCGGGGCTCTGCGGCCCTCAGCTTTGCCATGCACAAACCCTCTATTTACTGGATGGGGGTGAGGCCCAGGGGTCTGGGGCAGGGATCACAGTGCTGGAGCACTTTGATTAGAATCATTAGAGTGGTCAGGTCACAGGTTTCTCTATTATTTCAATGTAGGGTACTTAAACCCTAAGTTAGACCCTTAGGTTACGCCAGGTGGAACACCCTCCAAGAACACAGGACTGTTGTTATTGGGTAAAATACATTTCCTGGATTGGGACAAAAGAGGATGGATAGCCTACACCTCTGGCTTCATTAGCTTACCTACCCCTGGGGTCCAATTTGGGCTGATCTTCAGCTACTGTGCATGGTAAAACATACTGGTCATTAAACAGTAAAACACTGTATGGGTTGGTAAATATCAGTGCCCTGAGTCCCTCAAATGCCACCCACCACCCAGACATCCTTCCTTAGGTCCCTGGAGCTTCCCTCCAATGCACTGCATAGCAGATTTATGCCTAGGGGACAGAGGGCTCCAGAGCCTGCCAGCTCCCTCAGCCGGCGGCATCCACTCTAACGGGCACTGCAGTGCCAGGTGTTAATAACATGGGCAGCCCTCATCAAGACCTTGCCTTAAGGCCATCTCAGCTAAGATAACTGTCCTAGCCAAAGCCACAGCAACCTCTCAGATGTGCACGTCATCTCCCCTCTCTGAGCAGTGCGTTGTCTAGCTGTTCTTCTCTTTTAGCACATTGTAACTTTTCTACCTTGAATCATGTTGTGCTGTGTGTTTTTAATGTCTTCTCATTCCTCTTAGACATAGAGAAGTTCAGGCTGGGCATCATGCTACGTTTTCCGCTTCCTTGCTTATCACTTTATACTTGGCACAGCACCTGTGCATGACAGGTACTTAAGGAACATTCATTGAGAAACTGCTAAAGTCTGAAATTCCAAGAGCCATGGCGTATGTGGTTGCTACCCATCCTCTCCAGCCCTGCCGTCCTCAAAGGTCCACTAATTTGGCTGCGTACCTCCTTGTGCTATTTGTTATGTTCCTTATATGAATGCTCCATTCTTATTGTTTGTTCTGTCTCCCTAAAAACACTATCCACGCCTTGAAGATAGGGACCATTTGTAAAAAAGGCACACATCAATAAGACTTTCCCGAAAGTCAGATGTTCTGTGGGAAACGCTAGCCAATTTCTCATGGTTTTTTTTGTTTGTTTTGTTTTTGAGACAGGGTCTGGCTCTGTCACCCAAGCTGGAATACAGTGGCACGATCTCAACTCTCAGCTCACTGCAGCCTCAACTTCCTGGGCCCAAGTAATCATCCTGTGTCAGCCTCCAGAATAAATGAGACTACAGGTGCACACCACCACACCTGACTAATTTTTTTTACTTTTTTTTGTAGAGACGAGGTGTTGCTATGTTGCCCAGGCTGGTCTCCAACTCCTGAGCTCAAGTGAGCCTCCCACCTCAGCCTCCCAAAATACTGGGATTACAGGCTTGAGCCACCGCACCTGGCCTATTTCTCATCTTTTAAATAAGAAAAATTATAATGCATTACATGTCAACTCAAAGCCAATTTCCTAAAATGTAACCAAAACACTTCATCATGTATTTCCTAAAAGTAACAAAATACAGCATAATGTCTATTATATAGTAGAACTATCACACAAACTATCACAATGAATATAACGTGCTCCTGACCTCTCCGCTTAATGTGCAGAAGCCCGTCAGCTGACTTCACACAGCCCCATGGAGGGGCCAAACAAATGACCTCTTTCTAGGAAGACTGTCAGCCAGAAAAAGGGAAGGGAAGAGTCCAGGTGTGTCATGGGTCGGGAAAGCAGCCTGGTCTATCCCCCAAATCCTGGCTCTGCAAATCCTCCAACACATGTAGCCAAGATGCCTTGCCTTGGGAAGGGAAAGATGCTCCTCGAATGTGGTCCTGGGGCCCAGACACATCCCCAAAGCAAGTCCCCTTTATTGACACTCGACGGGCTCTACACAACACCCACAAGAGATTCCCACATTCTATCAACTGTACTTGAAATGTAACTCAAGACTTTTCACTAAAATGTTATATTGCATTTGGAGGCTGTAAATATAATTTCCTATATAAACAGCAGCTTAAAATCATTTTATTAAAATATGTGTATAAAATACGAAGCATGGGTATTAAAAATCCAAAATGTATTCTCCCAGGAACACATTCATGTGGGAGATGGTCTGCAGGATAAATCTGTGCTCCTAAATCTTCACCACCCTTCACACAACAATGGGTCCATTACATGCATATAATATGCACCTATGGACTACCTAGTTAGTAGATGTGACAGCTGACAGAATAAATTAGACTAGATTGGAGAGCAAGAGAAATTTAAAACTGGCCACGCTGGCTATTCAAGAGAGAAAAGGAACAAAGAACAAACACTCATTGGACAGTGAGTAGGTAGGGAGGTGGGTACACACATCATCTCATTGAATATTCATGACAACTCAAAGAGGGCAGTGTTACTAGCCCCATTTTGCAGATAAAAATGCTGAGTCTCAGACTGGATAAGTGACTTGGCCAAAAGCTACATAACTACTCAGCGGTGAAATCTAGAATCAAATGCAGGTTCCATTCCAAAGCCCAAGCTCTTTCCACATCTCACAGTGCCTCCTCTCGGATCCGAAGCAGCCTCCACTTCCCATGCTCTGCCATTCTCCCAACCCTCAGAGTCTCATCTGCTTTTTTAAAATACTACTCTGCACTTCTGAAAATACAAATCCACATTTCATAAGTCATCAACTGGCCTTCTTCCCTCTGGATCTCCTTCCAAGGGCTGGGTTGTAAGTCTCCTGGAGCTCCTTAGAAGGGCCGGATCTCAAGCAGGCTCCCAGGATGCTGCAGACACGGTTTACGCGGAGCCATCCCAGGTCTGTCCAGCTCGCCCTCCCCCTCCCTAAACACTCCTCAAATCAGGGTAATTCCCACTGCACAGTCCATGTACATGGTGACAGACTGAATGTGTCCCCCCAAATTCCTATGCTGAAATCCTAGCCCCCAGTGTGATGATATTGGGGGAGGGGCTTTCGTAGGCAATTAGGTCATGGGGCAGAGCACTCACGAATGAGATTAACACTCTTAGAGACTCCAGAGAGCTCCCTCGCCCCTTCCACTATATGAGGACACAGTGAGGAGACAAATGTCCACGAGCCAGGAAGAAGGCCCTCACCAGACACCAAATCTGCTGGCACCTTGATCCTGGGGCTGCCCAGCCTCCAGGTCTGTGAGAAATACATTTCCGTCTTTGTAGTCCCCCCACTGCGGTATTTTGTTATAGGAGCCTGAGCAAACTAAGATGACCCCAAACCTTCTGCCTACTTCCTACTCTAAAAACTCAGCCGGAGAGGATGCTACTGCCACTGTTTATTCATTCTGCAGCTACTAAGATGCCAGCACTTGCAATGCACAGGACCCCAACTCATGCAGTTTACCATCTACTGGGGGTGACAGATAATAAACATATAAATAAATATAGAATTACACATTGTTTTCAGTGCTATAGGAGCCAAGAGCACCACAGGGCAAGATGAAAGGTTAAGGTGATTTAGAATAGGAGTCTAAAGCAGACTTTTCACATTAAGTGACACATAATGAGACCCGAAGAGAAAGCCAAATTAAGAGTGAGTGCCTCTGGGCAGTCCCCCTCCTCCCTGTACCCAGGCTACATGCCCTGCCCCCACCAGCCAAGCCCCACAGCCAAGTGTGGACACCTGGCCTCTCAGGACTGGTTCAGGTCACGCTGCACCTCCACACACTGGCTTTCCCAGTGTAACGTGCAGAAGTCTGTTGCCTAGTTTCACCCAGCCCTTCAGAAGTGCCCGAATACATGGCTTCCTTCTAGAAAGTCTGGCAACCAGGAAAGGGAAGGAGGAATGTCAGGGCCCTGGGACTGCTGTGGGTGGAAGAGCTCACTGGCTTTGCAGAGCCTCCCACACATGTGGCCAAGACCCTCTCCCTGGGAAGGGAGGAGGTTCTTTGGGGAGGAACGTGAGCATGAGGGAATGAGTATCTAAGAGGTTTTTTTTTTGTTTTTGTTTTTTTTAATTAATTTATTTTTTTTTATTAAAGTTTTAGGGTACATGTGCACATTGTGCAGGTTAGTTACATATGTATACATGTGCCATGCTGGTGCGCTGCACCCACTAACTCATCATCTAGCATTAGGTATATCTCCCAATGCTATCCCTCCCCCCTCCCCCAACCCCACCACAGTCCCCAGAGTGTGATATTCCCCTTCCTGTGTCCATGTGATCTCACTGTTCAATTCCCACCTATGAGTGAGAATATGCAGTGTTTAGTTTTTTGTTCTTGTGATAGTTTACTGAGAATGATGATTTCCAATTTCATCCATGTCCCTACAAAGGACACGAACTCATCATTTTTTATGGCTGCATAGTATTCCATGATGTATATGTGCCACATTTTCTTAATCCAGTCTATCATTGTTGGACATTTGGGTTGGTTCCAAGTCTTTGCTATTGTGAATAATGCTGCAATAAACATACGTGTGCATGTGTCTTTATAGCAACATGATTTATAGTCATTTGGGTATATATCCAGTAATGGGATGGCTGGGTCAAATGGTATTTCTAGGTCTAGATCCCTGAGGAATCGCCACACTGACTTCCACAATGGTTGAACTAGGGCTAATATCCAGAATCTACAATGAACTCAAACAAATTTACAAGAAAAAAACAAACAACCCCATCAAAAAGTGGGCGAAGGACATGAACAGACACTTCTCAAAAGAAGACATTTATGCAGCCAAGAAACACATGAAAAAATGCTCATCATCACTGGCCATCAGAGAAATGCAAATCAAAACCACAATGAGATACCATCTCACACCAGTTAGAATGGCGATCATTAAAAAGTCAGGAAACAACAGGTGCTGGAGAGGATGTGGAGAAATAGGAACACTTTTACACTGTTGGTGGGACTGTAATCTAAGAGGTTTTAAATGTCCCTCGTCTGCTTCTGATTCATTCCTAACTCATCACATTGTTGTTTTGCAAGCATCATTTAATGTCCAAAAGACTGCAGAGCCTCCTGGTCCCCCATGAAGGGGCAGAAATCACACGCAGCAAAGACCTGTGCCGGGGACCTGGGCCCTGAGATTTGGCCAGAAGTAGGCCTATAGGTCACTTCACTCAGTTCCATCCCCTTGGGCTCTGTCTAGCAAGCTCTCTGGTGTGAAAACATATCCCAAATGCATGCAACCCAGGACCAAGTATGAAGGCAGAGGAGATGCCAGAGGGCCCCAAGGAGATACAATGTGCTTCTTGGCTGAGTGAAGCCATGAGGGGCTGGTGGGTGACCCTGAAGGAGCAGTGTCCCCTGGTGCTCTCTTTCCCTACATTCAGAAAACCCTCCTAAGAATGCGGATCCCTGGAGGTACAGGTACCGGCTTGGCCATAGGACTGCAGCCACCTCCAGAATCCTGACTCCTAATCCGTCCTGTAACAGAGGCCCAGAGCAGTCTGCTCCACGGGAGATGGCGAGAAGCTGGTGCGGGACTTCTGGTTGCTGCAATACCTGGGTGGGTAATTGAATGCAGGTAAAAGCCAAGGATCCTAAACCTTCAAGGATCCTTAACCTTAACCAAGGTCTACCCTTCAGTGGGTGAGACAGCCCCTAACAACGAACAGTCCCTGCAAAAATGCCAACAGCACCACAACTGAGGGGGACTGTAAGAAGGAAAAGTCCAATGTCCATAACTGTTCCTATGGGGACATGAGGACAGGACAGCATGGAGATGGATCGCAGGCGGACATCCCATCCTACACCACCTTCTCAGTCCTGGCTGGTCGCTCCTGTGGCCTGATACTTTGAATAGTTTGCAGGCACTTCCCTTCATGGAAAATACTATGTACGTTTCACTATAGACAGGGTATGCATGGCTACACCCCCAGCATGGAAATCAAGACCTTTCTAAATTCCCCAGAGAACTTTAATAGGATCCTGATGGGGATTCCATTCACACAGAAAAAAAGAAAACTTTCGGTGTACAAATGGCCAGCTCCTAGGTTTCTAGGATTGTACTTGGGTTTCCAGAAGCAAAGCATCTCTTCATAGAGAAGAGAGGTCCTCTCCTTGGATGCAGACTTGGGGACCTCTGTCAGACAGACAACTTCATCTCCGGGGCTTGAAGCATTCTCAAGGCCCAGGGTCCTTTATCCTCAAGCCTCATTCCACCCTCCGCTCATGGGGAAGAGGACAACAGAGCTCAGAAGTTGCTCATGAAACATTTTTAAATTAAATAAGCGTCCAAGGATGCTTCAGGTGAGACACTCCTTCCCACGTGAAGCAAGTCCCCTTCCTCTTCTCCTCTGTGGCTGTTAGTGGTGGCAGAGCTGCCTTCGAGGAGGAAGGGGCAGAAGAGGCACCACCCAGATGATGTGGTTCTGAAGGACCAAGAAGAGGACTGAAGGTCCTCATCCCCCAAAACAACTTCCATACCTGTTAATAAGTGATTGAAATGTCTTTAAATGATTCAAGAGAAGACTTAAAATAAGAAATATCTAATATTCATGCTGAGCTATATATGACTACTACTTAGTTCTCCAGTTCTGGTGCAGGTTTCAACTGAGATAAAGACCTAAACGTGTACAATAGCATTGATTAGCTGGAGGCAAACGGGGACCAGGCTTCATGAAATTAGGAAAAAGACACAAAGTAAGAGCCTGTGCACCCAAAGCGTGCGGGCCTCAGCTGAACAAGCGGTGAGGTCCTGGGCAGGCCACATGGCAGCCTGGGCTCAGTGTCCCTGTGTGGAAAGACAAAGACTGAACTGGCTGTTCTTTAAGGCTTTCCAAGTCTAAAATCCTCTAAGTCAATCCAATTTATCAAAAGCAATGCCTGTGCATTGTGAAGGCCCAGCTCAGGCAAGGGGAAACAAAGGCCCACGATCATTATCATTTCTCTAATCATTATAACAAAAGACATTCTTGCATGTGATGAAGAACCAGAAAAATATAAATGGTCAGTATCTTCTGAGTCCTTGCCAGGAAGACAAATGATAAAGTTGGAATCGTTGCCTACCCAGAAGCACTCCCTCCTTCTCCCTTGCTGGGAGTGCCCAGATTTTGTTTGGATGTCACCTCTCCCCAAGCAATGGAGGCACATCACAATTCACCCAAGCCAATCCCATCTTCCCTGCTAAAGAGATATCTGGCCAGCCCCTGGCCAATGAAGCATGGCGGAGTCTGCTGGAGGGTTCTTGGAGAGGGTTCCTCACTCAAGGAAGACACGCTTTCCTGTTCCCCCTGGAATTCCCTCTCCCAGAACTTGATATGTGACACAGTAACTTGTTGTTAGGGTCATGAGGACACTTGCAGCCAAAAGCAACCTGACTGACACACAAGCAGTAAAAAAAGTGACATTTATAGCGAGGATAAATACATGCTAGAAGTATAGAAAGAAAAGCTAATTCCTTTGACATTTCCCAGATTGGCAGCAAAGACCTAAGGGAAGACATTTCCAGTCTTCTGTTCAGTCTGGGAGAACACAGAGAAAGATGTAGAATTTCTCTGGGACTCTGTATGGACATGCGACTCCTAAGAGGAGGAGCCAGGCTGGGCAGTGAAGAAAAAAGTGTTAGTGGGTTTGTAGCACAATGGTATTGAATTATACTGCGTTTTAGGGCTTTATAACCTAACACATAAGAACACCAAACTATTATTGAGGAAATTAAAGTGATCTTTCAGGCTCAATTATTGAATCTCCAACTGCGGCTAAGTTGCGGGGAAGGTCCCCCACCTTCTCTGTGCCCTTCTTTATTTTTTGGAATGTCCTATCCTGGGACTGTGTGTGTGATTCTCTGAGCACTGAGTGGAGAGACAAAGCTGTAAGACTCCCAATTCTGGGAAAGGGGAGGAGGAATCAACATGGCAGCCAACCTCAGAAAGATAAACCACCACTCTTAAGGAACTCTGAAGTCTAGAAAAATACGTTTTTTAGGAAGCTTAGCTCTTTCCAAAAAACGAGATATTGCAAAAAAGAATACTAATCTAATGGTTTTTCAAACAGATGTCTAGGCTACCTTCATTGGATAAAAGCACATTCAAGCCCCAGAGTGAATGGCCCTCTTTGAAACCAACCTAAACCTCAGAACCTTTGGAAAGTTTTCCCCTTCCCCATTAGCACTTGCTGTCTGACTCCTCCTGGTAGGGTCTGCCAGATCTCCAGGGTTGCCTCCAGCTCATCTGGAGGGGTCCCAGCTCATATGCCACCTCTCAGAAAGCTTTCCCCAATCCGTCGATCTAAGTAACTCCCACAGCTACCATCGCAACATTCTATTTGCTTTCTTTGTCAGCCCTTGTCATTCCCAGAATAATCTCATTTGTTTATTGTGTATCTATCCCGGTTCCTGCAACAGAATATAAGCTTCATGGGAGTAGGAGCCTTGCCCTGTCACCACCGTATCCTCAGACTCCAGAACAAGGTTTCTCAACCTCACACTATTGACACTATTGACATTTTGTGCCAGATGATTCTTTGTTGTGGGGCTGTCCTGTGCATGGCAGGATGTTTAGCGGCTTCCCTGGCCTCTATCCGCTAGATGCCAGTAGCAACCTACCACCCACCCTGACAACCAAAAATGTTCCTAGACATTGACAGCTGCCCCTGGAAGGCAAAATCATCCCTAGGTTAGAGCCACTGCTCTAGAATAGTGCCTGACACTTGGTAAACACTCCTCAAGAGTCTGCTGAAGGATTTACCCCTTACAGACTGAGTACTGAATGAAAGCATTCACAGGAGAGTTTTTACACATTACTAACCTTCCTAATGGATATACTGATACAGTGAAACTCCTGAGTGTTGTCTGGATTAAAACATAATAATAACAGAATCGAGGGTCCATCCATTCATTCATCCTTATAATAAATTTTTGTCGAGTGCTCACCATGTGCAGGCACTGCTCAGTGCTAAGGATACGGCAGAGAACAGAGAACATTCTGGTGGGAGGCAGACAAAAAATAAGTAAATAAATGAGATCATTTCAGATAGTAATTGTGCGATGAACAAAATAAGACAGAACCATGGGCTCCTGAGTGATTCCTGGGAGTGAGGAGCTGGGAGGATGGTAGCACTTTTTTTTATTATTGGTATTATTTTTGAGCCAGGGCCTCACTCTGTTGCCCAGACTGAGTGCAGTGATATGGTCCTGCCTCACGGCAGCCTTCACCTCTCGGCTGAAGTAAATGGTGCCACTTTACATAGGCATCCACAGAGGCCTCTCTGTGGTGGTAACCCATGCTCTGGGACCTGACAGAGGAAAAGGGAGGGGGGCAACACCTGTGGGAAGAGCAGTCCAAGAAGATGGAATGCAGTTTGCCCCTAAACAATGTGGGGACTGGGGGCGCTGACTCCCTTACAGTTGAAAATCCAAGGTAACTTCTTACTCCCCAGAGACTTAACTACTCATAGCCTACTATTGACCAGAAGGCTCACCAACAGGATAGTCGATGAACACATATTATATATGTTATATATATTTTATGTTATATTCTTACAGTAGAGTAAGCTAGAGAAAAGAATATATTAAGAAAATCCTAAGGCAGAAAAAATATATTTACTATTCATTAAGTAGAAGTGGACCATCATAAAGGTTTTCACCCTCATCGTCTTCACATTGAGTAGACTGAGGAGGAGGAAGGGGAGGGGTTGGTCTTGCCATCTCAGGGGTGGCAGAGATGGAAGGAAATCCACGTGTAAGTGACCCACACAGTTCAAACCCGTACTGTTCAAGAGTCAGCTGTAGCAAGTGCAACGTCCCTGAGGCCAGAACAAGAGTGGCCCTCTCCTGGTACCAAAAGAAATTGGGTAGTGAGGAAGTATAATTCGTGGCTGGGAGGGGAGTTGAGGGGATGGTGTGGGGAAGGCAGCAAGACAGAGATCAGGGGGATTCACGCTTAAAAGTCTATCAAGATATCATGGACACGATCATGATCAAATGACTTGGAGCCACTCGATGTATCTCAAAAAGGACAAACTTGCAACAAATCTCAGGCAACAGGACTTTATGCAGCCAATACTTAATTTATAAAGTTTGAAATATTTACTGCAGGAAAAGTTCTTAAAAGATCTGTCGATAATAAACCATAACATATGATTAAGAAAAATTAGCATATAGTAAAATGCATCCTCACCTTGAAAACTTAAAAAAAATCACCTAAGATTATTATGCCTCTCTCTGATGTGGTGGGAATGAGGGCCGGCCACAGCAGCCACCAGGTGACAGCACGTAGTGGGCAGTTTCCTTGCCCGTTCCCTTCCTAGCCAGAACCCCCTGTCTCTCCCTCCCCACCTCCCACCTCTGCCTGCTTTACCCTGGTGGAAACTGCAAGCCACAGAGAAGAAAATAAAAAGAATTCATATCAAAGGCATTGTATAAATTTGCCTTTTCCTCCAAGCCTGGTTCAATTTCTGTTTTTTAAAATCGAAGTCCTCACAATTTGGTGATGTGGAGAAGCAGCTCATCAACATGGTGCCGCACGGAGATTACACCCCCATATAGGTGCAGTGCCTACAATATGCGGAGCTGTAATTAATTGTTAAACGGTGAGTCATCCTCATGCCGGAGGAACACATTTAAATAGCCGCAGAGGGGAGGCCTCCGGTTCCACAGAGACAAGGAATTCTCCTGGCCGCCAACAGCAGCCTCCTCAGAAGCCGCCTCTCCGGGGGGAGGCAGAGGCGGGGAGAGAGGCAGGCAGAGCTCCAGGTAATCAGCTCCTGCTTGCTGCAGAAGATGCTGCCAGATCTGGGTATTGTCTTAAAGGACGAAGGCACAAACACAAGCACCTTGCTTCCTGAGGATGCCCTTTGCTGTGGGCCGCACTGTGCTACAGCTTTGGATGCAAACTCGGCCTCGACTCCCAGCCAGG
Organism: Homo sapiens; assembly: GCF_000001405.40. NCBI lineage: Eukaryota > Metazoa > Chordata > Mammalia > Primates > Hominidae > Homo > Homo sapiens. The sequence goes on along the minus strand of NW_018654718.1, from coordinate 540,253 downwards.
GCGGGTGTCCTCATTCCAAGGCCCGCTCACCCTCTGGGCCAGGCAAGCTGCATAATGAGAGAAGGTGATTTCCATACGGGGGCCTTCCGGTAGTAAAAATGCATTTAGGAGAAAATAAATTTGAATTAAACTTACAAAACCCAGAACATGTAAATCAAGAAAGCGTTCCAAATGAAACCACAGCTTCGTTTGGAAATCATCTCTTAACACTGCAGTTCTAGACCTGGGTTCATTTCTGCACTGAACCCATCAGTAGGTGCTTATTTTCAGAAGCTCTGGTTCTATTAAAGGGTCCTCAAAACTGTCAGATTTTGAAATTAGTAAAATTAATTTCAGTTTGGTGTTACTGGTTCAAAAATTAATCTTCCCCCAATTTGGTTCTATTCAATCATTGACTTAAATGTGAGAAAATCTCACTTCTCTGGATGTTTTTGGAGGAGGGGAAAGGAAGGAAGTCCTGACTGATTAAAAAATGTCAAATTTCTGATTTTTGAAGAAAGGCAGTTTTAGTACTTGCACTGAACATATTACAGGCTGACTTAAATGAACACTAATAAGTAAAATTCAGCTAGTCACTGAAAAATTACTAGCCATAATAGGGCTTTATTACATAATAATAAGTGACATTATATCACTGAGTCTTAATTTTTAAAATCAATGGGAAACACAGTTTGTGTCAGATTTCCTGGGGTACAGTCTGAATGTACGCTGCCTGGCATTAAACTGAGCATTGTCAACAGTCAATGAGAGGATCCAGTGGACACAAGATGCAGGGGGATGGGGGCAGCAAGGAGGTCTTCCCAGAGAGGAACACATGCATTTCCAAGTGTGGAATCTCAGTTTACACACTGTAACAGGGAAAAGCAGCAGAGAGAGTGATGGGATTTAAACTTCCCGAGGGCGTGGTGGGTATGTTCTGGGCCAAGGTGGAGGCCAGTGTGTTGCATTCTCTTGGTTCTGCCAGCTTCCACTCCTGATCTCAAAAGCACAGCACAGCACCTGGAAGGAGGCAGGTGTTCAGGGCCAGCCTGTACCTCGTGGAAAGCCAGGCTCTGGAGGTAGGCATTGCATTTACTTTGCTGGGCAGCTCCAGCCCACCTTTTCTGAGCAAAAGGCAGGTGGCTAACAGGTTCTGTCCTCCTCAAAATCTGAGAAGCCCTAGAGGCTTCGCTTTCCCCAGCCCCCCTGGCTCCTAACAACTCTGGACCCTTGGTCTGGGGCAGTTCTGAAGAGCCCAGGAGCAGTTTTTCAGGAGGTCGTGTGGCTGCACACACCCATGACCATAAGAAGGCTAAACCCTGCTGCTCTGGTCGCTGCTTCCCTGGGACTGCCTGCAGACACCCAGTGACCTCTTGCTCCTCATGGCCCTCACAGCAGAGTAAAGATGCATAAAGCAACCGTCTTTTACGCTTCAGTGTAAATGTGTTCATGTGCTGGCTGGAACCACTGAAGGCCTTCAGGGAGTCTGCAACTGCAATTCTACATTATCCATTTGCAAAAATACTACTTTCCATTATGATTTATGGCAACCATATAGTGTGTCAGCTGTGTTATGCACTAAACAGGCCAGCCTGGAAAACTAAATGCCATTTGCAGTTTTCTAAGTTTGAAACACCAACTTAATAATAAATAAAAGAGCAGTTCAAAAGTTGGGAATCATCTATAAATTACTTCTGTGTGAAAAACTCAAAATATCTTATCAGGCCTCATTTGGGCTTTCACAACACCTAAGCTGGGAAATTCTGACTTGACTTTATCACAATTTATCACCTGAGCGTAGCAGAGAATCCTGGATTCATTACTTCCCACTAAGAGGTGGTTAACTGTTAGACTAAGCTGGCAAATCACAAGTATCCAGGCCAGACAGACAAGAGGAGCTTCCTAAACCAACAGAAGGACCCCAGACTCCTTGCCCCAGGTACACTGCCCTAAACCAGCCTGCCCCATCCACTTTAAGTACAAAAGGAAGTCTCAAGACAGTTCTCATCAGTTACATCATAATCTCTAAAGCAGAAGTTATTGGAAGAGAGGCTGAAGGATCCCAATAAGCTCCACATCCCTGAAGTAAGCCCTGCTCCACTAAGATCTACTTAGCAGGGATGGTACACTTGGTGCACAGGCTGGGGACCATCTGATCTGAACACTCCTCTGCCAGCGATGCTCCAGGAGCTCGGACCACGTGGCCTCAGGAGTCTTTTTCTCCCAAAGGCTGGGATCTCCAGGGATGCTGACATAAAATGAAGGAGTGGACTAAGTGGTCACTGTGGTCCCTTTCCAGATCTGACATACGAATTCTGAGTTTGGGGCTGAGGGGAAGCCCCTTCCCGGTTTCGACATTCCCTATCCTAAGCACTGTCGAATTCCAGGTGCAGAGCGAGAGCTAGAGTAATATAATCTTGCGACTCCCTGAAAAATCAGTTCTAAAATTATTTCCCTATTCTGTTTAGGATGCTCATCCATCTGTCCTCCTTGCCTTCATCCCTACCCCTGCTTCCTACAGAAGTGGTTTCCTAACCCCCATTCAGTTTGTCCAACATCAGAAGACATTTTGATGATGGCATTTTTTCTTGTGACAGCAATGTTTTCCAAAGGAACTTGTCACTGAAATAAGGGAAACAACAAATCATAGATCTTTAGAGCTGGAAACCTACTTAAGTGCATCCAATTCAATCCTGCCACTTTACTACAGGAGAAACTGAGGCCCAGAGATTTGCCCAGTGGTAGTAGCAGTAGCACAGCCATGAGCCCCAGTGAGTTCCTCCCTGCCTGTCCTGTGTTCTGTGGGAAAACTCCATTTCCTGCGGAAGAATCCCTCCTTCCACAGGGAGGGGCGTGGTGAGGTCCTCCAGCTGTGATCAGGACATGCCTTAACCTCCCTGAGGCTTTGGGACACTAAAACCCACTCCTCATGACTTACCGCCTGGACCAACTGACAATGTGTGCAGGCACTTAGCAAGGTGCCAGGCACGGCATGGGTGACTGTCACCATCATCACTGCTGCTATCGGTGATTTAAATACACACACACACACATCTCTTCTTTCATTCAGGGAAGTGTATTTGATTCATTTTCAAGACAACATTAGAATACATTCCCTATTTTAGTAGCTTGAAACTTTCTACCAGATCCCATCATAGCCAAAAAGACATCCTAGTCAGTGTTTGCTCTTGGGAATAAAGTGTCCCCAATGTCCTCAGAAGACCTTAGATCAGAAAACATTCCTATTTTCAACAGTGATGAAATTTTCAGATATTCCAATACGGATGCAGGGTAAGTCCTGGGGAACACTGTGCTCCTCTGAGGCCAGAAACCCAGTGACTCCTCCCCTCAGGTGCTCCACGGCAGGGTCAGGACTTTGGGGAGAAACGTTCCTGCATGGGAAGATGGATCGAGCTGCTGGAACATAAGTGATAACAAGGAAAGCAGCTCAGATAAGGCCCAAAACTTCTCCAGTCACTGAAATACCAGGCTCACAGTGGAGAGGGTATGTAAACAAGAATGTCACAGAGCAGGAAGGGGGAAGGAAGGAAGATAGGCAAGGAGACCCAAGAGCAAAGTCATCAATGAAAAACATTTGGCAGAAAATATCCAAGAGAAAGAACAGTACATGAACAGAAAGGGAGAAACAAAGCTCACCAGCAGCACAAGGTCAACGTGAGTAAGCTATGTAATATGGCTGCTCAGAGGAGGGGGAAGAGGGGACAATCAGGAAGAGGAGGGGGAGCAGGAAGGGGAAGGGGAAGAGCAGGGAGGAGGAGGAGAGGGAGGAAGAGCACAGAGGAGGAGGAACGGGAGGAGGCAGAGGAGGTGTAGGAGGAGGAGGGATAGGAGCAGGAGGAGGAGGAGGAGGAGGAGGAGGCAGTGGAGGAGGAACAAAAGGAGTAGAAGGAGGAGGAGGAACACAGGGGGGAGCAGGAGGGGAAGAAGAGGAGAGGAACAGGAGGAGAAGCACTAGGAGGAGGAGGGAGAGTGGGAGGAGCCAGAGGAGGAGCAGGAGGAGGAGGACGGGGCAGGTAATCTTGGGCTGCATCAGTGGGAATCCGCTGACTCTAAGAGGAAGCCTCTTACTGCCTGGGGTCCAGTTGGAGCTGAGGTATCCTGGGTCAGGAATAAACACTGAGGTTCACATGGGAGTGGCCAGGACTGAGGGAGAGGGTGCAGAGACAAGGATGGCTAACCTCAAGGAAGATAAGTAAGAAGCACAGAAGCACTGTCTTCAATACCAAGACAGACGTCCTAGGGAAGAGAGGACACGTTCCTCCTCTGAGGACAAAATGAAGAGCAGCAGGTAGAAAATAAAGACTGGCAGCTCTAAGAAAAACCTTCCTTCCAATCATAATCTTCCCCACATAGATGGCCAGCCCTGGAGGTGTCAGGGCAGAGGCCAGACAGACCTGTCAAGGCTGCTGTAGGAGAAGGGCCTCCTCGGCTGGGTGGGCTGCAGAGGCCCAGTCTAGCACTGTGATACCAGGAAAGCAGGGGAGAGAAGGGTTCCAACCCAAGGCCCTTGCTCAATTCAGACGGCTTGCTCATCGCTTGCCTGAGTTCTCTTCCTACCTCTAAACAGAAGGAAAGGTGGCGAGCTCTCAACACCAGCCTCTACAGGGAAGGAGTGCATGGAACCTTTACAAGTTTTTTGTTTTTTGTTTTTTTTTGAGACAGGGTCTAGCTCGATTGCCCAGGCTGGAGTTCAATGGTGCAATCTCAGCTCACTGCCACCTCTGCCTCCTGGGCTCAAGCCATCCTCTCACCTCAGCCTCCCAAGTAGCTGGGATGACAGGTATGTGCCACCAGGTCTGGCTAATTTTTGTACTTTTTGTAGAGACAGGGTTTCGCCATGTTTCCCAGGCTGATCTCAAACTCCTGGGTTCAAGTGATCCACCCGCCTCAGCCTCCCAAAGTGCTGGAATTTCAGGCATGGGCCTCTGCACCCGGCCTTGACGTGACAAGTTTCAACCAGATGTTCCTGGCAGGGCCAGTAAGCCCCAGCACACCTGGCAGGAAACCATGATGTTCTCCCCTCACTCCAGGTGTGGAATCACAGCAACTAACAGCTTCTCCTGGGTGTACCCTGCAAATGCAAACCTACATGGAATGACATCTTGAATCCGAGGTGGGGAAATCTGCTCAAACAGACAGCTGTTTAAAAGGTTCTCTTCCCATTTGTACCTGATGAACTCTCTTCTGACTCTGAATGCAGAGGACAAAGGCCCACCTCCTCGGAAAAACACACAGCATGAAACTCTGGCTCAGCGCACCCTCTCCAGCTGTCCCTCACCGCTCCCCATCACACACTACACGTATCACAGCACCGCCAAGTCTTCCAGGGCTCTGTGGAGGAGGGGGAGAGTGGGGGGAGTGCCAGGTACCGTGTGGAGGAGGGGGAGAGTGGGGGGAGTGCCAGGTACCGTGTTACACACTTTCATACATTATCATCTTTAATTCTCACGACAACTTTCCAGTTGTGATGGCAGCATTCACATTTCACATAAGGGAAAATTAACTTTAATGAAATTAAACATAAAAGGAAAAAGTACTTAAAACCGACACAATTAGCTTCTGCCTTCTGAGACAGTGACATCCTTCAAAGCATGGGAAATGGACGTCTTTACTGCCCCTCTCCCTGTGGAAGGAGACAGGGTCCATCCCACGTGAGCCGGCCCGGCCTGCTGTGAGTCCGCAGGCACGGGAATCCACGCGCAGAAGAAGGCTTGGAGCTGAGCTCAGGGGTGGGGACTGGAGAGGGCTGAACTGCTCTGTATAACAAAAACAGGGGGCGGTGGGTGTTAAGAGTTGTTTGGGAGCAGCAAAGTGGGAGAGGTGGAAAGGGCAAGAAATATAGGAAGACACAGCAGCCAACCTGGCAAAAAGGCCTGAGGGGATTTCTCAGCACAGAAGTTTCAGATATTCAACATTCACATTACTGTGATGTCAGCTCCATCTTCCCAAAAACTTGAGTGCAGGCTGAACCAAAAACCGTGAGAGGGAGGGAGGGGGTGTGTGTGTGCGCGCCCATGTGCGTGCATGTGTGTGTGTGTGTCTGTGCCTGAGTGTGTATGTGTGTGCCTGTATGTGTGAGTGCGTGTATATGTGTGAACGTATGTGTGTGAATACATGTGTGCGTGCGTGTACACGTGTGCCTGTGAGTACATGTGTGCGTGTATGAGTGTCCATGTGTAGGTGTGTGCCTGTGTGAGACCATGTGTGCATGTGTGTGCCTGTGTGTACGTGTGCGCCTGTGTATGCGAGTACATGTGTGAGTGCATGTGTGTGCCTGTGTATGTGTGTGTGCATACGTGTGCCTGTGTACGTGAGATCATGTGCATGTATGTGCCTGTGGAGGTGTGCCTGTGTGTGAGTGCATGTGTGTGCCTGTGTGTACGTGTGTGCCTGTATGAGACCATGTGTGCATGTGCCTGGGTGTACGTGTGTGCCTGTATGAGTACATGTGCGTGTGTGTGCCTGTTTACATGTGTGCCTGTGAGTGCATGTGTGCCTGAGCGCATGTGTGTGAGTGCATGTGTGTATGCTTGAGTACATGTGAGTGCATGTGAGTGAATGTGTCCATGTGTGTATGTGTGAGTGTATGTGTGTGTATACATTAAAGAAAAAGCATCAGGCCCATGTCTGGGTTAATCCACAGCAAAAGGAAAGTCACAGCCAGAGAACGTGACTCCCGGTGAGCCTGGAGCCAGCGTGACTGCAGAGGGCCAGTCCCCAGGTGATGCCGGTACGCTGGAGAAGGCCTGGGAAGATGTGCGGAGACAGACACCTGGGACACCTAAGGACCAAGCCCAGAGCCACGCTGCTGGTGAGTGTGGGCCGGCGCTTCAGTCTGTCTCTATCTGAAGACACATCCAGGCCTTTTCCTCTTCCTTGCTTGGGTTGCTGCTCTTCTCATGCCCCTGCTCTCCTGGACCCCACATCCAGCACCCCACACCCCACATCTCCCTGGCAAAATCCCCTCTGACAGAGCCTCTCCTGACGCCCCAGGGTGAACGGGCTGCTCCGTGGAGTGGGGACATGGCTGACGTGCACCACACCTGCTCTTCCTCCTGGGCACGGCACTGGACCACACTTCCCAGTATCCCTGGACAAGGCAGGGCCACAGGCTGAGTCCCAGCCAATGGGACTTGCAGGAAATGACTGGCACCCTTTCTAGGCCTAGACCCTAAAACATGGGTGCGACTTGGGCCCTTATCTGTCAGCCAGACTCAGGGGTTTAAAAGGGGGCGGGTTCCAAGGCCTGAGAGGATGGCACAGCCTGTCGGCAGAAGTATTCTGAGACCCTGAATAACCCTTCTTGCCACCCCACCAATCCAAGCTGGGCTGTGATGTGAACAAGAAACTAACCTTTACTCTGTGAAGCCACCAGCTGCTGGGGGTGACTTGCTACAGCAGACAGGCTACTCAGAGCACTGTGCTCCTCTCTCTACAGCCTCCTCGCCTGCCGGCTGTATTTCCATTTTCCACAAACACACCTGTTTTCCCACTGGATTGACCTCCTTGAGGAAAGGAACTGTATTATACTCATTTCTACGTCCTTTGCACCTAGAATGCACAGCTTATGTCTTCATTGAGTGCGTAATGAATAAATAAGTGAATGGCTGGCAGGGCCTAGTGGAACCCAACACGTCTACGATACCCTGAAAAAATTAAAACAAACAAACAACAAAAAACAGAAAACCAGACCCAATGCTAGATAAACGGCTGATGGAGGGAATGGGGCACTGCGGGGCGGGGATGAGCAAAGCCTTCCCTGCTGTGCAGCCACACCTTGAATGACAAAAACCTTACCTGGGAGAACGCTGGCTGGCAAGGAATTTTTCACTGTGCTCCATCCTACAGTATTTTGAAATCTTTTGTTTAAATCGATTGGCAATGTTTAAACACGCCATTTCACACAGAAGTACAACATTGCTAATTAGGCAATAAGGAGAGAGACAGTGTCATTTCCTGGTAACGCATCATGCACAAAAAGCCCTCCCTCCTTCCAATAAATTTTAAAGGATTTCACATCATCTCATTTTTAGTGCAGAAAGAGGATTCCATTCCATTAACAAAGAGCAGGTTCTGGTTGGCTGTGCTATTCCTTTAACGTTGAACCACAAGGCATGTCCCAAGATGCTTCACTCAGGTGTAAGAAGCACTGGTACCCAGCCTTGAAGGTTTCGGCTCTCACCTGGATCACAGGCAGCCTCTTTTGGGACCTCCTTTGTTCTCTTGCGTCAGTGATCTCAAGGGATCTGCATCTTCTTTTGCTGTAGATAATTGCCTCAAGTACTTTTGTGAGTTTTTTTCTTTCTTCTTTAAATATCACTAGTTGTAAGAGCCCTTAATGAGCACGTTATTTTAATGGGGCTGGCCACAACTTCATGCTGTTTTACTTTAGCTTCTCTTATGGCAGGTAAATCACAATGGCGGAAGATGGCCAAATGTTCCTTGGTTTCCCTGCCCCTACAGGTTTCCACTCCACACGCTGATAGTTTTCCAGCCAGTTAGCAGCCCTCTGCCTGGAAGCTGCCCTTTGGAAGCTGGACCTGGCCCCCTCATCTCGCGCAGCAGCCAGCGCCCAGCTTCAGTCCCCACACAGGCAGCCACGATGGCCCATATGGCAAGTCTCCCTGTTTCCATGGACTGGGCCCTTCTGACACGTCCTGGGGAGCCTGCTCCCGCAGCGTGCAAGGTTTTCTCCAGCCTTCTCTCCTTGTACGCATCCCACTCTTATCCCGAGTCAGTTCTTCCCCATTCCTCTGGTAGCCATTTGGTGCTCAATATTTGCACACACAGCCAGCAAGGGACCTCTGTCCTCGCTGCATCCATCTAGCACAAGGCTCTCTTACTGGGCAAGGGGAGAAATCCTGTATCAGGTTACACCAGATCCACACAATGGTGCTAACCCAGGCACCATCCCAGGAGAACCAGTGTTCTCCACTTCTCCCAACACTTAGAAAAGCTGAGCTGTTTGATGCTTCACGTTGGGAATGTGTCTTTTTTTTTTTTTTTTTTTTTTTTTTGAGACGGAGTCTCGTTCTGTCGCGCAGGCTGGAGTGTAGTGGTGTGATCTCAGCTCACTGCAAGCTCCGCCTCCTGGGTTCACACCATTCTCCTGCCTCAGCCTCCCAAGTAGCTGGGACTACAGGCACCCGCCACCACGGCCGGCTAATTTTTTTGTATTTTTAGTAGAGACGGGGTTTCACCATATTAGCCAGGATGGTCTTGATCTCCTGACCTCGTGATCCGCCTGCCTCGGCCTCCCAAAGGGCTGGGATTACAGGCGTGAGACACCGTGCCTGGCCTTATTCTTCCTTCTTCTAAAGGATTTGGGGCAACTGATTTAGTATCATCTGGGATCGTCAGAAATTTTCCACATTTCTCAGAGAACACTTCTTGTATTTTATAAGGATACCACCAAATAGGAGATTAGAGGACCTGAGACCCAAGTATAATATAGGCCTAAAAACCGAATATCAATTTGCTGAAACAGTGTCTTTCTCTTTTTATTTTTATTTTTTCTCTCTCTCTGGGGATGGGGAGAGACAGAAGAGATTTTATCCATTAGGTGCAATAGGTTCAACTCTTATATCCTATAAGCTTTTTCACTGTCCTGAAAAAAAATGTGAAAATCAGAAACAAAACTAGATTGGGTCCAAAATATAAAACTAGAAAATCAAAATAAATATTTCACACAACATCTACAAAAATTAACATTGTGCCAACTAGTCAAATGCATCTCGATCCATAGTTATCTATCAGAATAAGAGTTTATGTTGCAAGACTAAAATGAATAATTTATTCTTAATAAAACTCAACATTATAAAAAATACAACCATTCTTCCCAATTGTGTTATAGCAAATATATTCTATTTGATGTGCGAGGTAGATGCATTTTCAGATGTTTGATATGCGGAAAGGCAGAGTTGCCAACTATCTGAGGGTCTGGGACTTCAGAGGCCTTAAGAGACCATGGGGAAGATACCACTTACCAGTCCATGTGGCCCCTAGGGTACCTGCTGATAAGAAGTTCCTTTTTGGTGTTTTTAATTCCTAGTGAAAAGCCTCCTAGGCAGGCTGCTTATGCTGCTGGGTGTCTGCTTCTCACAGAAGCAAAGCTAGGGCTTCGGGGAAAGGCAGCTCCCAACCTGTGGCCAATACCACAGCAGGGGCCAAGGTGCCTCTCCTGGCATCCTCCTCGCCCTCAGCTCAGTCCCCGTCCTGGGGGCAGCAGACTCTTCTCTGAGATCAGGATGACCTGTCAGGGGCCTGGAGCCCCCCACCTTCTGCTGCAGGCATGAGGGATGTGGCACCAGGAGGGGTCACCGAGCAAAGTCGGCTTTTGCTCCTTAGTAATCTTTCTCCGGAGGACAGGCAGGGACCCCACAAACCAATCGCCGCCCCTGTGGGGACCACCCTGCTTCCTTGGCTACTCCGGTTCTCACCGCAGTGCCCACATCTTCAGCCCTCTGGCCTGTCGGTCACTGACTCAGAAAGGTGGGTCTCTTCACCCTTGCCTGGAAGAATCAGCTTTTCCCTCTGAGAGGGAGACTTACCTGGAGCTCCCAGGAATGAACAAACTAAGCCCTGCGCAGATGCTCAGCCTTGGGAAGAGGCTGAGGCCTCCAGAGGGAAGTTTCTGTGTGCCCACTCTGTCCCTTGCTGCCTCAGCCTCTCTCCTGCCCACCGCCCCACCTCAGTTCCTCATGCAAATCATTTCCTGGCCGTTGCTGATTTGTATCTTTGGCCCAAGACAGAGAGGCTGCTATGGGGGCTGGCTTTGCACAGAGGTTCCTACCAGGGTAGACTGGTGGATTAGAACTCCGAGCCTCGACTGGGTCCTAGCTCCACCACACAGAGGCTAGGCAGTGCCACCCCAGGCAATCATTTAACCTCTCTGACCTCAGTTTCCCCAACCATAAGACAGAAAATATTCACTCACAGAATGATGGTAAAAATTAAATTAGATACTGCCTGGAAAAGGTTCTGAAAACATGAAAAGGTACACAAATGTAAGATAACGTTTTACCATGAGTCTGTGTGTTTGACTCTGCTGGCAACAAGCTGAGCACCGAGGGATGGGGGCAGCAGGACAGGCAAGGGGGCAGCAGGACAGGAAAGGGGTCGGGTGTGCTCACAGCCAGTTTGTGGGGAAAGGGGACCTCACAGGGAAAAACAGATGGTGCAGCACCAGGAAGGCAAGCAAGAAGTGTCACATATGTTTAAGATAATACACTCTGGGTCAGGCAGACCTGAATGCAGAGCCCCTGCTCTTTTAGTCATGTAACCTACTCTGAGCCTCAGTTTCCTCTTCTGGCAAGTGGGGCTAATGAGAGCTTCCCCATCGGATTGTCGAAAGGATTAAAGGAGGTCGTGTTGATAACTGACTTAGCATAGTACCTGGCATATAGTAATCACTTAAGAAATCCCATTATGATTAAACTGATGTCCATTGTGCTATGGAAACGTGTAAGTGCTGAATTCCAGGCACATGGTATGAACAAGTCAGGGATCAATAAATCCATAAGCAATGTCTCCAGCACATCTCAGTTTGTCTCACAGACCCTGACCCCCAGGGTTTTTAGTCTCTATTTCTCCCTTCATTTCTTTAAAATAAAAAAAAGTGAAGGCAAGTTCTCTTGGGTACAGGCACATTTCACACTGAAAGGAACCCTTACCCCCTCAGCGGCCACCTGCCCATGGCCCGCAGCCGCTTCAGGACACCCCTAGGAGGATGCAGAGGTGGCCACCTTGCCTCACCCACAATGGACCTAGTCACTTGGGCCTAGATCCCAAGACAGCCTGCCTTCCCGGCCACCCATAACATGAGCCGAGAGGACCGACCACACAGCTGGGGACTGTGACTAAATGCCGGGAGGGAACCAGGGAAGGCTCTGTGCTGGCCACATGTCGGGAAGGGAGACCTTTATTGCAACCATCCCACGCTAATTGGTCCTGGGCTGGGCAGTTTTCCCATAAAGATGAGAGGACTGAAAGAAGCTCACCAAAAACCACAGCCCGTAGTGGAGGCAGCTGCTGAGGCGAGTCTGGCCGTAGCCACCTCAGAGTAGGGAACCGAGTGAGGTGCCTGGAAAAGGAGCCAGAGAGCGGCCAGGAAACGATCCGTGCCCTGGCTGAGAAAACCAATCAATCAGGCTACAAGTGTGCATTGGGCGCTCGGCACGGGACAGCCACAGAGAAGCCTGAGAGACTGCAGGAAGTCTAGACTGCTGCCCAGGCGCGGCTGGAGCCCACCGGGCAAAGACACGTGGTGCAGGAGGAAGGGTGAGTGACACTCCCAGGCCGCTTCTGCCCAGGGCCACACAGACAGGGCAGGAGGCAGTGCTGGGACTGCCCTGACAAAGTGCCACAGACAGGGCAGCTTACTCAACAGAAATGAACTTCCTGAAGGCTGGAAGTCCAAGATCAAGGTGCCAGCAGGGTGGATGTCTCATGAGGCCTCCCGCCATGGCTTGCAGTTGCCCCTCTTCTCCCCATGTCTTCACATGCTTTTCCTTCTATGTGTGTCTGTGTCCATGTGTGTCTGTGTCCAAGTTTCTTCTTTTTATAAATCCAATCATATTGGAGTAGGCCCACCCTAATGGTCTCATGCTAACTTAATCACCTCTTTAAAGACCCTGTCTCCAAATGCAGTCACATTCTAGAAGTACAGGAGACAGGGCTTCAACACATGAGTTTTGGGGGGACCCAACTCAGCCCATAGGATTTCAGCCAAGAGACAGGTGGGCTTCCGGGGTTAGGGCAAGGCCCTGAGGGCGTGGTGGGATATGGAGAGTAGACGGGGTGGGGAGCGGTGCAGGAAGTGCTCCAGGCTGGAGGAAGGACTGTCCCCTTCTCTCCTGCAGAACAACTCCTCCCCATTGTCTATCTCGCCTGCCTGCCACACATTCAAATAGAGAAGAATGTGGGCCACAGGTGAGGTGGGAGTGACAAAAGCCAGGGAAATAGGAACCCGAGAGAGACAACTTGGAGATGGCAGTGGGGACATTTGAACTCCTGCTGCTTGGCCACAGCATGGTGAATGAACTACAGCTGCGTTGAGTTGTAAAGCCCAGGAGCAATGAGCCACGCGGAGTAAGATTCCATGGCTGCCAGTAGGGCCTGTCCCCCCAAAAATATTAGCTCCACATGCCTTTCCTTAGGACTTTAACCCCAGTTCAATACTAAATGACTAAATACCCAGAGGTGGGGTCACATTTTAATTCACCATGAGCCCTTTAGATGTCAGTGCTAATGGGCATGTTTGGGGATAGCGGAAGTGGGATATATAAAGAGACTGCACCTCTGAGCAGGGTTGGAAAGCAAGGTTCTCTGCCTGCCTCTCCACGGCGCCTTGTTTGCCTGTCTTCCTCATTAGAACCTAAGTTCCGTGAGCCCAGGACTTAGCCTTGCTTCTCACTCTGCTTCCAGAGCCCATGACATGCCTAGAACATGGTTGACAAGCAAGAAATAGTTGTTGAACAGATAAATGAACAGGCTAATGAATAAACTATGTAGAAAGATACTTAAGCACTCGACAAGTTCATATTCTAGATGTAGCCTCATCAGAGAGGCAAACACATTCTTGGGTTGATGTGGTCTATGATCAGCCCTGCCAGGAACGACGAAGAAACATGTACCCTAACGTATTCACCGAAGACTCCAAACTAACACAAACTTATCTCAAATTATCAGGGAACCAGATCATCTACAGCAACCAGAAGCAGCTGTGAACCTCTGTCCCTGTAGTGGTAAACACAAGGGTATGGTCGGGAAGTCAGAGCTCCTCCTACAGTCCATGGAGCATCCTAGAAGATTTATAAGAATAAAGAAAGCAAGTTACAAAGCCGAGGCCTCGTGGCTTCAGAAGACACATTAAATAACAAGTCCCTTCGGCTGCTAAACACAGAGCCAGCATTCTCTTCCTGCCGGCTTTCAACACGCACACCTGAAAATCCTTCAGAACAACCGCAGCCCCAGCTCTGGTGCCTGCTTGCCTTGCCAAGAAATCAGAAGCTGCAGGCAGTGGGGGATGGGATGGAGAAAAGAGAGGAGATTCCTGCAGAAAAAGACTGGGCCAATTAGGAACAATTGCAAAAGCTTTCAGACCAGGCAGAGGCTGGCCCTCTCCTGCACATACCAGATCACTCTGTCTCCCTCTTCCACGTGGATGGATATAATTCATAACAGATTTTACGTTTACAGGAACCAGGCTGGAACATTTTCCACGCTGACTTTTCAGGCTGGTGACAACTAAGTATCTTAAGAACCTCTAGAGACAGAGCTGATGAGATACCGCTATTTCCTCAGCCACTGCCCTACCTGCTGGAGAGCCCCGTGACTAACCACCTGTTCCTATTTCCTGACCCACCTGGCGGGAAGGCAAGAGACGAGGGCAGAGCAGGGCTGGCCCTGGGGCCTTTCGCCTACCAAGCCCTCATTCTCCAGCCCCACTCTCTGTGCCCGCTAGCACATACCATGAGAGGATGCATCTTCATTTGTGTGGGACCGTGACATTCTGATGAAAGCCGGGGGGGGGTCTGTCCCCAGAAAAAGACGCAGACAACTTTTGTTGGTATATATTGTTAGCACGTCTTCAAACTGAACTATGCATCAGAATCACTGGGGAAACATTTCTGATTCCCGTGCAGCCCCTTCCCACACTTGTGGAAATAGAATCTCTAGAGAAGGCAGCCCAAACTTTGTGTTTAAGAGACCATTCCCGGTGCTTACCAGATCAGCGGGACACAGACCTATGAGCAGGTGTTAGGGAACCTCTGCATAGGGACTCATGCCCCTCAGGCGAAGGAGCTCTGTTCTCCTACAAGGTCAGGAAGGGAAGAAAACTTTCTTTTTTCTTTTTTTTTTTGAGCCAGGAATTATGTTAAGTGGCTTCCCTAAATTAACTCATTTAATTTCATTTTCATAGAAATCACGTCAGGGGGCTGGGCATGGTGGCTCACGCCTATAATCTCAGCACTTTGGGAGGCCGAGATGGGAGGATTGTTTGAGGCCAGGAGTCGGAGACAAGCCTGGTCAACATAGTGAGACCCCATTTCTATTAAAAATACTAAAAATAATAATTTTTTAAAAACAAAATAAAAGATCATCTGGGGGAAGTGATATCCCCATTTAAGAGGTGAAGAACAGAGGCTCAGAAAGGTTAAGGATTACCTGGCATCCGGTGGACTAAGGACCGAAACCAAGACCACCTTCTTCCAAAGTCCTCTCTTCCGAGGACAGCACCATCTAAACCCTGCCTGCAAGATGTCTGCACACGCGCCCCTTCCCTGAGCCGCTGCAGGGTGGGGTGTGCCTTCATCAGGATGGCCGTCATCACAGTGTCATCGTGGACCACTTCCTCTTTCCCCTACCTTGGACTCAGGGATGCTCAGGCGCACATCCCAGTCACCTTGCAGTACACAGTCCCTAGCACACTTCCAGTCCACAGTGAGCACCGGACAAATGTTCTGTGGAGGAATTAGACAAAGGAAAGGAGAGAGTGTAGGGGTAAGCTCACCACCTTCTCCCTATAAAAGCTTCAGAAGAGAAGTCATTTCCCCAAAGTAACTTTACATTTTGTAACATCAATACTATAAGATACCAGCGACCCCCGACAGGGCTCACCAATATGCAAAGAGACTGTGAAATGGCTACAAATGTGAGTGGATTTCGATTTAAGGTGGTTTAGGAGGGGGAAAAAAACCCCATAAGGAGAGATTTGGGAAAGGCATTGGGAGAGGGGCCTCGTAGAAGCAGAAGCAGAAGAAACCATCAGCATACCCACCCCAGGGTGCATGAACCCATCACTGTAACAATGTCATGTTCTCACTCACACAACGGGGAGCCTGTGTTTGGCTTTCACCAGTATTACCTGATTTGCTCACACAATTTTATGGTGGCTGTTCTTGCTTGAATATTACTGAAGAAGATTACATGGGTTCAAGGTTGGTACCGTCATTTTTTTTTTTTTTTTTTTTTTTTGCAGACAGAAACTCACACACAATCTCCCCAGTTCCCTCCCGATGTTAAAATCCCTTCTCCAATACCTCCCACAGCCACCCAACCTCTCCTTGAATGCTTTCAGGGATGGAGAACTCCTGGCCTCTCAACATGTTCCATTTCTGAAGAGCTCCCTATTGAACCCATACCCTCCACCCACTGGTCGGAGTTCTACATTAATGAGTAATCCAGAATCAGTTTACCCCCACTCTGCAGGACCCCCTTAACACACATCTTGCCTGCATCCTCCAGCTGTTCCTCTGGGCCAGAGACAGAGTGTCCTTGCAGTCCATTACTTACCCTCGCTAAGCTCCAGTGTTCTCATCTATAAAAGGGTAATAACAGTAATATCTACCCCATGGGGTTATTGTGAGGATTCAGTAATGAGCTGTAAAAAAACGATATCGTGGATGTGGGTCCCCTGGCCTACAATAACTAGAATATTATTGCTCTTCTTTTTCTTGCCCTGGCCTACACACTACTCACTATTCTGTGGGTGCAGCATGGAATTGTGTCATATTTGTAGCAGTTCTGATGGCAACAAGAATAAAATAAAACACCTGGATTTGTTTTCATGGGCATGACCCTCAAATCTGCGCTCCCCTATTACGCCTTTCAGCAACTGAGTTTTGGAACCTAACATCAGGCTCAAATGTTTTCCTGTTTGTTTCAGCTCGCCGTGTCAGTCTGCTGTGATCATGTTGATCTTAACTCTGTCCCCACACTGAAGGCCTGGGTGCTGCCCCTTCCAGCTGTCTCTCCACTTGTATCTTAGAGATTCTCTAAATAACTTCAAGCATGAGCCCCAAGACTAGAGACTCAGGAACTGCCTCTGTGAAAGGACTGCAATTCAGCTGAACATTTTCTGGATGAGGAAACAGAGGTGCAAAGATGTCAGTTGGCTACAGGAAATAACAGAGGTAGTAATGATCATTGTTACCGCCGTCACGGACTGGGCTCTCCTGTCCACAGGCACTATGCTACATGCTTTACACAGGGGTCTTCCCCAGACTGTAACCCCCCAGAAGAAAACATTTGAGTCTGATATGTAGGTTCCAAAACTCAGTTGCCCAAACACGTAATAGGGGAGTGCAGATTTGAGGGTTATGTTCATGAAACAAATCCAGGTGTTTTATTTTATTCTTGTTGTCATCAGAACTGCTACAAATATAACACAATCCCAAGCTGCACCCGTCCCCAGAGGGCAGGATGCGTGGCTGCAGTATTCAGCACCCCATACTCTGCACTCAGCTCTGTGCCAGACACACACTAGGGACTCAACAAACACTTGCTGAACAACCATTTGACATTTCCAACAACCCTCATTTTGAAAATGATAAAAACTATACTTTAAGAGATTAAACAACTCACTCTAGGTCCCCAGCTGATTCTGGGACACGCTGTGATTAGAACCCAATCTGCCTGGCTCCAAAACCAGCCCCTCACTTTACGGCCTCCCTATCAGCAAAAATGTTCTAGAACGCAGCGCACTGGACAGTCTCTCAGCATTACATCTGGGAACTGAGCCACTGTAGTCACATGCCCCAAACTTATATCTAAACAAGAGAAGTGGGGAAAACCTACCAAGACCTAAAATATCTTTGAGCAGAGAAGATCCTTTAGCCTCTGCTCCCAAAATGACTCACTTTCTGGTTCCATTCTCCCACTGACTCATCCTGCTGGGACATTTCGCTTCCTCCAAAGCAGGAGGGCTCCATGCCAGGCTTGCCAGCACTCAGGCCCTGCTGGGCTTCCTAGCAGAAGCCAGTTCCAGGGAGGAACAAGAACCAGAGCCTCTGTATCCTAATGCTTTCCCCACCACCCCTTTGGCCTTTGCCAGACACCAGGGAAGAAAGAAAGGGTTCTTTCTCTTCATCTACACTTAAGAGTGTGTGGTGTTTCTGTGTGTAGGTATGTGTTTATACTTGCATGCGTGTTTACTCAGAATGAAGGCTTCATCCATCCATCTACCGTGTGCTCAACCTTACAACAGACACTGTTGGGGTTACAGGGAACGAGAAGACGTGCTCTCCATTCTAGCAAGTATGAGCAAAGACCTGAGTGAGGCTGCTCAGGAGGCAGTTGGAGGGCCTGCCTGGCCAAAGGATGAGTGGAGAAGGAAGGGCCTTGAGGACCAAGCTCAGAAAATTTTGATTTTCACCTGTCAGATGAAGAGAAATGATCAAAATTTCATTTGAAGCAGAGAAAGAGCATGGTAGAAGCTGATTCTTGGGAGATCAATCTAGCAACGGTGTGTACAGTGGTTTGGAGGCAGGAAGGCAAGAGCTCTTCCTGAGAGCAGGCTAGCATCCAATGAGCGTGGAGCAAGCATATATCCATTGAACAGCCAAATACTCATTTGTGGTCATTATTAGGAAACTTTGTTCTTTTTCGAGCTACTCTTTGCCAGTCTCCATTTTCCAACTTCACTCATGTCTGTTCCTTCCTCTGGACATCCTTCTTTCTAAATCTCTTCCAACTTTGAGACTCAGGTCTGGAGCCAATATTCTAGCAGCATTCCACTAATTGCAATAATATTTTCTAACGCAATAGGGGTCTGGGTCAATGTTCAGTATTCAGAGCCCGGAGTTTCTGTGGTGCGTATTAATCACGCATCGAGTGGGGCAAGGGGCTAGATGACTTCAAAAGTCCTTCCAACCTTAGAGTCTATGGGTCTAGGGTGCTAACTCCACTAACAGGTTGGTATGTTTTCCTTTCATTAGACAACTTACTTGTTCAGGAACATGGCTAAGACCAACCTATCATCAGCAGGTCCAGGGAACACTTCCTAAGTCTGTGGCAATGCATACCTCCTCCCCGACTTACTTCTGTGCTGAACTCCCAGCTCCACCTGGCAGGATGCCTGCCACAGCCATGAGTGCCTGGAATCACAGAACACTGAGAGTTTTATAAAAGACTGGATTCCAAGTCATCAAACATTCATTTTAATGCCTGTTTATCCATTAAATAACTATTAGGTTGTTCTAAGTACAGAAAAGACCGCCATCACATCTATCTCCTCTTTTAAATTATTTATTTATTTATTTATTTTGAGACAGAGTCTTGCTCTGTCAACCAGGCTGCAGTGCAGTGGTGCAATCACGGCTCACTGCAACCTTTACCTTCTGGGTTCAAGCGATTCTCCTGCCTTAGCCTCCTGGGTAACTGGGACTGCAAGCGCCTGTCACCTCAACTAGCTAATTTTTGTATTTTTAGTACAGACAGGGTTTTGTCATGTTGGCCAGGCTGGTCTTGAACTCCTGACCTCGGGTGATCTGCCCGCCTCGGCCTCCCAAAGTGCTGAGATTAAAAGCAAGAGCCACTGTGCCCAGCCTATCTTCTCCTTTTCTTCTCAGGGTCTGTGAATTTGTACGGGGGAAGAAATCACAATCACGGGTCCTGTTAATAATCTGGTACTCAAGCGGTTCCAAAGGCTCCCGAGTGGGAACCCGGTCATGAAGGAAGTCGGAGAGTCTGTCCTGGGGCCAGGAAAGGAAGGCATTTTCCAGGAGCAGAGAGGTGTTCACAGCCTTCTGTGACACCCCCACAAGGGGCCCAGACTCCAGGTCTTAGCGACCAGCTCTCCAGACACAGGAGCATTGATACCACAAGACAACTGCTTAGACTCCTGCTCAGATCCTGTAGCAAGCCTTCTGCAGATCCCTGGATTGTCGGAAAAACATAATCCTACATGCAGCATCAACTCTGAGTTAGGTTCATCCCATGCAAAAAGCAAAGTCCATGCTTCCTACAGTTAGTGCATGGCCCCTTGAAGAAACTCAGCAAGTGCTAGCTCCCTTCCCTTCTCGATAGCCAGCCGCTGGCTCCTCCAAAATCCTCCTGGCATGACAACTCTATTTCCTCTCCTGTTAAACTGATGGATATTGGTGGCTACCAAGGACGGATACCCATTTGAAATAATCTGCTACTTCCCCAGCAAGCAACTTTCCTTTTAATAAGAGGCAAAGAGTCCATTCCTAAGTCCTGATATCCCTTCCTTGGAGAATCTGCTTCCTTCACTGTGTCCTTCCTTTTCTCTGCAGATCTGCAGTTTGAGAAGAAACTTGCAATTTGGAGATGCCTGCCCTTCTCCTAGCTCCTCACCTCCCTTGGTGTGTCTCATCTTCATGCTAGGCTTGTGGGAATCTCAGAGGGTTACATAGAAACACTGGAAATCAGCCACGGGCAGTGGCTCATGCCTGTAATTCCAGCACTTTGGGAGGCAGAGGCGGATGGATCACCCGAGGTCAGGAGTTCAAGACCTGCCTGGCCAACATGGCAAAATCCCATCTCTACTAAAAATGCAAAAATTAGGCTGGTGTGGTGGCAGAAGCCTATAATCCCAGCTACTTGGGAGGCAGAGGCAGGAGAATCACTTGAACCCAGGAGGCGCAGGTTGCAGTGAGCCAAGATCGTGCCACTGCACTCCAGCCTGGGCAACAGAGCGAGAAGAAAGAAAAAGAAAGAAAGAAAGAAAGAGAGAGAGAAGGAAGGAAGGAAGGAAGGAAGGAAGGAAGGAAGGAAGGGAGGGAGGGAGGGAGGGAGGGAGGGAAGGAAAGGGAAGGAAGGAAAGGGAAGGGAGAGGAGAGGAAGGAAGAAAGAGAGAGGGAGGGAGGGAAAGACAAGAAAAGAAAGAGAAAGAAAGAAAGGGAGAGAAACACTGGAAATCAGGCAGGGAATAATGAGAAGGGATGCTTTCAAGCTGTCTTTGAGGCAAGATCTGCTTGAACTGGATTCTGTGTATTTTTTATTTATTTAGGAAGTTGCTGTTTAAGTTGAGGTGGAGTGTCTCTCTGGCTACTTTCACTGCATATACAAACCCAGAGGAGAAGACGAACAACGGGAGCAGCTACCTGACAGGGATAGAGGCGGCTTGTATCGTCCCCTCTCCTGGTTGCTAAGCACCCAGAAATTCACGAGCAGCCTTTGATAGGAGAGAGTTACAGGCAAGGAGAGATGCTCATCCACAGAAGGGCTCTCTGGGTGTTGGGAAGGCAGCCTGGGTAAAAAGTGCTCTCCAAGCTGGCTGGGAAAATCTGGATGGAAAGGAAAAGGTGCCCTGTTGCTCTGCACCTTATGCCATCAGACACCTATTGATTAAGCCGACCTGGCCATGGGTGGAGGGGTCACCCTCCGTAGACTGATGGCCGATCCCACCACAAATGCTGAGTTCTGGAATCATGAGAAGTTCCCCCTGAATGTGCCTTGCTAGCCAATGCCAATTCTTCAGTGATGGTAAAGACGGTCCAAAAGACTCACCACCAACCATGAAAGAAGATGGGTCAAGTGATAGCATTGTCCTCGTGTATCCCACTTTCAGTATAAAATGGAATTCCAGTTCTCTGGGGTGATGGACATGTAGCCATTGTTTAGAGACTCGGGGAGGAAGGTTTCTGCTCCGGGATTTTATGTCCTGAAGCGCTCGAGAATGCTATGCCTAGGAATTTTAAAGGACGGGATTGAGTTGGAAGCATTTCCTGTAATGCCACATGCACAGAGAACCCCTAGGAACAGGTGAAGCACTTGCTGCCCCCCAGCTCCAACCCCCCCAATAGGCCCTAGCTGACATGGAAGGAAGCTTGACCAGGGCTGAAGGCTCTCTGCTTTCAAGCCTAAACTCAGTTCTACCCTTACTTGACTTCTCCATCTTCTCCCCAAGCGGCCAGCAGGACCCTTTAAAAACGTGAGTCAGACTATACCTCTGCTTACAGTCCTCCAGGGCTGCCCATCTCATCCAGGGGAAAACCAAGGCCCTGAAAATGGTTTCTAAGACTCTGCCTGGTCTGCCCCTGCAACCACCTCTCTAGGCCCGTCTCCTACCATCTTCCCCACACGGGCTCCACACCAGCATCCCTACCTCACGCACTCCAGCCTTCTGCCTGGCCTGCTCCTCTCCAGCAATTTCTCACCTTCTCAAGAGTTTGCTTAAATGTCACCTCCTGAGCCTGCTTACCCTATTCAAGATTGCAAACCCAAATTCCTAGCATCCTCTAGCATCCCACCCCTCTAGCATCCTCATGTCCCTGTCCTGCTTTGCTTTCCTCCATAGCCTGTATCATCCCTGAACTAAATATATAGCACACCAATTTGTTCACTATCCATCTTCCCCCATTGGAATGTAAATTCCAAGAATGCAGGGATTTTTATCTGTTTTGTTCACTGCTGAACCATCAGGATGTTAGAACGATACCCAGCATATAGCAGGAACTCAATAAATACTTGTTTAATCAATTAATTAAAGACCTATCCTCCTTTGCAAGGGACCAACTCATTACTTTGAAAGCCGGTAAGTGATGAGAAAGCACCTGTCCTGCTTTTTCTGCCACATGGTATTTCAGGGTAACCAAACTGTTGATGAGAGAGCGTTCTTCTTTATAGAAGAATTCCAGCTACTCAACGCAAAAGGAATGACAGAATCAGAAAATGAGCATTTCAAGCCCTAATGAAATAATGGATCTGGGCAACAATCGTCAATGGATGTGAAAACCATCAGGGGAAAGGCTGATGGGGCCTCAGTAATAGATGAAGGATGAGGCTGCCAATCCCGGAGCCCACCCACCCATCTCAGTGTCACAACAGGAAGGGGCATAACCACAGCTGGCACATCCTTGACCCTCCCTTCAAAACAAACGGAACCTGAATCTAACTCCGAGGTCACAGAAAACATGGAGGATGAAGGAATAAATTAAGGGACAATAAGGAAGCAGCCAACCAAATCAAAATGAGGGACATTCTGCAGGACAACTGACCTAGTTTCTTCAACAAACAAATGACATGCAAAATGGGAGGGGGAACAATCATAGATAAAAAGAGATTTACAAACCTACAAGCAAATGTAATGTGTAGACTTTATTAGAATCCTGATTCAAACCAACCGGCAAAGATATTTCGACATAATAAGGGAAATTTACATATGAACTGAATATTAGATGATGTTAAGGATCTCTTGCGTTTTACTGTTATTGTTGTCTGGAGTGATAGAGGCATTTGGTGATATATATTTTTTTAAATCTTGTCTGTTAGAGATGCATGCCAAAGTACAGCTGACCTTGAACAACACAGGTTTGAACAGCGTGGGTCACTTACATGTGGATTTTCTTCTGCCTCTGCCACCCGAGATGGCAAGACCTAGCCGCCCTCCTCCTCCTCCTCTTCCTACTTCTCTTCCTCAGTCTGCTCAATGTGAAGACAAGGAGGATGAAGACCTTTACAATGGTTCACTTCCACTTAATGAATAGTAAATATATTTTACCTTCCTTAGGATTTTCTTAATGACATTTGCTTTTCTCTAGCCTACTTTATTGTAAGAATACACTAAATAATACATACAACATACAAAATATGTGTTCATCGACTGTTTATGTTATCAGTCAGGCTTCAGGTAAACAGTAGATTGTTAGTAGTTAGGCTTTGCGGGAGTCAAAATTTATGTGCAGATTTTTGACCATCCAAGGGTCAGCATCTCTAACCCCCATGTTGTTCAAGGGTAAACTGTACTTACAGGTGAAATTATATAATTGCTGGAATTTGCTTCCAAACATCCCAGAAAAGAAAAAAAAATCTTGAGGGAAATAGATAAAACCAAATCAGCAACTGTTTATAACTGTTGAAGCTGGAGCACGGGAACTCATTATCTATGTCTCTTTGATTACATTTGAAATTTTCTGTTATAAAATCATTTTAAAATATAAAAACTACCTGTCTTATAGATGAACTTAATGAGGTTAAAAAAATTCAAAGTACCTAGAATAGTTCTGAGCACCCCATCAATTCTGGTTGGAGGTCAAGTACTAGCAGCTGAAGAGCTGCTCATTTTATGACTATAGGGACTTGCTTTCCCTTCTAGAGAAAGCACCTCTGCCTGCAACAAAGCCCAGGCACTGGTGATGTCTAGAGTTTTCTCTCTTGCCTGAGAGCCCTCGAAGGCTGGCCACCATTTATCTGGGATACCACTTCCCT
Organism: Homo sapiens; assembly: GCF_000001405.40. Classification (NCBI taxonomy): domain Eukaryota; kingdom Metazoa; phylum Chordata; class Mammalia; order Primates; family Hominidae; genus Homo; species Homo sapiens. The sequence continues at coordinate 516,298 of NW_018654718.1, read as the reverse complement.
TTTCCATGCAAAGCCACACATGTCCCTCTCGTCTGCCTCCTTCCCCTTGGGCAGCTCCTTCGCCCCTTAGATGTTCTTTAACCACAACTAAACATATTATGTAATAAATCTGTGAACTTGTGTGGGAAGTATTAAAACTCGCCCTTTGATGTCTGCTGCTGATTCTAAGGGGGAAGGGGGCTAATTTTTCTTAAATTCCAGGCCCTTAAAAGGTAGGTAATATTGTCCCTGATTCCCACATGAGGAAACAAAAGTGCAGAGAGATTGGGGAAGTTACCAAATCACAGGGCTCCCCATCATCATAGCAGGACACATCTGGTGCCTACTTTGAGTCAGGCACAGTTCTAGTAGTAGGTACTATAGTTAGCCCCGTTTTACTGATCAGGGAACTGAGGCACAGAAAGGTTAAGGAGCAAGCCTAGTGGTGGTGGCAGTGGGGCAGTTGTGGTGGAGCAGGTGGGGGTAGGGCTTGAGCTGGATCCTGCTACTGAGGAGAACAGGCTCAGGCGGGGAGAAAGGGAGTCCCGCTCCCAGCAGAAGATGGGGATACAGGGTGAAAACACACACTGCACATAGAGCATGCATCTCACTGCACCTGGTATCAACAAATGGGGTGATTATACATCTCATAGATCATAAGTAAGGTGACCACATGTCCCAGCTGGCATGGGCCAGTCTTTGTTCCCACATAATCTGCCGCCTTTCCTTCTCAAATGTATCCCAATTTGGATGATAAATTGTATGATCACCTTCCATCATAAGCTCTTGTGGGGTAAGAAAAGCACATGATAGCCAATTAATACCCGTTGAATAAAAGGTTAATGAATTTCTTTCCTATGGTGACAAACCTTCCTGGAAATGGAGAACTGACTAAGTAATGGTCTCTGCAGTTTCCTTGGTAACTCTCTAATTCTGTGACCCACAACCCTTTCCTAACTTCTCCCCTCAGACTTAAATATCCACTCTGCCCCCAGTCCCCTCCATCATCCCACTACATCTCTCAGGGCAGTGAAGTGGACCTGGGTTAGGGCCAAACACGGAAACTCCTGCACTCTTCCTTTGTCACTCTTAAGTAAGAGACACCGCCGGACACACTCATCCCACTGCTTCCCTCGCTCACAGTAAGCCCTGCTCTCTCCTGGACAGACGCCAGTCTCCTGTCTGCAAACGTCCCTGCCATTCAGAACTCAGTCCTTCCTGGTGAATCCCCCTCCCAGCTCCTCACCAACTCTGCTGTCCACTGCCACTTCTGGTCCCATGAGGCCCCAGCCAAGGCTGGCCAGTCTCCCTGGACCCACCCTATATCCGTTCTCCACAGACAAGGTCCATCAGGGTAAGTCTATTCCAGTTTTCTCCAATCTTGGCATTTTGCAGTATCTAATTAGCTTCATTCCCTTATTTGTGCCTCATCTCCTTTCTGTGACGTTAAGATAATCCCGTTTCCCTAATCCTATCACTATTCTGGCTTATTGCCAGGAAAGACTAGCTATCTTTATGAAGTCAGAGATAAAGACAAGAGAAAGACGGGAGCCTTATCTTAACGTTGGATGCCATCTTCCCAACTTCTCCGTGGGTCCTCCTTTCTTCCTAATGTAGGATATTTGGACATATTATTTTAATACTTGCATTTTGAGCTCTTCAGAAGAAAAGCAGACATAAAATTGTGAGATTATCATAATTAGTAATATTAATTTTTAGAGCTAAGATAATTTGGGTTTGATTCATTGCAACCATATGGCACTTATTGGACAAGCACATTACTACTTAATTAGAGGACCAAGAGCTCCTGGTGATGTGACAAGAGTCTGGAAAGGCTGCCTTTTAAACTGACATTACAGCAGGATAGAGCCTCTGGCTCAGACTAGCAGAAACAGCCAGCGGCAGAGAGGAGCAGGCCTTTGGTTCTCCCAGGGCCCCTGTTGCTGAGGTGATAATGAGCTTTACTTCCCTGCGCTCAAGCTCCTGGTTGCTTCAGGTCCTGTGTGTACTGCCACACACAATGATTAGACTGCAGTCGTTAGGGTGGCACTAGCTGCTGCAGCAAACACACCCCAACACTGAGGCGGTTTCTAGGCACAATAGGAGTTTATTTATTGTCCACGGTCCAAAGCAGGAACAACCCTGCATTCACGCTCTCCCACAGCTCGGTTCAGAGACTGGTCTCTGTCCTCCCATAGGGCCCTGTGGTCATCTGCATACTGGTCTTCCCTCCTCAGGGCCATGGCATGTGCTGCTGCCTCTGTGCATAGTGGCCGTCCTCCCAGACCTATCATGAGTGGCTCTTTATCACAGGGTCACAGCCCAAGTGGAATTCCCTCGGGGAGGCCTTCCTCTCCTCTGCTATCTGAGATAGTCGCATGCCCCTCTCCACCTGTTATCCTAGTTTCTTGAAAGCACTTACCCGTATTTGAAAGTCTGACTGACTTAGCTGTTTGCTTCATTTTTCCCTCTCTTCCTGCCATAGCACCAGCCTTGTCTATGCTATTCTTCACTGCATTTCCAGCATTTACAACTCCTGATGGGCACTCAGAAAATATTTGTGGGGAAAAGGAAGAGAGGGAGAAAACGAAGAAGGGAGGGAGGAAAGAAGAGAAAGAAGGCTCAAAGAGTTTAAGTGACATTCCTAAGGTTCCCTTCCCAGGAAATGGCGGAACCCTGTGGAGTCCCCACCTCCCCGTCTGTGAGCTTTTCCACCATGGACTCATCTTGACGGACTCCCTGCAGAATGCTCATCCCTCCTCGCACGTGGAGAGAACAGGCCCACAGAGAGCATGTGGGGATGGCGTGTGATCCACCCCACTCCCTTCTCCAGCCTCCTATCTGTGAGCTGGCTGGGGTGGGGGACTCAGGCGAACAAAGGTCCAAGGCTTAATCTCTACGGGGCCAGTTTGCTCAGTTCCAAGGCAAGTCCTGTTCCATCAGACACTCCTCTCACTCTGGCCAAACAGCTACAGACTGTATCGCCCTGACAGGTCAGGCTGCCCCTGCCCTTCCCTGGCCTTCAGAAAAGATGTAAATTAACTTTCCAGACCCGAGTCCACCTCACCTATTCAGGGATCCGCCAGGTAAAAGATGTTCTCAGCAATCCAGCCCCACACGTGAAAAGCCATCCACGGTAAAGGAACCACAGGCTCTGAGGCCATCTCTCCCTGCCACAGGGCACTGTGCAGATGGGAGTGCCCAAGCACAGGGACAGACCAGCCCTTCTCCCTGCCTCCAAGGGCAACACATACCCTCCCAAGCAGCAGGGGTGGGTCCCATTCTCATGCCCACCAACCCCTGCCTCAGGGCCCCTGCAGGCCTGGAGTGCCCTCCCTAGAATCTACGGGCCTAGGAAGCAGACCTCTAATGCGTATTGTGGTACGTACTGAGGTAACGTGTCCTCAACTTCCTTGCTTCCCAGTGAACGTGGGAGAGGAAAGAGAAAAAGCACAGGCAGAAGGAAACAGCTCAGGTCCCCACTCCATGGCCTACCAGCCCAGGCTTCTAGACACACTCTGCACTCCCCAGGGAGCAGGAGCCAGGAGACTTCCACCTCAACTCCCTCACTCTTCAGTTGGAACATAATGTCTTCACAAGGGTGACTCACTATAGCAGTGAAAACTGACTAATTATTTTGATCTTCTTGAAGTCAATTGCCTCATTAGTGAATATTCTCCATCCTGGGCCAAGACCCAGTCTTGCAGTCAAACTTGGCTCAGTCAACCAAGCATGAAGTGGTGGGACAGCCTGGCCTCTCTCTTTTCTTTAGGTCATGCTTAAGGTCTTCTCTCTCTTGCTCTAAAATGGACATTTCCCTCTAAAAACCAGTGTCTGATCTCAGTCACGGCAGGTAAAGCAGAGTAGAGGGCTTATCCCCCTTTTTTCATAACCCTGATCATGCCAAAGCCATGACACCATGGAAAAAGAATAAGATGGCAAAAGTTCCACTATCCAAAAATGCAAAGCGTCCTTTAATGACTCAGACCTGGCCAAGCTGAAATCAAGCCTGAGATTCACAGATTTAACTGTTGGCCATGGTTGGACATGAGGCTTTCATCTCCTAAGCATCTACTATGAGCCAAACATGAGGTTAAGTGCTGGGGATAAAGGAGTGGAAAAAACCAGGCAGAGAGCCTGCCACAACTGACAGGGGAGCCTCCTGTTTCAGGGGAGCCAGCCCTGCTCTTCTGTGTCACTCTCCCTCAACCCCTCAAGCTCACCTCACCCCACTCTTCTGCTGTCCACAGTCCCCAGATGGAGCACCAGAAGTAGGTAATGTGCTCCTCAATCAACCTGTTCTAACAGAATAGGCCTTCACAAATAGGAGAATTCTGGAGGCAATGCTGTAACACATATGAGTTACATCAATGGCAGAAACTTCAGGCCCGGAGTCAAGGAGGCAGGAGACACACTCAGAAAAGGCCTCACAATGCCCTCAAATAGTAGGAGCAGAGTCCACACATAGGCCTGATTCCACCAGAACCAACAAACAGAGGCTGGCAAATGCCAGCCGTGACCTGACTTGAAGGTCACATGCTGCGACCACATGTTCCACTTTCTGGTATTTCTGCCAAATCCAATTCAGTGACCACAACATGACAGAAGAGAGAGACCTGTTATGGAAAGGTACACCATGTCTACAAGCTTGGTTTGCAGCGTAGAAAAGCCACACAGCCAAGGAAGGGGCATGAGCAGGTGCTTAGACTTGGGCCTTCCTGAGGACAAGCATGTTTTCTCAATCATGCTGGTGAATATCCTCAGGCCAAGCTCAGATGCCTAGCAAATATCTGAAGTGATGTACTCACACGTTTCAGATTGGGAACAGATCAGAGAAAAATTTGAGAGCCATATAAGACAATATCATTTAGTCAGCTCTGAGTAAAATGACATTCATCAAAGTAAAAAGCCGTGCAATCCTGGGTAGAAAGCCTTGGTTTACAGTTCACTCAAGCAACAGCACACAAAAATTATATTGCTGCCTCTCCAATTCCTAAAACCTGATGTTTCACGAACTGAGTGCGGGATCGATTTACAGAGGTGGTGCACTCAGCTACTTTCAAGCACTAAAGGACCTGAGCTCTTAACGAGGCAAAGCACAGAAAAATGTGTCATGCTGAAGGCGAGCGGCTGGACTTTGGATCCCCTCCCCAGCAAGGACAGGTGTTGCTGTTCAGTGTGTCATCACAGTCTCTGACTCACACCAGGGCAGAGCAGGAACTCTTTGCTCTCCAGGAAGCCTTAGAAAGGGTAGGGCATCCTGAGGCTCAGGAAGCCTCATTTTCCTATTGGTTCAGAAACAGGAAAGGATGAAACCAACATGCCCATCACACCACCACCAGCATCTCCTGAGGTTCTCATAAGACCATCATAGAATAGCTTCTCACCCTTCCCAATTTGGGTACACTTTGCAATGAATCCCTAGCATTGGGTTCTTGCTAGGCCCACCTCCACCTCTCTGAGGACTGAAAAAAAATCAAAGTCAGGTTAATAGTAGGCCATTTAAGATCACATAAAATGACCAAATACCTGTTGTGATACAGGAGGTCTGAAGGGAGAGCTGGAGAAATTCAAAGGCTGTTACCCACCCGTGGTGCATTCATTTGTGTTGTTTTGTGCCTCCATTACCTTAATCTATTCACAAGCCATAAAATATCACTAAATGGCATTTTTTAAAGCCTGGGCTTCAAGGGCTGTGTATAGTGCTCTGCAAAAAACAGCCTTGTGGGAACTCCTGGCTACAGTAGGACCAAGTAAAGTCATTAATGGGAAGATCGGAATACTAGAGCCATAAGAGACATTAATGATCATCTAGTTCAACCCCTCATCTTCCAGAGGACAAAAACTGAATTCTGTTTCCCCATCAATCCCCTATCTTTCTACCTCTTTTGATTCATCCTTCATACAGATGCCCAGCAATGTTTCTAAGAACAGTTGTGATCATTTTACTCTTAAGATTAAAGCTCTCCATCACAGCCTTCAGGATCTAGTTCAAATTCCTTAATATAACCCAGAAGGCTTTTGATGATCTGACCTCTGCCTTTCTTTAAGCTGTGCATATTTCCATGCCCCTGTAACACACGCATGCACACATGTACACAAACACTCCCCCCCACACACAAACTGACCTACTTGCAGTTCTTGAAATATCCATTGTGGGAGTTTTGCTTCCAATATCTCAGAGTAGTGTATATTGGACCTATCATCTGAACATAACTATTACTTAGCAAAAAATTAAAAATACCTATTTGCATGCACTAGAGAGCAACTCAAAGCAGGCAGAACCTGGGAGAAGGGAGCATTGGATGAGTTTCTGGGTTTCACAGTTTTTTGCTTGAGAGCAGAACCCAATCTGTAGTATATAGAGTGATTAGAAACTAGATAGAAATCTGCAGGATCAGAAGGGCAGCTGGAAAATGGAAGGAGCAAATGGTTGGGGCAGCTGGAAAATGGAAGCAGAAATCCCCAAAAGGAGAAAGCCTCAGAAGGGATGCTCCAAATTCTGCATATAAACTCCATCCAAATCTGTGGCTGACTCCTGAGCTATACATGCATGGGGCAGATTCCAAGCAACCCATCTAAAATTAATAGAACTGATCAGAGATTTCAGCTTCTGCCCCCCATGGAGGAGATAGTTTGGTGTTTGAGTTCAGTCAAATTAAATGCCTGCTAAAATAAAAAGTCAACACTCTCCAGAGAAACATAATAGAATCCATAGTCTCTACACTAGACCATCAACAATGTCTAGAATATAATCCAAAATTACTAGACATAAAAATATGGCCCATACTTAATAGGCAATCAATGGAGACTGACTCTGAGATGAGTTAAATGTGAGAATTAGCAGACAAGGATTTGTCACACACAATGCTCTGTCATCCATGCCTTTCCCCTCACTAGATAACTCTCACTCATCTAATCTTAGGAATCAACTCCTCCCAGAAGCCTTCCCAGGGCACTTCATTCCTCCTGATCACTCAGGAACTTGTTATATAATTGTCTAGTTACTTACCTGCTTCCTTCTTCTGCTTTCTTGAGAGTAGGGAGTGGTTCATTTTTATCTATAACATCAATCAACAGCACAGGTTTGATGATAAACGTGGGTTGAATGAATGAAACAAAGAATGAAGAAACTGAGACTGATAAAAGCTTGAGTATTGTTGACTCATGGGTCGCCCTTTTCTACCTTGCTCACATTGTCTTGAAAATGCTTGGGTTCTTTTTCTGTTACTACGTCTGGTGTAGGTTATTTCTGTGGCAAGGAGGGCGCAGGCACTGCAGAGATGTGCTCACATCCTGCACACTCCCACACTCAGAAGCCTGCTGCCTAGTCTTCTCCCTGATCCCCACTTTTCCCAAGGTGAGTCTTATTCCTTCTTAGCATCAGTTCCAACGTGCCTACTAATCCTCTGCTTAGACTAGTTAACATAATTTCAGCTAACTTTTATTGAGTGCCTGTATGGTGTGAGGCAGGCACAATGCCAAGCATTTAACAAATACTAACCCATTTAGTCCTCCTAACAACGCTATGAGGGATACATTACATTGCTGCCATTTTACATATGACAAAACAGAGACTGTGAGAAGGTTATTTATAAAATTAGTAACCGATAAATTCCTTTGCCCACCATACTAGACAGAGAGCAAGACTTCAAGAGAAGCCCATTGTTCCTCATTGCTGACACTCCTTAGGTATCTCACTTCTAATTTAGAGGCACTTTGAATGGGGACAGTGTGTCTATCCACCATGAAAGTCCTAATAAACGCCCAAGGCTATATGAAGAATTGATCAGCCAATGTAAAGTTAACCTGAGCACATGCTGCTTGCCCATTATCTTTATGTTTCTCTTCCCTTCCAAAGGGGTGTGAGTGATAATCCCAAAGAATGACTACTGATGGTAGAGGCCTCTCTCTGTTCCTGACTGGAGCTGGTGAGGAGGGGGCCAAGCTGGAGGAATATGGGTAAACATGGCACAGAAGCCCATCATCCCAGCAGCACAGAATGTTTGCTGGGTCTAATGGGACTGGAAAGCTGAGGGCTGATGTAACACATTTCCCCAGAGATAATCAATCTTTGAGAAATCGCTGGAGCACTAATGGGATTAATGGATAAAAGACAAGTCTTTGAAGTTTCACCCTGTCCTGTTTCATCAAAAGCTATTTCTTCACTAACTACGTGCCCTCTGCACGTATGCCATTTCCATTATTTCTTTTTGCTCTCTGAGTATTTATTAAAGTTTGGCTTTCTGGTTTTCCTTTATCTTCTGGAATTCTTTCTGACTCTGAGAGTCAATGTTAAAACTCAGTTAAACACAATTGTCAAGACATGGGAGATCTGGAAGTCCTAAGTCTAACTAAGTCTAGCTCACCTACTGCACACTGTGTGCTAGAAACCTTTGCAAGTACTTGAACTTCAGGCTAATACACACACATACACACACACACACATATGGACTCTGTCCAGAAGTTGCTTGAAAGGTAATGTTCACTCACCATGCATTTTCCACTTAAACAGAAAGGGATCATCTTAAGCCAGGTTAAGTTCATCCAGGTTTCACTGTCTAAAGCTGGGCGATGTTCATCCCGCCATCTACCACTCTTTTAGTTGGTAAGATTGAGGTATCCAAGGTTAGGAAGTGACTTTCCAAGCACTCAAAGCAAGGCAGTTGGAAAACTTTGATTCAGACCCAAAGTCTTTCTTGGGTCTTCATTGCTTAGATCACTGAGCCACCCTCCAAATTTAATACTTGAGAAGGCTTCAGTTACTTAAACCCAGAGCAGCTAGAAAAAGAGAAGCAAGTACCACAGTGTGTCTGTTGCTTTTGGTAGTTCAGGGACAATCTGGAAAATCTCTCCTTAGCAAATCACCTCAAGAATGAAGTGTCTTGTTAAAATAGTTTCTTATCACTGGATTTGTTTCCTTTTTCACAATTTTGTTTAAAAGTGCAGGTTTACAATTGATTTATTTGCACTGGCAGGAAGCAAGAGCAGCCTGTTTGAATCACTCACCAGAAACCTAAGACTCTAGAGAGTCAACCCATGTTTTTGTAAGTCTTCCCAATTCCATAAATTATGGAACTCTATTAAAATGCTATCATGTGCACAATTAGTACTGCTAGTGTTCTTATTAGAACTAAAATGGTTTTCCTCAAATCATTACACTGCTTATGAAAATGATAAAGGCACTGTCTTAAAATGCAACCAATAGTTTACAAGTCAGAAAATGCTCACCAAAGGACTAGAAAACACACCCCTCTGCTTCTTTCCCCTCCCCACTTCAATGACGATGACTGCCACCATTGAGTGAGCTCTGACACTGTGTGTGCGCCATACCTGTATTATCTCACATATTCCTCCATTGCCTTGTGAGACTGGCATTAACTCCATGTTTCTGAAAAGAAAGTGGTACTTAACAAGGTGACTTGCTCAAGGCCACACAACTATTAAGTGGTAGGGCTAAGACTGAAACCCAAGTTTGTCTGATTCCCCAGTCTCTGCTTCTAAACACTACTCAACACTCCCTCATTCTCTTTTGTGACCTTCCTGATATTATGAAGACAAGTTTTTAAGTTACATTCAGGCAAATCAGAGGTGCGGGTGATAAGCCACAACAGCTTACCAGGCTGCAATATGGGGAGCAGAGAGAGACAGGTAAAGGCAATGAGCATCTCTTCGGCTTAGTCTACAATTAGTTCCAGAACTTTGAATTTGAAATGGACCTTAAAGATCATCCAGTTCAACTCTCATTTTACAGATATGGACTGAGCAACCCAGAGAGGCAAAGGGATTTGCCCTGGCAACAAAACCTGGTCTCTGGGTTCCCAGGTCTCCATGTTTTCTACGCCCTCCACAATGCCTCATTCAGTGAACCGTCAGCCTTCATGTGTACCCAGCACAGCCAGGCACTGTGAGAGAGGAAGGAAAGCAGACCCAGTGTCTGGCCCCAAAGAACACAGTCAGGATTATTGTCCATGAAGCAGTCATAAAATGGTGCAAGGGGATATTCTTAAAAGCCCCAACATGGATGACAAACAATGAGGTCACATACATTCTGGGAATGGAGACTCCGTGAAAGGAGCAGGGTCTTGCAGCAAGGAGGGTTTAGATAGAGGAGGGGAGGGAGGAAGCCCACTCCAGGCCCTAGGGATAGAAGAAGCCACGGCAAGGTGGCGGGCAGCTTGGTTTTCCAATTACGCAGCCAAACCTAAAGAAAGAAAGAGACGTCACTTTTGGTATCTACTCCACACGGGAACGTGAACTTTTTACTCCAGCTGGGTTATGGGACCCAGAGCCCGAGAAGCCAGCCTCGGATGCAGGTGGCTCCAGTTATGTTTTAGATCAGCCACAAATAGCCCTTGCTTTGTACAGGGCCGTGACCCCGCCGAGCCATCATCATCACTGGAATGCCTCAGAGGCCAAGGGAAACACATGCAGCCGCCAGAGCCGCTGCAAAATCGATCCAAAATCCAGGGAGCGGGGGAGGAGGGCCTGACTCAGCCATGGTCAACTCGCCTGCCAAAGTCTTCTGGCACCTGGACCATGCTGGAAGACGCTTCTGGATCCCATTCTTTCTGTGAACCTTCACCACTGAAAGCCATTTTCCTTACCCCCACTAGAAAACAGAAAAGTGTACCCAGGATGTACCCACCAGGGGGTGGTAAGAAAAGTCACACATCTTGTTCCTAGGCTATCAATAGCAGGGTGGAAGAAGCATCACAGATGACAGAAAAAAAAAAGGAGCGCTGGGTGTGGAGTCCAAAGATTACACCCTGCCTTGGCCATTTACTTACTGTATGAACCTGGCCTGGTGCCCAAGCCATTCCAGCATCCGCTTCCTTATCTTTGAAGTGAGAATACGAATACTGCCTACGTCACAAGGCTGTTGTGAGGCTCAAATGATGGATGAGAAAATGCACTGTCAATTTTAAAGCATTATACACATTTCAGTGGTCACTTTTTTTTTTTTTTTTTTGAGATGGAATTTCACTCTTGTTGCCCAGACTAGAGTGCAATGGCGTGATCTCGGCTCGGCTCACGGTAGCCCCTGCCTCCTGGGTTCAAGTGATTCTCCTGCCTCAGCCTCCCAAGTAGCTGGAATTACAAGCATGCACCACCACGCCTGGCTAATTTTGTATTTTTAGTAGAGATGGGGTTTCTCCATATTGGTCAGGCTGGTCTCGAACTCCAGTCAGTGGTCATATTTTCCATCAGGGAAGGCATATCCGTGGGTTTTCCATGTGCATGGGCAAATGAGGGGCAGAGATTATTCTAGTTTTAATGAAGACGTTCAAGAAGGCAATGGCTTTGTGCTGGTTCTCAATGGAGTGGTTCACAAAAGTATACCAACAAGGAAATTTCATCTCAGCAAAGTTCTCTGTTTAGGGCATGGATGTCAATCTGGAAACGGCAAAGCCACTACTGATGGTAACATCACTATGGGCCAGGCAGTGTCCCAGGGGTTTTGTATTCATCATCTCCAACTCTTCTTGTCAGGAAGGCAATTTCTCCCCCAGGCCTACTGTTCACCCCTCTGCTATTCACGGGGGCACGTCCTTTCCTCTCTCTGCCCCGTCTCTAGGTCTCCCTGTAGAAGGAGTAGCTATTATAACTAGTTACTCTCAGGGACATTCAGTGGGCAGGCTTACTGTGCCTCAAAGACACGGCCTCCTCCTTCTTTTATTTATTTTTTGTTTTGTGGCTGATAAGAAAAAATGGACCACTGCCCTCTGAACTTTGCTTGCTATTTCCCCCAACTTTCTCTTGTACCCTCAGCCTCCATGTGGAAGGCAAACGGGGCAGACTTGTTTCCCTAGACACAAAATCAGCATCCTCATCCAAGCAGGACTGATGGCTGGAGAGCTGCTCCTCAGAGCGGTTTAGGTTCAGCGGGAGGGGACAGGGAGGCCTCGAATGGGAGGGGGTGGTGGTCAGGTGCTTGTGGAGCTCATTAAGAAAGGGACAACCTCTTTGCCATTTGGATATTGTGCTTTGGGAGTAAGGTGTGTCCTGAGAGGCCCTGGAAGGGTAGACAGGTAGACAGGAGCAGTTAGGCCCAAAACTAAACCCTGAACCCCTAACACTCATAGCAAACCTGCATTTTTATCCCCATTCCTACAGATGAGAAAACTAAGACTTACTCGTAAATAAACTACCATTGTTGACCTTACAATCTGGCTGGAAACAGATAATTAGAACATATCACGAGAAACAGAACAGTTAAGTGCCAAGCTCTGGTGGAGGTTCTAAGTGCCAGAGGTCAGGATATATTTTTGAGTGCTTCTGCTTCCAAACATCACTCTTTCAAAACAAAACACAAAGATCCCCAACCAGCATTTCTGCCCCCTGAGGCACCAGCAAGGTATATAAACGGGCTTGCAAAGTTTGATATACGGTCTCCAGCCTGGCTTTCTTTAGTCTGGGCTCAAAAGCCAGAACCTCTGGGGGCCAGAGAGCGCTCTTTGTTTGCCAAACAGCATTCTCGCACATCCTGTTCTACAGCACCGTCAGTTTGGCTGTGCCCCAGAAAAGTGCAAGTGACTCTTACAAAGCAAGAAAGTAGGCCACAGTCCCCATCATTTTTCACGGCTTGAGGCTCCCATTCCCTCTAGATTCGTTTGCCTTGCCGAAGCATTTATCTCCGCTGCCATGGGCTCTGTGATGGGGTCTGGATTGCAGGGAGAGGTGACAGGCGGGGCCCCTGGCACAGCCACACCGGCACCTCCACCAGCCCTCAGCAAAATGACAAAGTGGGCCGACCAAGCTGGCGTTTAGAGCCTCACACCACTCTCTGTGCCCCTGCTCTGCCCCTGTCTGGAGCCCTCTGTCCTCAGTGCAGCTGCCAACAAACCCCAGGAATAACTAAGTAGCATGCAGTGCCCCCGTCTCTCCCCTCCCAGAGACCCCCTTCCCATCCCACCACATCCACACTGCCTTTGGCAAGGTCTTGTCAATCACATAAGCTGTTATTGATCATTATTCTCTCCTTCCATTCTTGTGTTTATCACAGATAGACAGCTATCAACTCAAGCATCTGTTCAGCAAAGGATAACCAGAGCTAGCCGGGTGCGGTGGCTCACGCCTGTTATCCCAACACTTTGGGAGGCCGAGGAGGGTGGATCACGAGGCCAGAAGTTCGAGACCAGTCTGGCTAACATGGTGAAACCCTGTCTGCACTGAAAATATAAAAATTAGTCAAGTGTGGTGGCGCACGCCTGTAGTCCCAGCTACTCAGGAGGCTGAGGCAGGAGAATCGCTTGAACCTGGGAGGCGGAGGTTGCAGTGAGCCAAGATCAAGCCACTGCACTCCCGCCTGGGTGACAGACCAAGACTCCGTCTCAAAAATAATAATAATAAAATAAAAAATAACCAGAGCTACCATACCAAATCGATACTCTTTCACTGGAAAGCAAAGAAACTTGCCATTTTAGTTACTCTTTGCAGCCTTATCTTAAATAAATGGGCAGTTTCCATTAGGTGTTTTGAAATATTAAGAAGTGCTCTCTGGCCACCATTATGCCTGTTATGAGATCCCAGCATGTGGGAGCTCCAGGTTGGAAATTACTGTGATGATGGGTCATAGTATTTTTCCTCTTAGGGACACCTGTATTTTCCTTAATTTCCAAATATTCTTCAAGACGCAAACTACTGGATCTCAAATCATTAGATTTCAGGTAGCAAAAGTGGAAACAACAGGGAACTGGGAAGGCTGCAGCAGGCCCTCTGTGGTGGCCCCTTTTTGCCAAAGTTACGAGCCGTCTGAGGATGCAGGGTGGCAGATATTTGGTCCTCTTTGAGGATCAGAGACAGGAGAGAGAAAGTGAGTACATGTCACAGTTACCATGTTTATTCAGCCACTGAGTGTCTGCTATGTGTCAGGCCATGTGCTAAGCAAATAAACAGTCAACTGTGCCAGCTAGGAATCTGTGGATACAGCACGCTTCTCCCATCTCAGAAGAAAAAGCAAAACGTACCACTTCTGACAACTCACCACTGGAGAGCATGAGAGAAGCATTAAGTAAGACCTCCCTGACATCGCACTAGGGCCACAGCCACACCCAGCAGAAATCCAGAGGCGTATAGGGCAGGTGGTAACTAGCAAATTAAATAGGATCCCAGCAGGACGGTCCAGAACAGGAGCAATGAAAACAAGGGGAAATAAGGAGAAAAGAAATTGCCTCAATGCCCAGCACATAACAGATACTCAAAACAAAATCTGTGGAATAAATGAATGGACAACACAGGACTCTTGTTTTACTTACATGAAATAAGTCTAGGCCAGGAGCGGTGGCTCACGCCTATAATCCCAGCACTTTGGGAGGCCGAGGCGGGCAGATCACCTGAGGTCAGGAGTTCGCTACCAGCCTGGCCAACATGGTGAAACCCCGTCTCTACTAAATACAAAAGATTAGCCAGGCGTAATGGCACATGCCTGTAATCTCAGCTACTTGGGAGGTTGAGGCAGGAGAATTGCTTGAACCCGGGAGGTGAAGGTTGCAGTGAGCCGAGATTATGCCGTTGCACTCCAGCCTGGGCAATGAGAGCGAAACTCCCATCTCAAAAAAAAAAAAAAAAAGAGAAAGAAAGAAATCTAAAGGAGATAAACACCAATAATCAGCTATTCATTTTTCTAGTTTTAATCTTTATCTCTTATGCATACATTTAATTTATTTATTTATTTATTTATTGACAGGGTCTCACTCTGTCCCCAAGGCTGGTACAATCACAGCTCACTGCACTCACTGCAGCCTCAACCTCCCAGACTCAAGCAATCCTCCCACCTCAGCCTCCTGAGTAGCTGGGACCACAGGCACACGTTACCACACCCAGCTAATTTTTGTATTTTCTGTAGAGACGGGGTCTCGCCATGTTGTCCAGGCTGGTCTCAAACTCCTGGGCTCAAGTAATCCTCCCAACCTTGGCCTCCCAAACTGCTGGGATTACAGGCATGAGCCACCATGCCCGGCCTATACACATAATTTAAAGAGTCAATTTGTTCTAAAAGGTTCATTGAAGAAAAAAAATCCACAGTTCTCTTCTTACCCCCCTCCCCAACCTGCCCCTCAACAACAATAAGCTTTCAATTCCTTAGCTGTTTCTTTTGGTATTCCATTCCATATTTTTAATAATATGCTTATGTAGCCCCTTGGTGATTTTTAAGGTTTTTTCCTCATCATAGAAGGTAAGGGTTTAGCCCTCTTTCACCTCTTCCCTATCCTCTGCAATAGTTTTGTCATGATTTAGTTTAGATCAATGTCCTGCATCCACTTTATCACGACTATGAAGGGCCCCCTCTCACATACTCCATCTTCTGTGTTGGCCCCCATTTCCGGGATCCTATGTTTCCCTTGGTTTACTCCCTCCTCATGGTGAAGAACTCCAATAGCTTCCTGAGAGAAGGTGCATCGGGCTAAGTTTTATTTTTTTCTTTTTGTTTTATATTTTTACCTATCTGAAAATGTTTCTCTTTTACCTTCTTGCTTGAGTGATAGTTTGATCAGATATAAAATTGTCAACTGGAAATCATTTTTCTTCAGAACTTTGAGGGCAATTCTCCTTCGCCTTCTAGCTTCCCACATGGCTGCGGGTAAATCAGGCTGATTCCTGACCTTTTGTAATACATTTCTTCTTTCTAGAAACTTTTTTTTTCTTTGAGACAGAGTCTTGCTCCATCGCCCAGGCTCAAGCAATCCTCCCATCTCAACCTCCTGAGTAGCTGGGACTACAGGCACGTACCACCAAGCCTCGCTAATTTTTTGTATCTTTGGTAAAGACATGGTTTCGCCATGTTGCCCAGGCTGGTCTCGAACTCCTGAGCTCAAGCGATCCACCCGCCTCTGCCTCTGGTACTGGGATTACAGGCGTGAGCCACTGTGCCCAGCCTAGAAACTTGTAAGATCCAATTGTCCCTACTTTTCTGAGATGTCACAAAGATGTACCCTTGGGATAGGCCTGTTTCATCTATTTGTAAGGGCACTTAATGAGCCATTTCAATCTGGATACTAATATCCTTCTGTTCTAGCAAATGTACTAGAACTGTCTCATTGGTGATTTCCTCCCCTCTGTTTTTGTAGTTATCTCTTTCTGGAACTCCTAGTATTCAGATACTGGACTTCCTGGACTGTCTAATGGTCATATTTTTTTTACTCCTAATTTCCATCTCTGATTTTTTGCCCTACTTTCTTGGATATTCTTCAATTTTGTTTTCTAACCATTCATAGCACTCAGTCATCACATTTCTTAATTATCAATGTTTTAATTTTTCCCTTTACATAGCAATCAGCTTCTGTATCAAGGATATAATATCTTATCCCTCTAAAGACAGAAAATAATGTGTTTTTTTTAAGTTTTCCTCGTGTATATTCTGATTTAAATAGGCATCCTTTGCTTGTTAGCTTTGGTTTCTATTTTCAAGGCCTTCCTAAGATATTTAGGGACATTTAGGGATCCTTAACTGATGGACCTTATTTAAGAGAGAACCACCAAAAACTGATGGGACATTGTGAGCACAGGTGTGGCTTATGATGCACTAGGCTTTGCTCTAAGGCCCCACAGCTGGAACGCCCTGTTGGCTAGATCTTAGGGCCCCCTTAGGGCTGTCCTCTTTAGGCTGGTCCACTCTGCCAGGGAAAGCCACGCAGATCTTCTGCCTAGAGAGTACAGGCTTATGGGACAGCACTCTGAGAGCAAGTGGGAGATACTCCAGAAGTCTCAGCCCTGTATTCGCCCCGGGCGTGCTGCCCTCCATTGTGCCAGTGGTGCCCCCATGCAGACCTCTTGCTTTATCCCCATTAGAGAACATTCCGCTTTATCCTCCAGTCCTCAGCTGAAATGGGAAGAGTATTAGTTGCTGAGAATAGGAGTAGGGGTCTGAGGTCTAATTAATTTTTTTCAATGGACAGATAAAATTATATATATTTACTGTGTACAACATGTTTTGAAGCATGTTTACATTGTGGAATTACTCAATCTAGCTAATTAACATATGCACCACCTCACATAGTTATTATTTTTGTGGTGAGAACACTGTGCCATCTACTCTTAGCATTTTCTAAGAATACAAACGTTGAACCAATTCTCCAGTTCTTAGCCCCATTTTAACCGTCACTTCCAAAAATACCTGATACCACAATTTCCAAGCCTTTTGGAGGTTGTGAGCTGCAAGTTTAATTGTGTCTCAATTTTCCCCACTGCCGCTTAGGATTCAGCTGTCTCATACAGTACATGCAAAGTCTGTTACTACTTGTCCATCTACTTTCCAGCTTTCCCAGCTGCCACTGGGCTGCATGAAGGCAGAACATCTCCAGTGAGTTCAACATTCAGCTCCAACCTTAAGCCTCCACCATGGCCAAGAAAGGCATTGCTGCTGGGGGAGAAATGGACATTAACACTGCTTCAAAAGGGTGCTGAAGACCACCCTCATCCCCGATGGCTTAGCTTGTGGAATTCACGGGTACTTGCATCTGACCCTCATGAGTCTATGTAGAAAAACCTGGTTGAGGAACTGTTTGTTGACACCCACATCAGCTTAACTGAGGTTGGTCAAACTAAAGGAATGGAGAAGGCCTCTGCAAAATCAGCAGAAAAGCAAAGCCCTGTAAGCAACTGGTTGCAGCTGTATGGTTGTTAAGGCCAGCGCCAAAGAATCAAAGCCAAATATGTCATCAAAGAGTATTTCAAATACAAAAAAATGAACAAATAAACACCGGTGGGTGATGTCTTCTTTGGATTCATTTTGTCTTTGTGGTTTATGCATTTTTTAACGATTCCTTTACCATCATGTTAGTGTGGTTTTGGAAGAGAGCATTCAACCCACCATATGAATCTGCAATTTTTACGCTACTAGCTTTTTTCTGATTTCCATGTCACTTTATTCTATTTTTATTTAAAAGGTACATATGACATATTTTTATAGTTTAATGAATAATAAAGCATACTTTCATGTAACTACCATCAATCCAGAAACACAACATTACCTTGACTTTGCGATCATCATTTCTTGACCTTTCTTTATGCTTTTGCCACGTATGTATGTGTACCTTAAAAGATAGCTTCATTTGGCCCATTTTTAGCTTAACAGGAATGGAGTCCTGCTGAACACACCCCTTTGCCATGTTTCTTTCACTCAACCTTAGGTCTGTCAGATTCACTCTTGTTCTTGTGTCTAAGCTGCAGATTTTTTTTATTTGCGTCTTTACTCTTTAAGGAAAAATGCTTTATAACAATAATAAAAATTAGAGTCATTGGGGAACTATGGAGGGGACAGAAAAAGAAAGATAAATAATTTGTTCAACGTTAAGATAAAAAATCCTCAGGTTCAAAAATATTTCTCTCAAGCACGGAGCATAATTAAACCCTGGAAAACATGAGAAAAGCACCCCTAAACTGGCTTTCCAGGGACATCTGGCTCATCCTCCCACCTCCGGTGGCTCTAAACTAGTCTAAGTGCCCGTTTTCGCTAGGAAAGGAGACACCCTCATTTGAATTGGTGATGTCTTCTAAGAGGTGGTCAGTTTCTCCTTTCAGCAATCCAATATGCTCTCACAGCACTTTTAAGTGAGACACAGCCCCAAGTGACATGAGGCTCTAAAACTGGTAACTCCTTATATAAGGAAAACTGATTGAGGTCAGAAATTCCTTAACAAACAATTGAGCTATTCTAGTCAGTTCCACAAAGGCCAAAGAATGGTGAGAAAATGACAATAAAAACTCATTATGTACGGAATTCTGAAAAAGTCCTTAAGATCCTTTGGGGCAATTCTATTTTTTTTTTCTTTTCATATAGGGAAACTGAAGCCCAAGCAAAGTAAAATTGTGTGTCTAAGTGACAAAGCTCTCTGGGTTGCAGTCTCTTCCTCTGTGGAGGAAAGGTGTTCTAGTACATGATCTCCGGGACCCTGAAGAGCACTAACAAAACTCCTGTTGTCCACAGGTCCATCAATCCCACACCAAGGGAACCACTGTCATAGAAAATGTGTCTTCACGCTCCACGTTCTCCACGCAAAACAACGCCCATGACACACCAGGGGTGTGCCTCTGTGTGTGTGTGACGCCTCTGTGTATGTGTGCGCCTGTGGGATTGCAAGAGAATTATGTCTGTGTTAGGAGAGTCTTCCCACAATGCCAGGATTCACCAAGTGAAAAAAATCTTTCATCTCCCGATAACTCAACACACAGAGATAGACGGCACCTATACTCTAGGACGGCAGGATGGGCCGCTTTCAGAGCACAGAGCCGGCTCCGGAGACCAGCCTGAGGGAATACCCCACTTTGGGGAGCTTTGTCAACACCAACATGATCATCGGGAAGCTCCCACCTACCCACTGTCCTGCGGGGAGCTTCTGTATCATTGGCAAGACAAGGCTGATAAACGAAACTGTGAGAAAACAGTAGAAAGCAGCTAAACTCTCCGATCAGACATTCTGTGCCTTTGGAGCTGAGAGAAGGAAGGAGGCAGCGTAGGCAGCAGTCATCAGAGAGGGGGGCGTTCTAGGCTTCAGTTTCTCCCCATTTATAAGTCTGCCTGGTAAACCTTCAGTGACTTCTTCCCTGGAGCCCAGGATTCCCCACTAGGCAAATCCCAAGGCCTTGGAGTTGTAGCTGCAAACACAGGACTCCAGGTTGAGACCCCTGAGCCCTAACCCCAGCCTCTTCCCTGACCCACTGCTGGCCCCGGGTGAGGAGTCTCCCTCATTGCTCCTGTTTGTTAAGTGGGCGCCAGGCTGCTGGACACAGCTGGCCACGACCACGATGAGTGGGGCAGGGAGCAGGAAGATTCCGTGTGTGCGGGAAGGAAGCAGCTCTGTGCATTGGAGGTGGTGTCCTTTTGATAACCTGGCAGGTTTTGTTTTCTGACCGCCCACTCTTTGATTGCCTTTCCAAGTGTACCATCCCCTGTCCCTCCCCGGCCAGGCTCTGCAGCACAAGCTGGAGTGGGATGTAGGATTTCTTCGTTGTTTGTTTTTAAGTAGGGCCTGTCACTGGGGGAAGATGACTAAGCCTCCTTTTGTCAGGAAGAACCCAAGATTTTTAAACAGAGAAGCTGGAGGAAAAAGAACTCCTCTGGGTGGACCTGTTGTTGAATTTCATACAGGAAATCACTCGAGTGAGAGAAGAGGCCGGGAATGTCACTGGGGAGAAGGGGAAGTCTGATTTTTTTCTTGAATTTTAAAGAACCTCTACCCAGCATTTTGGGAGAAAGGGAACAGAGTGCAGACAAAGGGAAATAAATGTCCAAGGACGGGTGAAAGCTGCACTTGTTGAGGTGGCACTTGGTGAGACCCTGTGATTATTCAGCTTCTCTGAGACAGTTAATATTTCAGATTTTGCCAAGTACCTTCCAATTATCTTATTAATGATCTATGCCTGTGTGCTCCAAATAGACAAGGCAGGCACCATTTGCTCCATCTCCCAGGAAGGAAAAGTAAAGATGAAATGAGGAGAGCCTTTTCCCCAAGAGGGCTGCCCCACCCCACGCAGAGGACAAAGGAAAACTGCAGGGCGGAGGCCTCATGGTCCCTGTCAACACGGCCCTGTCCTTCCTACCAGCAAGGGATCCACTTGCCTCTCCCATGACTTAGCCAAAACTAGCTCCAGTCACAAAAGGACAAATACTCTGAGATTCCACTTATATGAGGTTCCCAGAGTGGTCAAATTCATAGACAGAAAGTAGAATGGTGGGTGCCAGGGGCTGGGGGAAGGGGGAATGGGAACTGATTGTTTAATAGGTAGAGCGTTTCAGTTTTGCAGGAAGAAAACAGTCCTGGAGATGGATGGTTGTGATGGTTGCACAACAGTATGAATGTACTCAATGCCACTTTAAAATGGTTAAAATGTGAATGTTATATTATGTATATTTTACCACAGTAAAAAAAAAAGTAGCCTCCATTCTAAATTGGAGAAAGAGTTCTGTAAGTGGGAAGCTTCTTGAGTGTTGTCTTTCATTAACCTCAAGGATAAGGGCCAATTCCTCAGGCAAGTCCCAATAGGCTTTGCAGGAACAACAGACACAGAGAGAGGATTGAGAGGAAAATCAACTGCTCCATTCGCTCAAGGGTCATTAAAATTGATTATTAAAGTTAGATCCGAAATGAGTCTATCTCCTAGCCCTTCACTCTGCTGATCTCTGCCATAGTGACCACCACTGAAAGGCAGCTGGATGCCCAAAACTGTTTGTTTTCCTTTGCTTTGTAACTACCTCCTTGAGCTTTCACCTCCCAATTTTAATTTTTCTGCCACCATTCCCAATCTCTAGGAGAATCCAGTTCCAATATTATCCAATATAAAGGGCCGTAGGACACTCGGGACCAGTGGGACCTACCAATCTTTCCTACCGGGCACACCAGTCCTGTGGGTGACATGGGAAACGGAAAGAGGAGGAGGAGAAACAAGGCACTTCCACCTCCTGGTTCCATGTCCTGACTTTTTTGTGTTACTTGAACTTGGCCAACTTATCCAAGTGCTATCTGTTGTTTTATTTTTATTTCTTAATTTTTAAATTTCTTTGCCTTCCAAAATCAAAGTTCCCAATAAGTAGGGTATAACTTAAGTTATGAATTGAACCATGGTTGACAGAGACCAAAACAACAGGGATTCCCCATGAGAGACATTTACTTCCTCTCTCCCATGGAAGCCCTCCCCCAGCCATCACCGCCTTCTGAATGGTTGCTCCAGCACCTGGAAAGGGTCTTTTAGTCTGCATGATATGAAATGGCTCCTCACCATGACGGCAACACGCCTGCAGAGGGAGAAAGGGAAAGGGCAGGCATGACTTTGCCTTCAAGGGCACACACCGGAAGTCACACGCATCACCTCTGCTGACATCCTACTATCTAGAACTTAGTCACAAAACCTCACTTAGCCACAAGGGAGGATGAGAACTGTAGTTCTTCATTCTAAGCAGTCATGTGCCCAGCTGAAAATTCTATCCCTATGAAAGAGGTAGAGAACAGACACTGGGTAACAGTCATTTCTGTCACAAGTGGCATCTTTGCCCTCTTTTGTATGAACAATCCCTACATTAATGTGCATGCCATAATGTGGTCCATTGCAACGCAGCTATCTAGGGAAGGGCACCATCGATGTTTTCCTGAAACTAAATGACCATTACCACAAATAGCAATGAGACTGAGTTTCAAGTTTCTCACACTAGTCAAGGCACTAAAAACGCCAGGGTTTAAAATCTGCCCAGATAGGCTGACTGTAAGTCATCCACCGGCTGCCACACCCTCGCTTGGTTCAGATCTCCCAGAGGATACTCTGTCCCTGGGGCAGCACTAGCTCAGATATACCTGGCAAGCATTAAGCTATTGAAATGGCCTCTGCCCAGCCCTTGGCTCATCCACCCGTGCATCAGAATGGATTCCTGAGGGTCCACTGACCTATGTATTTGGGATGGAGGAAGACAAGCTTCGTGTGTGTCTCCGAGAGTGGCCTGCTGTCATCTGTACTTTTTTGTAACACTCTCTTCATGATGGAGGCCAAGACAAGGTAAAAATCTCCCTTCTTCATCAATACAAAGCCATTTCTGCAAACCTGGCTCTCTGCCCAGCTTCACGACCCATTCTATGACAAGCGCTTATTCTCTGAGACGTACCCAGCCTCCCAGCCAGATGCCTTGGCCTGGCTACTGAAATGTATGTGATAGGGACAGAGTCCAAAGCCAGTGAGTCTTCTGTGCAGAGTTGCTCCTGAAAAGGGAAAGACTATTTCTGGTTCTGCTACTCCAAACCAATGCAAATGTCTATAAAAACCTATAAAAATGGCTCCTCAGTCAGACACCCCTCCTACCATCTCAAATCCCTTTTTTTTTTTTTTTCAGCTACCACTGGTCAGCCAGTGGTATATACAAAGAATCCTGGCTATGGTAAGGGTGCCTTCAATTTTATTCAGACCTGGGCAAAAAATAAAAAAAAAAATCTTACTGTGCCTCAGTTTCCTCATTCTGTAAAGTCAGGGAATTGGATGAGATGATCTGATCTGCAAGTTTTCTTTTAGCTCCAATGATCCATAAACATTGATTTCTACGGAGTTGAGTTGAGTTGTGGCCATAGGAATCCTGTACCACTTGTAGAGTCTGTTATGAACAAAGTTCATGAGTTCAGTAGAACTCAGGGAAGCTGTGACTGTCATGCTTCTCCGTAATTGCCACAGACAGACCAACAGTGAACTCAGCCAGAGGAACCAGCCAACACAAAGGAAAGCATGCAGGACCCAAAGACACAGGCTGCTACAGGCCTTGGCACCTGCCCAGAAGTGGCGTTGACCACCATTTTTACATGTCACCTTCCCAAGAGGCATTTCCCAAGTGCACTGTACCTTATATAGCACTCTACTAATGGAAAAGATTGTTATCAGAGTGAGAAAATAAGAGCGGTAGAGACAGTTTCTCCATCTCTACCTCTCAAAGGAGAGAAGCAGAAGGAAACTGAAAACCTAAACTTGTGGGTTAAATTTTGATTCTGTGTCATTGTCTTCAAAACACCCATGTAAATAAGTATTCATTGCATGCCAACCCACACGTGTTTTTCGCCAAATGCCCCTTTCATCAGAACTCACAGAAGGAATGAAATTAGCCTTACCTATTTTAAAGCCACCTAACTTTCTAGAGGAGAGGGAGTGCACTGCTGTTATCAAAGCTGCTCTGTAGCCTGGGAGCCCTGTTTGGGAATTAAGAGGGCGGAATATCATGATGTGAACACGGCTCTTGTTCTTCTTTGGTGAGCATTCCACATTCTGGGTGCATGAAGCTTATCCTGGAATTCCCCTACTCTGTCTTCCCTCTGCCCTGTTCCCCAGGGAATGTTGGGAGACTGGGGAATGGAGGTGACATTCACTCCTCTTGAGTTCTGTGATGTCACTTGATAGACACCTGCCTTCTACCTCTTTCTTCCATGTAGTGGCTGCTCTAGAGACCAAGGACAAGACCCATCCTATTCTCCGTGTTATTTTTACAGTGCAGCCAGACACGGGCTTATCCTGCAAGCTCCAGGCCAGCCAAAACTGGAACTGCGTCTCTGCTCCTGACCAACATGAAAAGTTCCTAAGCTGATACAAAAGGTTGCCAGCCAGCCCCTCTGGGAGCTGCTACTCTTGCTGCCCAGATTCCATGAGCACAGCATGGCTCTCTGTTACCCAGTCTCCATGCTGGGTCCTTGACCCCCTTTTAGTGCCTCTGGGCCTGGACACCCCATGCATCACTAGTTATCATAACCTGGCTCCTCATCCTTGCTTCCTGCTTCCTGCCCAGTCTTGACTCATAATTCCAGTTTGGTCCTTTAAACTCTGCCTGCTATCCAAATTGCTGGGCTACTAGAGGTGCTGATGTTCTACTTCAGCCTGGGCCCCAGGTCAGGCCTCCGGATCCACCGGCAGCCCTTTCCTGGGGTGTGCTCCCCCCTGGGTCCTACACAGCTCCCAGTGAGAGCTGATCTTCCTTACTTGGGGTTGGCTCTCTTAAATTTGGGTCCCACCTTCCGCCTAAAACTGAAAGAAATTTCTCTCGCCCTGCATTTCAGGTCATTGTCTCTTACTCAAGGGAAGTCCCAATCTGAGAAGTTCTCTGATAGGGCAGACAGTTAATAAATGTTCAGGAAAAATAAGATACTGTTGAAAACCAGAAAAGTCAGTAGCCCACTCTCTACTGCTATGAGCATTCCTAAAGCGGGAATGTTCACAGCAGTAGAGCATTCCTACAGCCAGGATTTTCCTAAACTCCAGCTTTCCAAAACACCATCCAGTAGAGATATGTCTTGCAATCGAAATATTAAATGGGTCTTGGGCTTTTTAAGAGAGTCCAGAAAAGACCGTGACATTTCCTATGATATTTCACCAGGCCTCTCTTTCTTTCTCTTGGCTTTGAGCCTCGGAAGGATGCATACTCAGCTTGATTCTTCACACTGGCCTGGCATGAGTCTGAACATGTGCACTCATCTGAGCATTTCCACAGGGTCACAAGAACAAAATGCAAAACCCCAAGATAGGTCATAGCTGCCCTTTCTTCCTCAACATCCTTTGTGAGTTCTCAGATCAAGCAAACTCATCAGTCTATTAGTTAATTCCACATTAGCCCCAAATGTCATCTTGCAAGGTTTCCTCTGCTGCTTAGGTGACCCCCAAGACCACATCTTCCCAGATGCAAGACATCCCTTGCCAAGTCTTTACAGATGACCCAAGGAAAAGTCATATTCTCTGTGGACTCTCCACTGGAAAAGTCAAAAAAATAAACTGTTAGGGATGGTCCAGACAGGCTGCAAAGCAATGAGTCCCAGGGCCACCCGCCAGGCTGCCCACTGGACTGCGTCTGGTAGTGCATAGAGCCAAGGAAGCACAGGTCCCAAGGCAACTCCTCCAGACCGCAGGGAGGGAGGGTACTTTGGAGGTCGAGGCAGGAGGACAGCTTGAGCCCGGGAGTTTGAGACCAGCTTAGGACAGCAAGACCCTGTTTCTACAAAAAATTACAAAAACTCGCCGGGTGTAGTGTCACATGCCTTGTAGTCCCAGATACTCAGGAGGCTGAGGTGGGAAGATCGCTTGAGCCCAGGAGGCAGAGGTTGCAGTGAGCCGAGATCATGCCACTGCCCTCCAGCCTGGGAGACAGAGTGAGACCCTGTCCCAAGAAAACCAAAAAGATGACAAATTCAAAGTTCCTGGCACATAATACATGCTGTAGATGGTAATCATTACTAGTATGATCAAAGTAAATGGCAGCTAGAGGGAAGATGTGACCCAGAACCCCTGGAGCCTGGTCTGGCCATGAAAAGAGTTTGATCAAATATACAAATGTGAGCAGCAGGGATTTCCATCTGCAATCTTTGAGCCATGGCTGGAAGACAAGTTCAGACGCCCTCTTGCCCATAAGTGGGATCAACATCTCCATGGCAGGTCTTTTCAGTGCGATATTTCAATACGAAAGACAGAGACAAAGTTTCCAAAAAGAACCATCGGGCAACAGGGAGTTTAGTTCATAAGAGATTTATCAGAGATTTCTGTGGTTGTGTGGATGATTGGTTTGCTGCAGAGTGATATATTTAGGCTTTTTCTCACATCTTTCTCTACTCTAAAGTCCCTTCAGAGATTCCTTATGACTTTATAATGCTAATCCTTTCAAAAATTTTTGAAAAATTTGACAGGTTTTATATAAGTGTGCATGTATGTGTATATATGCATGTAAACATACAATTTTTAGAAGCCTAGAAGTTGCATAAATATTCTGTATTCCCATTCCTAGCATCCTCCTGTTACCAGATGTACTGATGGCATATTGCTTTCCAATGGGATTCTGCACAACTGACAATGGTAATCCTAGGATTATGAACCAAGAACATGAAAACTCAAGTGTGAAGAGGTGGGTTTTTCAAAAGGTGTGAAAACCTACTGCCTATTTGCCCCCCCAAAATCCCCCCAAAACATTTGAGAGTAGAAAGAAGTCTTCTTTCACTCTGTAATTTGCATTTTCTCTCCTTCCAATCTGACCATCGTATTTTCATTAATTTCATTTTACATTTTATCCTCAGATATATACTTCTTCACATCTTTATCTTCCCTCTTCCTCCAGTTAGTTCTGACACTCATTCAATCTTTACTCTCTCCACTCTCTCACCTTTCTGCTTTCTCCATCAATAATGCAGTTAATGGAAATTATCTAACATTTGTCACAAAGAGGCAACAGGTCCCTGGAAGTATTTAATAGCAGATAATTCTGGCAAAGCCCCAATACCAATAAAGCTAGAGGTCTGCTTTGCCCAAATTTGGCATTTCACTCCCCAAAGTTGCCTAAGGAAGTTGTCAATCACTTTCCCATTTATTAACATCATACAGAAGCACACTGGAAGGAAGCCTGGCCTGGCTGAAACAGCAGAGTTTATTCCCACCATCAACCTCTATAGCACGCTGTTTCTAACTTTCCTCTCTCTCTAGTCAGCCCCACTTCTTGAAATTTAATCTAAATTGCTCAATTTCTTTGAAGCTCCTGAAACATTAAACAAGCAACTCACAACATTTTGGAGGTTCCCCCCCTCTCTCAGTGATTCGTTTGCTGTAATTTCCCTAGAAATCCCTTAAGCCCTGAATTTATAGACCTAGAGATAGGGACAGGAGAAAGGATAGAGCTAGTATGGAGATATGACTTAGAGTGACATTGATTTGCTTTGATAATTGGGGGGGTTGGAGAGCTCTCAGGGAGGATATGTCTGTCCTCTCTCCTTTGCCTGTGTCTGGAAGGGCTCAGGCTGTCCTTCCCCTCTCTTCCCTGCTTCCCCTAACTCAGCCCTGCTTGGGTCCAGTTAACTCAGCCCTGCTTGGGTCCAGCCCTGCTTGGGTCCACCCTTAGACATTCACCTTGGATGATTAAAGGCCTGAAAAATCACAGTCAAGTCATAACAAACCCATTCTGCAGAAAAGAGGGGAAAGGGTGAAGAAGGCTACGCGAGTTTGGTTGTGTGACGCTCTGCCCACCAGCAGGTAAACAGAATGGGGTACTGAGAGCAGAAAGCTGAATGGGAAAACCAATAATTGAGGCTGTCAATAGTGGAAACACAGAATATG
Organism: Homo sapiens; assembly: GCF_000001405.40. Lineage (NCBI taxonomy): Eukaryota > Metazoa > Chordata > Mammalia > Primates > Hominidae > Homo > Homo sapiens. Next base: position 488,779 of record NW_018654718.1, on the reverse strand, counting down.
CCTTTCCAATGGCTCTGCTTTCGTCTAAATCCTGCCCTTCCCTAGGCCTGTGCCCACCGCCTCCCCACACCTTTCCCAAAGACCTCAGGCCCGGGGCTGCCCCTCCTGTGGCGCCAGTGGAGGGAATTTTGTACCATTCATTATCATTTTTTATCCAAGTAACCTGACTCCTCAACCAAAATGTATTTGTGAGTCCCTTGCCACATACTGCTACTCAATCAATATTTATTTTACTATGATGAGCACACAAAGATGATTCTGATTCCTATGCTGATGACGGCCTCACTCAAGTGCCACTTCACAAGTGAAGCCTTTCCTGACTCCTACTGTAGAATTTTGGAGCCAGAAAGGCGCGGAGAGATTCTTGAGCCCTCTATCCCTTCTCTCAACTACCATTACCTGCTTCTCAAACTGGTTCTTGTCTCCCCAGTCTGATCATAAATTCCTCGAGGGTGAGAACCTTTCCTTGCCCCAATCTAAACGTGACAGGGAAGAGGGGTGATAATAACCCCTCTCTTCTTTTGTTACTATCCCAGTGTTGAATTAGAAGGCACTCAATAATAAAAATAACAATAACTTCCATTTGAATGCTACACAATTTACAAAGAGCTTTTAAAAACATTATCTCTAATGAGATAATGCCCCTCACAAAAAGCCTGGGTGTTAAGTAGGTATAATCAGCTCTAAGTGACAGATGGAAACTGAGGCTCAGGAGGGTTAAGTGACTTGCCCAAGGGCAGAGAGCCAGGTTCGCATTTCTGGTGTGGATCAGCATTTTCCTCTACACTGCAGGGCCTCCCCAGAGACTTTAAAACATCCCTAGCATGAAATGACTATCAGGCAAATTGAGGCAAGAAAGACAAATTCCAGGAAAGCTCACTCCTGCCACGAAATCCCACACTTGGCCATACTTGACATTTACAGTAATCAAGATTTAATCTAGCGTTTTCCTCACAAGCCCACGGACTACTTAAGCCCGCAGGTACCATACCCTCTCTCACAGAATGCCCCTTGCCCAGTGCCTGGTACACAGTAGGCACTCAATAACTGGTAATAAAATGAGCAAATGATGACAAAATAAATGAGCAAGCAAACACATGTATAAACCTACAATGAGAGGCGTGTTGAAGCTATAAACGTAACCAAGAATAGATTTCAAATCTAAAGGAATCCACAAGTGTAAGAAAAGCTGATTTCAATTTATAGAATTACAAATGTTTGAGATAAAACAGCTCTAACACAAGCAAAGACCCAGCAGAATAAACAAAGAGTTTTATTACTTAGCTCCAAAAGGCCAAAACCAGCAATTCTACACTGGAGAAAATGAAAAGAAAAAAAAGTTATTCAGGCAGGAAGCTCTTCCAATTCCAAAAGGATAAATTAACTATAACCATTTTTTTTACAAAAATAAAAATAAACAAGCTTTACTAGAAATGGCTAGCTACAGGGGGAAATACGTACTTCAGCAAGTCAGAATTTAAAGTCTTGCTAATAGGTAATGACAGCAGGCAGCCCTTAGCAGCTCAGCATCTCACCAACAGTTAAAACAGCCTTAAACACATATACTTTTTGTGCATGCTAATTGAGTTTTCAGTTTAACAATCTCTCCAATATAGTGCTGCCCTCCTGTCCACCTCTAATACTGCAGAGGGTTGAAAGTTTGCTCAGTTCTTTCCCTGGTATGTTCTCTTTCCTCCTAGAAGCCTCTCCTGGTCCCTCATGACAGGTGTGGCTTTACTTCAAACAGACACAATCTACTCCCCATGAAGATTTGTAGGTCCTCCTCACTCTTTTATCCCTTTCATTCAGCAAGTCTCAAGTTTTATGATTTAGGGATCACTTTAGCAGGATGAAAAACTCTACAAACAATCTACCCTAAAACATTTTTTTCAATCATAATTTAAGACAAATGTCATCTTCATGAGACAGCCCCCGCTTCCATGAAATACAGTGATCATTAGTTTGGGTTTTGTTTTTTCAGTAGCACGCGTAAAATATTAACTTAAAACAAATATAGTCACACCCCAAACCTAAACATTTTAGAGGTGAGTTATAAATGAATAAATAATTATGTAAATAGATACTGAATACCTGTCTCCCTTAGATAGAAGGATGCCCTATGAAGGCAGGAACTGTGTGTGTTTTAAGCACTGCTGTGTCTCATACATGATAGGTGCTCGATAGGTAATTGTTGAATGAATGAAAACAGACCACCCTAAGAATGATCTTAGACTGAACTTTGGAAATTCTGTGTTTATATGTCAAAATGATATCTTTCACATGGAATGGTGTCTCTTCTTTTCCTTACCTGGAATCCCAGCACTCCTACCATTGGTCCAGACAATTCTTCTACACCCTTCAAGATGGCACTCAAGCCCGGCTTCTTCCAAGAAATCCTTTTCTACCACTCCAATTCATGCTAACCACTGCCTTATTGGCTTTCTAATAATCACATTACAGTCAGAATCCTGCAGATAGCTCCTAATTTTTCCATGTGTCTTAGTTGTTTTCTCAGCGTTTACACAGGAATGATTAGTCCTCCTGTGTGCCCACGTGGTGCTGACCACAAGCAACAGAGCAGGGATCAGTTCATCTTTGTTTGACTGGACCAACTAACTAGCCTACTGTTACCAATACCAGTGATTATAAATTCACAGTCAGGCAGCTGAAAAGTAAAGACACAACTTACATCATATAGATAGCATGTAAATAGCACTGGGTGTTGGGGTGAGGTGGAGAGAGGAAATAGCAAATCGAAAGGGTGGGCATTGGGGTGGGGCAGGGAGAAAAATCATAGGAAGGCTCTGCATCACTAGAGGAGGTACCACAACCCAACCAAATCCAGGAAGCCCCACATGAATGGTCTTCTCAACAAAGTCCTTTAAAGTTTACCCCTAATTATAGTCTTGTATCTCCTGATGACAGGGATACATTCTGAGAAATAAGTCGTTAGGTGATTTTGTTGTTGTGTGAACATCAGAAAGTGCACTTACACAAACCTGGATGGCACAGCCTACGACACACGCAGACTGTATGCTACATACAGCCTAGTGCTCCCAGGCCTCTGACCGTGCCTGAGACTGTACTGAACACTGTAGCAACTGTCGCACAATGGTAAGTATTTGTGTATCTAAACATGTCTAAACATAGATAAGGTACATAAAAAATAATCTATAAAAGACAAAAAATGGTGCACCTGTATAGGGCACTTACCATGAACGGAGCTTGCAGGACTGAAAGTTGCTCTGTGTGAGTCAGTGAGTGAGTGGTGAGTGAATTTGAGGGCCTAGGACATTACAGGACACTACTGTCGACTTTACAAACATTGTGCACTTAGGCTACACTACATTTATTTTAAAGATTTTCTAGGCCAGGTGCGGTGGCTCACACCTGGAATCCCAGCACTTTGGGAGGCCAAAGCGGGTGGATCACCTGAGTTCGAGACCAGCCTGGCCAACATGGTGAAACCCCGTCTCTACTAAAAATACAAAACTTAGCCGGGCATGGTGGCAGGCACCTGTAATCTCAGCTACTCGAGAGGCTGAGGCAGAAGAATTGCTTGAACCTGGGAGGCGGAGGTAGCAGTGAGCCAAGATAGCACCATTGCACTCCAGCCTGGGCAACAGAGAGAGACTCCGTCTCAAAAAACAAAAAAAAAAATTTAAAGATTTTCTTTATTCAATTAAAAATTAACCTCAGCTTACTGTAACTTTTCTACTTTACAAACCTTTTAATTTTTTTTAACTTTTTGACTCTTTTGTAATAACACTTAGCTTAAAACACAAACACACTGTATAGCTGTACAAAAATACTTTTCTTTTATCCATATTCTATAAGCTTTTTTCTATTTGTAACATTTTCTTAACTTTCAAGGTTTTTGTTAAAAACTAACACACAAATGTCCACATTAGCCTAGGCCAGGATCGTCGATATCAAGGATCAGGATCCTTGGTCAGGATCATCCATATCACTGTCTTCCACATCTTGTGCCACTGGAAGGTCTTCGGGGAAAATAATACACAGCTGCATGTCCTAAGATGACAATGCCTTCTTATGGCTACCTCCTGAAGGACGTGCCTGAGGCTGTTTTACAGTTAACGTTTGTTTTAATAAGTAGGAGTATACTCTAAAATAACAGTTAAAAGTATAGCACAGTAAATACGTAAATCAGTAACAGTCATTTATTATCAAGTATTGTGTACTGTACAGTACTGTACAGAACTGTCTGTGCTAGACTTTGATAAGACTGTCAGCCCAGTAGGTTTGTTTACAACAGCACCACACCACCACACACACGTAAGTAATGAGTGCCACTGCACCATTACGACGGCAGAAAGATAGGGAGGTTTCGGCTCCGTGATAGTTTTATGGGACTACCATCGTACATGTGCTCTGTCCTTGATCAGACTCTTGTTATGCAGTGCCTGACTGTATGATCCACCCCACACGGTCCTTGGGAGATGGTGGGAGGTGACGTGTGTAAGGCACAGAGCTGCACACTGCGGCACTCATAAGCATTAGGCATTCTTGCCACCATCACGTGCCAGGTGGTGGCTGTCCCCCACCAGACCAGGGACTTCCCCATTCAGTGCTGCCTCCCCAATACAGAGTCTTGTCCCAAGGAGGCAGTGCTCCCCAAATGAAGGAATGCTGGAAAGGAGAGGATACCCTTCCCACGTCATCCCTTCAAAGAGCCGCCCGGCTTCCGCTTTATGGTATCCTCATGCAGGCTGGGTTATTATGGCTTACACAGGGCTGGTCACCCACCCCAGCTGCCATAAAGGAAAGGGTTGAGCTTGAAAATGCAGTCTGCCTCACCCCACTTCCAGATAGATGGGGGCCAAGCGCTGTCAGATATACAGCAATCTGGGTGTCCACAGCTGTCTCCACGCTCCTTTCCCCTGAGGCCAAAGTCTACCCAGGGCCAGAGGCGCTAAGGAGTGGCCTGCTGCATGGGCCAACCTTCTGGAACCTCGCAGCCCCCATCAGCGAGGAGCCTGAGTGCTCGTTACGGAGCTTGCATCCCTTATGGGGTGACCAGAAAGGTTTCTCTTATGGATCTGGATGTAGAGAAGTTGCTAGGGAAATGAAGGCTGGATGGCCAAGCCCACAGTGTACACAAAAGAGACGGGAAAACACCTCACAAGAGCCTTGTGTCCCAGAAGCTTCTGGCAGGTCCCTTTGACATGTTTCCATGACCGACTTCCCTTCAAGAAATGGCAGCTTGCACCGTCCAGGGCTTTCTTCCCCAGTGAGCTCTGGCCAGGCCCTCTGGCAACCACATCAACTGCTCTGGGAATGCTAAAGTCAAGGCCGTAACCCTCGCCTATCTCTGCTACCTTCCTAACCCTCCTCCAGATCCTTCCTGCTCCTCTGGAGCCTTGGGAAGCACACAGACCTGCCAACGTCACACTCACAACAAACTCCTCATGCTGACCCACATAATTCAGCCCCTGTCTGCCCCTCCAACCCCACTCACATCCTCCTTCATCTCCCCTCCTGAGCAGCAGCCACAGTGGGCCCTGCTCACCTCGGGGTCCTGGCCCTGCTGTCCCCTGCCCGCAGCCTCCTCCCCAGGTCTGCCCAGAGCCAGCCCATCTTGTCACCACCTCTCAGCCCCAGTGCCACCTCCTCAGAGAGACCCTCCCTGCCTACCCGCTCCAGGTGGGCCCTTACCCTGGAACTCTCCATCTCATTATCTCCTTTACTTTCTCCATGGTATTAATATTCACAGTGCTCTGAAAGCATGGTGTGTATGAAGTTGCCAGTTGTTTATTGGCTGGCATCATAAGAACGTAAGCTCTTATCAAACCTGACAAGCTCTGTGAGGGCAGAGACCCTGCGCACCCTTGTTTCCGCACATCTTGCTTTTCCAGCACCTAGCCTGGTACACAGTAGGCATTTAATAAATATGACAGAAGGAATGCATGAAGGAATGTGCTCATATGAAGTCAAATGGTCTACTTGTCAGGCAAAAGACCACAGATGCACAGAACATAAAAGAATCCTCTACATATACTCCTCTCCTAGATTAAGAAAAATGAACAAACAGAGGTCAAGAGAAGCAAAGACATTTGCCCAAGGTCACTCAGCTGGTGAGGAGCAGAGAGAGGTCTGGGATGGAGGCCTCCTAGCCTCTCATCTGGTGCTGTCTCAGCCATGCCACACCTTGCCAGAATCCCTAGTCCATGAACAGCTTCTCTTCTTCACATATTCATTCAGTTATTTATTCAGCAAATACTCATCGAGTGCCTTCTATGTTTCAGGAACTGTGTTAAGAACAGACACCAAACCAAAAGTGACTGGGAGGCCCTTGTCTGCAATCCCAAAGAAATCACCCTGCAGTCGTGAACAATGGATCCTCTTGCTGGAGGGTCTCCGACCATTCTGCAAATCGTCCACCCACCGTGACTGTTCCCAGAGTGAGCTGGGGCCTGTCCCTGTCCCAGGACAGAGGTTCTCTGGTTATGGGACAGGTTCTCTGCCAAAATATGATGACAACACACAGCCGTATGGGCAGTGAGAGAGGGGTCTGCAGGGAGGGACGCCCTCCAAAGCTCCTAGCCTAGTACACAGCACCAGGAGCTGCCTGGGTCACCGCTGGTCCACCAAGAGCTGCTCATCCTGTTTGGACTGAACTGTGGCAGAGATAAGCCCCTGCTGAGACCCCTGCCAAACCTGATTCACAGCACCCTGAGAGCCAGGGAGGAGGCCAGCCCTTCCCTGGATGGCCTCGGTGCTTAGGGATCCAGAAGCCAGGGCATGTCGCATGAGGCCCGCTGTGTCCTGGGAGCGGCCTCACCCCTTACACCTCCAGTTCACACTGCATGCTCCCATCTTTAGGGCGCATGTCTGAGGCCAGCGGGCAGAGGAGGCAGAGAATGAGGAGGCATTGGTGCTAAGCTGCAGGACTAAGATATAACTGGAGGACCTCAGGGGCGCAAGAGATCTCCTCTGCCACACATGCCACGGTCCCTCAGGCGGCTATACTGTAAACGGGTACAGAAGCCCACCCTGTCTGGAGCTAACAGGCAAGGGCAGCGGCCCAGTCAGGACCAGCATCCACACTGAAGCACACCTTCCTTCAAGAAACACTCTAACAGCCTGGCCTGGCCCTCACAGACATGCGCAAGGCCCCAGCTGTACTCCAGGTACTGCACTGGATCTGTGTAGATGTGATCCCTTCTTGCACAGGGCTCGCTGCTGGTGAGAGCTGCAGATGGACTTTATTTGGAAATAAAGTCTTTGCAGATGGAATCATGTGAAAATGAGGTTATACTGGATTAAGGTGAAGGAGCCCTAATCCAATGACTGCTGTCCTTATCAGAGGAGGGAAAGCTGGACACAGAGACACAAACACCCAGGGGAGCGCGCCATGTGAAGACGGAGGCAGAGATCTGGAGTGAGGCACCTAGAAGCCAAGGGATGCCAGGCGCTGCTGGCAACACTGGAGCCAGGGCAGGAGCACGGAACACACTCCTCAGAGTGCCCAGAGGAACCAATGCTACTAACACCTGGACTTTGAAACTCTGGCCTCTGGAACTGTGAGACAATAAATTTCTATTGTTTTAAGCCACCAAATGCATGGTATTTTCACAGCAGTGCTAGAAAACAAACACACTGAGAGACGCAGATGAGTAAGCAGGAGGCTAAATGTGCTTTGATAGGGGTCATCTAGAATGCTATGGAAACACAGAGGGCAGCACCAAAGCCAGTCATGGAGGAGCAGAGAAAACTTCCTACAAGAAGGGACTCCAAGTCTGGGCCTTGGGGATTGTCTAAGTCCATTTGTGTTGCTATAAAGGAATACCTGAGGCAGGGTTACTTAAAAAGAAAAGAGGCGTATTTGGCTCACGGTTCTGCAGGCCGCACAAGAGGCATGGCTCTAGCATCTGCTTCTGGTGAGGGCCTCAGGCTGCTTCCACTCATGGCAGAAGGGGAAGGGGAGCCCGGCGTGTGGCTGAAAGACCATGTTGGGCTTCACCTCTCTCTGGGATAACCTCTGGAACATTCCTCCGATGGGCAGGAAGCGTGGAAGTGACCCCGGCCTGCTGCTGGTCACTCTCTTACCTGCTCTCTCTGGTCAGTCTAGCAGAAGTGGGACTCGGAGCCACACCCTGGCCTTCGACACCTTCTCCCACAAGGCCCGTCCCTATCAACCGTGCCCAACTGCCAGGGTTCAAGCACCTCCACACTGTGAGCTGCGTACACAGCCCAGCCCTCAAGCATAGCATCCACCACCTGCCACCTGCCTTCCCCCACACAACCAGGATCCATCTGCAAGCACAGGCCACACCAAGGCTTGTGCTCCCCAGCCCTGTGAAGGCTGGCCTGGCCACAGGGACCACAGCACTTCCAGTCAGATCTGATGAAGCCTCGGTGCAGACGTGAGGTCTCCTCCTGGATATCCTGGCCTTCCTTATTCTTGATGCCTGACCTTGTTCCTCAGGACTCAAAGGCACAGAGAAGAGAGGCTGCCCCAGGCCATGTTTCTGACTGTGTGCCCGAGAGCCCAGATAATAAAAGCCCTGGGGTTTTCCCACTATTTCTGCTATGCATTTGAGGAAGGGGTTTGCAAGTCACAGGACAGCACCAAACGAACTACTCAGCAGCTACACTCGCTGTGCCAGAGTTCAGCTAGACCCAGTGAGAAAACAGGGAGTGGCCCGCATGAGCTCCCGGCAGGGGCGCCTGTGTGAGGCGATGTGTCGGCTCCAGGACTGCACACAAAGACAGGGTCCACTGGCCTGGCGCTCCCGGACCCCGGCAGCCCTGCCAGACTCTTGGCAGCAGGCAGGTTGCAGCCACACCACTCACCACCCATCTTGGAAAGGTCAAGAACTAAATTTGGAACTTGGCTTCTAGTTCTTTTGCATCTCTAAGTTATCTTGAGAGGAGGCTGAGGAAAAAGGTTCACAGAGGAATGTGCCAGAAAAAAAAAAACAGTAAGTATTTTAGAGACAAATATATCTGTCTAGTTTGAATCATAACAGTAATAATGATCACAATAATGCCTCTATGTTTATATGGCACTTTGCATTTTTCCAGAGCATTTTAAAAAATAAACATGGGGTCTCGCCCCATCACCCTGGTGTAATCATAGCTCACTGCTGCCTTGAACTCCTGGGTTGAAGCACTCCTCCCGTCTCAGCCTCCCAAGCAGCTAAAACTACAGGTGCAAGCCACCATGCCCAGCTAATGTGTGTGTATGTGTGTGTATATATATACTTTTTTTTTTGGTAGAGCTGGGCGGAGCATTTCTATCTATATTCTCATTTGCCCTTGCCATAACTCAGTGAGGTAGGAATTATTATCTTTATTTCACAGCCGAGAAACCTAAAACTCAGAGAAGTGAAGTGACAAGGCCGTGCCACCAGGCAGAGGTAGAACTGGAACCAGAGCCCAGGGCTAGGACATGCAGCTCAGCACTCTCTTACTACCCATCCCACATCCTGGTGTTCAGGCCGTAGCTCTTCGATGTTTCCACGTCTCCAGTGGGGCCTAGGGTGCACAGGCAAAACCTGTGGAGCCTCTCGGCACGAGAGGGGGACTGCTCTCACCTGGGCGGGGCGCCGTGGGGTCCCCCACATGTTATGCTCTGAGCCCTGCCAACCACCAGTACTGACTGGGGTCCCATGAAGGCCCCAAGTTCAAATGCAGGCCCAGCAGCTCCCAAGATCTGCTTCCAAGGACTCAGTCCACGAGAAGGGTCCCTCAAGTTTTAAGTTTGTCTCAGAAAGTCAGGCTGATTCTGGGTTCCCTCACCCCAACCAGAGATTCTCATCTATTTAGGAAGAGGCCCGGGGGCCTGTTTGGTTGAGGATCTCAGGTAATATGAATCACTGATCCCTGGGAAAATATGGCCTCAAAGCCAAGTCTACCTCTCAGGTAGTAGCAGATGAAAAGGCCTCCCCTTTGCCTACCCCTTATGCTTTCCAAATGGCATGGCCTGGGGGCTCCATGGCATGCCCCCAGGACCCCTACAGACACCACCCAGCCTGGGGACGTTCACTCCCTCCTTCACTGTTGCTCCTCCCTTGGTCCTCTTGGTAAAGACAGAAGCGCACACACTGCATAAACTCTAGTTGAAGGCCTGATAATTAAGGCATCGTATTCAAAGCAAAATACCCCTCCCATTTATACCTTAGTTGGGGGCCACACAGCATAGCAGTTAAAAGCACAGACTTGGGAGCCACACACCCAGGCTGGAATCCCAGCTCCACTGCTTCATAGCTATGCAAACTTGGGCAAGTTAGTTCATTGCCCTGTGCCCCTTCCTCATCTTTAAAATGGGGTGATTACAAGAAAGGTCTCGAGGAGGAGCCAAGATGGCCGAATAGGAACAGCTCCGGTCTACAGCTCTCAGCGTGACCGACGCAGAAGACGGGTGATTTCTGCATTTCCATCTGAGGTACCGGGTTCATCTCACTAGGGAGTGCCAGACAGTGGGCGCAGGCCAGTGGGTGCGCGAGCCAAAGCAGGGCGAGGCATTGCCTCACCTGGGAAGCGCAAGCGGTCAGGGAGTTCCCTTTCCGAGTCAAAGAAAGGGGTGACGGACGCACCTGGAAAATTGGGTCACTCCCACCCGAATATTGCGCTTTTCAGACCGGCTTAAAAAACGGCGCACCACGAGACTATATCCCACACCTGGCTCGGAGGGTCCTACGCCCACGGAGTCTCGCTGATTGCTAGCACAGCAGTCTGAGATCAAACTGCAAGGCGGCAGCGAGGCTGGGGGAGGGGCGCCCGCCATTGCCCGGGCTTGATTAGGTAAACAAAGCAGCCGGGAAGCTCGAACTGGGTGGAGCCTACCACAGCTCAAGGAGGCCTGCCTGCCTCTGTAGGCTCCACCTCTGGGGGCAGGGCACAGACAAACAAAAAGACAGCAGTAACTTCTGCAGACTTAAATGTCCCTGTCTGACAGCTTTGAAGAGAGCAGTGGTTCTCCCAGCACGCGGCTGGAGATCTGAGAACGGGCAGACTGCCTCTTCAAGTGGGTCCCTGACCCCTGACCCCTGAGCAGCCTAACTGGGAGGCACCCCCCAGCAGGGGCAGACTGACACCTCTCACAGCAGGGTACTCCAACAGACCTGCAGCTGAGGGTCCTGTCTGTTAGAAGGAAAACTAACAAACAGAAAGGACATCCACACCAAAAACCCATCTGTACATCACCATCATCAAAGACCAAAAGTAGATAAAACCACAAAGATGGGGAAAAAACAGAACAGAAAAACTGGAAGCTCTAAAAATCAGAGCGCCTCTCCTCCTCCAAAGGAACGCAGCTCCTCACCAGCAACAGAACAAAGCTGGATGGAGAATGACTTTGACGAGCTGAGAGAAGAAGGCTTCAGACAATCAAATTACTCTGAGCTACGGGAGGACACTCAAACCAAAGGCAAAGAAGTTGAAAACTTTGAAAAAAATTTAGAAGAATGTATAACTAGAATAACCAATACAGAGAAGTGCTTAAAGGAGCTGATGGAGCTGAAAACCAAGGCTCAAGAACTACATGAAGAATGCAGAAGCCTCAGGAGCTGATGCGATCAACTGGAAGAAAGGGTGTCAGCAATGGAAGATGAAATGAATGAAATGAAGTGAGAAGGGAAGTTTAGAGAAAAAAGAATAAAAAGAAATGAGCAAAGCCTCCAAGAAATATGGGACTATGTGAAAAGACCAAATCTACGTCTGATTGGTGTACCTGAAAGTGATGGGGAGAATGGAACCAAGTTGGAAAACACTCTGCAGGATATTATCCAGGAGAACTTCCCCAATCTAGCAAGGCAGGCCAACGTTCAGATTCAGGAAATACAGAGAACGCCACAAAGATACTCCTCGAGAAGAGCAACTCCAAGACACATAATTGTCAGATTCACCAAAGTTGAAATGAAGGAAAAAATGTTAAGGGCAGCCAGAGAGAAAGGTCGGGTTACCCTCAAAGGGAAGCCCATCAGACTAACAGCGGATCTCTCGGCAGAAACCCTACAAGCCAGAAGAGAGTGGGGGCCAATATTCAACATTCTTAAAGAAAAGAATTTCCAACCCAGAATTTCATATCCAGCCAAGCTAAGCTTCATAAGTGAAGGAGAAATAAAATACTTTACAGACAAGCAAATGCTGAGAGATTTTGTCACCACCAGACCTGCCCTAAAAGAGCTCCTGAAGGAAGCGCTAAACATGGAAAGGAACAACCAGTACCAGCCGCTGCAAAATCATGCCAAAATGTAAAGACCATCGAGACTAGGAAGAAACTGCATCAACTAATGAGCAAAATAACCAGCTAACATCATAATGACAGGATCAAATTCACACATAACAATATTAACTTTAAATGTAAATGGACTAAATGCTCCAATTAAAAGACACAGACTGGCAAATTGGATAAAGAGTCAAGACCCATCAGTGTGCTGTATTCAGGAAACCCATCTCACGTGCAGAGACACACATAGGCTCAAAATAAAAGGATGGAGGAAGATCTACCAAGCCAATGGAAAACAAAAAAAGGCAGGGGTTGCAATCCTAGTCTCTGATAAAACAGACTTTAAACCAACAAAGATCAAAAGAGACAAAGAAGGCCATTACATAATGGTAAAGGGATCAATTCAACAAGAAGAGCTAACTATCCTAAATATATATGCACCCAATACAGGAGCACCCAGATTCATAAAGCAAGTCCTGAGTGACCTACAAATTGACTTAGACTCCCACACAATAATAATGGGAGACTTTAACACCCCACTGTCAACATTAGACAGATCAACGAGACAGAAAGTCAACAAGGATACCCAGGAATTGAACTCAGCTCTGCACCAAGCGGACCTAATAGACATCTACAGAACTCTCCACCCCAAATCAACAGAATATACATTTTTTTCAGCACCACACCACACCTATTCCAAAATTGACCACATAGTTGGAAGTAAAGCTCTCCTCAGCAAATGTAAAAGAACAGAAATTATAACAAACTATCTCTCAGACCACAGTGCAATCAAACTAGAACTCAGGATTAAGAATCTCACTCAAAGCCACTCAACTACATGGAAACTGAACAACCTGCTCCTGAATGACTACTGGGTACATAACGAAATGAAGTCAGAAATAAAGATGTTCTTTGAAACCAACGAGAACAAAGACACAACATACCAGAATCTCTGGGATGCATTCAAAGCAGTGTGTAGAGGGAAATTTATAGCACTAAATGCCCACAAGAGAAAGCAGGAAAGATCCAAAATTGACACCCTAACATCACAATTAAAAGAACTAGAAAAGCAAGAGCAAACACATTCAAAAGCTAGCAGAAGGCAAGAAATAACTAAAATCAGAGCAGAACTGAAGGAAATAGAGACACAAAAAACCCTTCAAAAAATCAATGAATCCAGGAGCTGGTTTTTTGAAAGGATCAACAAAATTGATAGACCACTAGCAAGACTAATAAAGAAAAAAAGAGAGAAGAATCAAATAGACACAATAAAAAATGATAAAGGGGATATCACCACCGATCCCACAGAAATACAAACTACCATCAGAGAATACTACAAACACCTCTACGCAAATAAACTAGAAAATCTAGAAGAAATGGATAAATTCCTCGACACATACACTCTCCCAAGACTAAACCAGGAAGAAGTTGAATCTCTTAATAGACCAATAACAGGAGCTGAAATTGTGGCAATAATCAATAGCTTACCAACCAAAAAGAGTCCAGGACCAGATGGATTCACAGCCGAATTCTACCAGAGGTACAAGGAGGAACTGGTACCATTCCTTCTGAAACTATTCCAATCAATAGAAAAAGAGGGAATCCTCCCTAACTCATTTTATGAGGCCAGCATCATTCTGATACCAAAGCCGGGCAGAGACACAACAAAAAAAGAGAATTTTAGACCAATATCCTTGATGAACACTGATGCAAAAATCCTCAATAAAATACTGGCAAACCGAATCCAGCAGCACATCAAAAAGCTTATCCACCATGATCAAGTGGGCTTCATCCCTGGGATGCAAGGCTGGTTCAATATACGCAAATCAATAAATGTAATCCAGCACATAAACAGAACCAAAGACAAAAACCACATGATTATCTCAATAGATGCAGAAAAAGCCTTTGACAAAATTCAACAACCCTTCATGCTAAAAACTCTCAATAAATTAGGTATTGATGGGACGTATTTCAAAATAATAAGAGCTATCTATGAAAAACCCACAGCCAATATCATACTGAATGGGCAAAAACTGGAAGCATTCCCTTTGAAAACTGGCACAAGACAGGGATGCCCTCTCTCACCACTCCTATTCAACATAGTGTTGGAAGTTCTGGCCAGGGCAATTAGGCAGGAGAAGGAAATAAAGGGTATTCAATTAGGAAAAGAGGAAGTCAAATTGTCCCTGTTTGCAGATGACATGATTGTATATCTACAAAACCCCATTGTCTCAGCCCAAAATCTCCTTAAGCTGATAAGCAATTTCAGCAAAGTCTCAGGATACAAAATCAATGTACAAAAATCACAAGCATTCTTATACACCAACAACAGACAAACAGAGAGCCAAATCATAAGTGAACTCCCATTCACAATTGCTCAAAGAGAATAAAATACCTAGGAATCCAACTTACAAGGGTTGTGAAGGACCTCTTCAAGGAGAACTACAAACCACTGCTCAAGGAAATAAAAGAGGATACAAACAAATGGAAGAACATTCCATGCTCATGGGTAGGAAGAATCAATATTGTGAAAATGGCCATACTGCCCAAGGTAATTTACAGATTCAATGCCATCCCCATCAAGCTACCAATGACTTTCTTCACAGAATTGGAAAAAACTACTTTAAACTTCATATGGAACCAAAAAAGAGCCCGCATTGCCAAGTCAATCCTAAGCCAAAAGAACAAAGCTGGAGGCATCACACTACCTGACTTCAAACTTTACTACAAGGCTACAGTAACCAAAACAGCATGGTATTGGTACCAAAACAGAGATATAGATCAATGGAACAGAACAGAGCCCTCAGAAATAACACCGCATACCTACAACTGTCTGATCTTTGACAAACCTGAGAAAAACAAGAAATGGGGAAAGGATTCCCTATTTAATAAATGGTGCTGGGAAAACTGGCTAGCCATATGTAGAAAGCTGAAACTGGATCCCTTCCTTACACCTTATACAAAAATCAATTCAAGATGGATTAAAGATTTAAACGTTAGACCTAAAACCATAAAAACCCTAGAAGAAAACCTAGGCATTACCATTCAGGACATAGGCATGGGCAAGGACTTCATGTCCAAAACACCAAAAGCAATGGCAACAAAAGACAAAATTGACAAATGGGATCTAATTAAACTAAAGAGCTTCTGCACAGCAAAAGAAACTACCATCAGAGTGAACAGGCAACCTACAACATGGGAGAAAATTTTCGCAACCTACTCATCTGACAAAGGGCTAATATCCAGAATCTACAATGAACTCAACCAAATTTACAAGAAAAAAACAAACAACCCCATCAAAAAGTGGGCGAAGGACATGAACAGACACTTCTCAAAAGAAGACATTTATGCAGCCAAAAAACACATGAAAAAATGCTCATCATCACTGGCCATCAGAGAAATGCAAATCAAAACCACAATGAGATACCATCTCACACCAGTTAGAATGGCAATCATTAAAAAGTCAGGAAACAACAGGTGCTGGAGAGGATGTGGAGAAATACGAACACTTTTACATTGTTGGTGGGACTGTAAACTAGTTCAACCATTGTGGAAGTCAGTGTGGCGATTCCTCAGGGATCTAGAACTAGAAATACCATTTGACCCAGCCATCCCATTACTGGGTATATACCCAAATGACTATAAATCATGCTGCTATAAAGACACATGCACACGTATGTTTATTGCGGCATTATTCACAATAGCAAAGACTTGGAACCAACCCAAATGTCCAACAATGATAGACTGGATTAAGAAAATGTGGCACATATACACCATGGAATACTATGCAGCCATAAAAAATGATGAGTTCATGTCCTTTGTAGGGACATGGATGAAATTGGAAATCATCATTCTCAGTAAACTATCACAAGAACAAAAAACCAAACACCGCATATTCTCACTCATAGGTGGGAATTGAACAATGAGATCACATGGACACAGGAAAGGGAATATCACACTCTGGGGACTGTGGTGGGGTGGGGGGAGGGGGGAGGGATAGCATTGGGAGATATACCTAATGCTAGATGATGAGTTAGTGGGTGCAGCGCACCAGCATGGCACATGTATACATATGTAACTAACCTGCACAATGTGCACATGTACCCTAAAACCTAAAGTATAATAAAAAAAGAAAAGAAAAAAAAAAGAGATATTTAAATGTATTTGCTAATAAACGCAAAGCTGGTTAATAAGCTCAAAGGTAATAAAATGTAATGTTTGGCATTAAAAAAAAAAAAAAAAAAAAGAAAGGTCTCATGGGGTAGTCGAGGGGACTAAATGAGTTAACACACGGACCATAGAGCAATGCCAGCAGCGTAAGGGCTGAAGTTATTGCTGCTATTATTATTAGTTAGAAGGCGCCAATCCAACAACTTCAATCATACAGAAACTAGAGAGAACAAAGAGAATAAAGGGGAAAAATGGCTTCTAAGAAGCCAAAATCAATGTTATAAAACCCATAAATTAAAGCTAATGCACTTTATTCATAAGTAAGCCCCATAGGTCCTCAATCAGGATCTATTTACTCTAACTTTGCACATAACTGTAATGGACTTGATCAACTGGTTCCCAAGCCTGCAGGAGAGAGGGGGGAGCAAATTAATCAGGCTGGTGCTGGAGGAGGCTGACACCCCAACAGGGTGGTGCATGAAAGGCACATCCCAAATCTTCCCCAGGTCAGGACGTTCCGGGACCCTGTGCGGGTTGCTTAGCTCTCCTGACAGCTCCCCAGCATTACAACAGGTGCAATCATTGAAATTCCTAAGAATTGTATAGTCCCAGAAAAAGGATGAAATATGTTCAGATTTTTCTTTTAAGGATCCAGGGATTTGTATTTTATATTCTGGAAAGACTTCCTTCAAATATACTTAAATTACAAGAAGTTTGGTACATGAAAGGGGTTCTATTACATAAACAGTGAATTTATTTGGAAGATTCTCCCCCAAAAAATGAATAAAGATGGATAAAACTGGAGCAAGAGGTGTCACCATATTTAGACTTCAAATCATCATCTCTCTTTTCCCATCCGCTGGCAAACGCAGAGCAGACAATGCTTTCTCCTCTCTCTGAAATATTTAGTGAGTAAACCCTGAGTCAAACAATTGCCCCAGGCTCTCTGCGGGTTTATGACCATGAGATGAAGCACAGACCCATCCAGAAGCTGCCATCTATTTTGAAATGCCATGTTCCTGATGAAGACAGTCCTGTGGTCTTTGCTCCTTTCCTACACCAGCCTTGCAACGTGTCTCATCCCGTTTCCAGCTCTGTCCTTTCTCCTAATGCATCGGTTCTTGGGGCAACACAGAGCAGCATTTCCCAAAGGTGTGAGCCCGGGAACACCATTCTTCAAGATGTCTGTGATGGTATGAGTGGGAAAGGTGATGTGCTGTCTGGCTAGTCCAGGGACTCACGGAGCACCTTACCACACAAGGAGGCAGCTGTAGCAGAATGGCTAAGAACACAGACCGGGAGATGCCTCACCCACTTCTGCATGGCCATGACTTCGCTTCAGGGCTACATCTCACAGGGTGAATTATTTACCTTCTCTGAGCTTGTGTGTGCTCATCTATTGAATGGGATAATAACATCTCATCGTGCTATAATCATGTTTAAACGCATTTATACGCAAGGCACTTAGGACAGCATCTGCACATGGTGTGAAGTCATAAGTAGTGTCTGTTGCTGTTGTGTTAGAGGCTTGGAGAAGTCTTATAATAATGTATTTACCTGGCCGGGCGCAGTGGCTCACGCCTGTAATCCCAGCATTTTGGGAGGCCGAGGCGGGCAGATCACGAGGTCAGGAGATCGAGACCATCCTGACTAACACGGTGAAACCCCGTCTCTACTAAAAATACAAAAAAATTAGCTGGGCATGGTGCTGAGCGCGTGTAGTCCCAGCTACTCGGGAGGCTGAGACGGGAGAACGGCGTGAACCCGGGAGGTGGAGCTTGCAGTGAGCCGAGATCGCGCCACTGCACTCCAGCCTGGGCGACAGAGAGAGACTCTGTCTCAAAAAAAAGGTAAAAAAATAATGTATTTACCTTTGGCTAACTTGGTACTTACTGAATTTATTTTGCAACAGAACCAAATTTTGTTTGTTTTTATTTTAAATCTGTTAATACTGCTACAGAGTGTTTAATCTTTAAAATATTTTCACATATACTTCATTGGATACTCACAGCGACCCTACACATCCCAGGGAACAGAGCAAAGAACCCAAGCTGTGGTTTCATACAGTCCTAAGTTCCAACTACAGCCCTGCCACTGCCTCACCAAGTCACTTTACTTCTCTGAGACTTTACTTTCTTATCTGAAATAAAGGGATAACACTTCACAGGATCCATTCATTCACCCAGGGTTCACTCAGCAGATATTTATGGAGAGCCTTACGTGTGCCAGTTATTGCCAAAGCACTGGGGATACAGCCATGAACAAGAGGGATACATTCTCTACCATCAAGTAAACAAATAAATAGAAAGCATAATTTACAGTTGTGGAGATTAGAAACATTGCACGCAAAGCTCTGGTACCTGGTGGTCACTCAATAAAGGCAATTACAATGACTAAGCAAGCATTACTACTCCACGTGCCAAAAGAGATACCAACAGAGAGGTTAAGTGACTGACCTAAGGCCACACAGTTCAGATCTCTCTTCCTAGGTCAGTGCCTGCAACTCTGGCTCTGGTATAGCTTTTAAGACACACCCACACCCAGGTCCCACTCAGACCCATTCAGCCGGAAAATCTGAGGGGAGAACTGACTCCGTAGAAGCACTTTCCCAATGCGCTGTGTCAAGCTCATTCTCTCATCCAAAAACAGGCTCTCCACCCTGCCTTCCACACCCCACTACACAGCACAGGACAGGGTGTTTGTACATGATACAGTAGCTATGTGGTTTGTTGCTTGTAGTTATCTATTAGTGTATTTTATAACCCTAGCATTTCTGCAAACCCTAACACCTGCTGCATTAGGACAACACATAAGAGATAGCAATAATAAAGCTCATTTCATTGTCATCATTATTGTTGATGCATGAAAGCCCTATAAAAATACTTCTCACTCTTAGGCAAACCTGATAATAAAAGAAAACACAGTTCACTGCAGGGAGAGGAGGGGAACCCAAAGTGGCATTTCCATTCACTTCTCAAAGCACGGGGGGCGATAGGGCTCAGACGCATCTCAGAACTTGCGGTGGTGGTCCAAGTGCAGGGCCCCATGTCGGGTGATTCAACCCAGCACTGTGTGGGAATGGGGGAACCTCAGGCTGACAGGCACCTCCTGAGCAGACTGGCAAGAGACACACAAAGCTCAGGGGTGGGGGAGTGGGGTCCCCCACCAGTGCTCTCCCTCTGGGGCTCTTCTTTGGCCATTAATGGATCCCAGCTTCTCTCCCTGTGTAGTCAGAAGGCAAGGGTGAGCACACAGACACTAATCTTGCTGGGTCACAGCTGCCAAAAAGCACAGCGTTTTGGTCTCTTCTTTCCCACCCTTCTGAGGCCAAAGCTAGCACAAGGTGCCAATGACTGTGACTTACCCCCAGGGACCAGGCAGAGGGGAGGGGCCCTCAGCCTGGCTTAGAGTTCCAAAGAGCAACACACATTCGCCTGTGCTGGGCATGTCCTGTGAAGTTTACTTATGGTAACTCACTTAATCCTCTCAGCCAGGTTATGAGGCAACTCTGGTTGCCCCAATTTTACACCAATAAATGGGCAAATCTGACATCTCAACCTTCTTCCTAGTCTAGCTCAAGCCCCTCTGACGGACGGCTTCTCCTCTCACAACCTCTGAAGGAAGAAAGCCCAGCCAAAAGATGATCCCTTTGATGGCCTCATCCCGTCTTCTCTCCACCTCCACTTCAAGCTTGGCTCTTGCTCCAGAAAGTACATGCACTGTTCTTTGCACAAGGTCAAATGCCAAATATATTCTCTTAATATTTCAACTCAAGCCAAGTCTTCGTGGGCTTCAGGGTATGCAGAGGACAGGAAGTTTTCCACACACAATGAGTCGGCTCCGCTTGCAGAGCTTGTTCAACAGACATCAGACAATCTACCTAACAGGTAATAGCTCTTGGTAGACAGGGGTTACAGCTGCTATATTATAAACGATGTGCTGCATAGAGGTGGCATTGCCAATAACAGCACTAAATCTAAAGAAAGAATTGTCATGTCATGGCCCAGTTCAGCTTTCATTATGCTTCACTAGCATGAGGAAAAGATAACAAAGATGATGGATTTTGGTGCAAAAGTGTATGTTAGATGGAGCATACAACAAACAGACTTTTATTTAAATAATGAGAGAGAGATCTTTTAAAAAAAAAACTCTATTCTGGAATACTTTTCATCTCTTGGAAACAGAAGAAAGCAAAGTGTTAGAAAAATAAGTGGGAGAAAGGAAAGGGCCTGCGACAGAATGGGTGGAAGCCGATGCGTTTGCGAGGGAATCTGAGAGCAGGAGCAAGCACAGATGTGAATTTGCAAGTGTGTGTGAAAAGAAGAATCTTTTCTAATTCTGTGACAGTGTGAGTGTGCTTTGCTAAATAGATTATTCTTGAACCCAATGGAGTGGGAAAGCTCTCAGCAGTTGACGTGTGTCGTCTTTCTGCTTGGATCCTAAAGGGAACCTGTGGGTAGACAGAGCTGATTGCGGAGGGAGCTGAAGGTGGATCCAATCACACCATGAGGAACATTCTAGGTCACTGTTCTCAAAGAGCAGCCCAGGACCACTTGCATCAGAACCCCAGGGGAGCTTATTAAAAATTCAAACTCCTAGGGCCCACTCCAGAGTCAGAATCTCTGGGAGCAGGGCCTGGGAACATGCATTTTAATCATCTCTATGAACTTATGCCACAGGGGTTGAGAGCCACCTGCTTCAGGTGCATCAGCATCTCTTCTTTGCTGTTTCTCAGAGTAGGGCTCTGAAATCGCAATTCTTTAATTTTTTAAAAAAAGCTATGAAACTAATGGAGGATTTCTCAAGCTTCATTTTCGGGGTACATAAGTGATTTGGGGCATCCCACTCTGGCACAACAATGGGAATGTTTCAAGCATTGAACCTCAGCAAACAGTTGTCATGCACCTACTACTTCAGGGCCTCCATAGGGGTACAGACACAGATCAATATCCTCTTCTCGTACTTTTGGCCCTAAGCTCAGCTCTTCTCAGTCAGGCCAATCCTCTTGTCATTGGCCTTGAGTTGCCATGAGCCACGATTTTGAACTACCAACCAGCCCCTCTTGAATATCTTAAACTCTCTGTTCCCTTAGCTTCTAAGACTCCACTCTCAGCAGGTTCCCCTCCTACCTCTCAGGCTAAGCCTTCCTGACACGTGGTGTATGACCTTCCTTTGCTCCTCTTCCTCCACCCTCTGCAAACGTCACTGTTCTCCAGGGTCTGGCTGTGGTCACTGCTACCCTCCCACTCCACCCTGATGCAGGTGCTCTGGGCCATACCTACAGCTTCTCCTTGTGTCTCTCCTCCTGTTGCCCCCAAGTCTCCATCCTCAGCATAAACAGTCTCCTGGGTTGCAGGCTCCTGTCGACCGCCGGTAGGACATCCCCAGCCTCACGCTCCACGGGCTCCTCCACTTGACAATCCCTAATCGTACGCATCATTCCCTGCCCCTCAAATATGACCTTCCTCCTGAAGTCTTTCTCCTGGCCAAGGGCACCTGGCTCCTCGTATCACCATCCTGGGAGCCAGCTCTCTCCGCCACCCATGATATCCAACTGGTTACCCGTCCAGGCAAGCTTGCCTCCTAAATCCACTGCCCCCTCTCTATCCTTATTGTCACCACCATCTGGACTCTGGCAAGCTTTCTTTTTCTCTTCACAAACAGTGAGGCCTCCGTCTGAGCCATCTTCCTCATGCTGCAAGAGCACTCCTCTGCCGTTAAAGCCTTCGAGCCTCCTCCTCACCTGCAGTTAAGTCCAACAGTTTGCATGGGCCATCAAGCCCCCATCACCTGGCTCTTCTCATCCCCTCAAAACCAGCACCCCTTCCTCTGGTCCTAAAGAATGTGACCACATGTATACTCATGCCTTTGCACATGAGTACACTTCAACCTGAAGTATCTCTTATGGCATCCTCTTCTTGAGAGACGCAATGCAAATATGTCAACCTATGTGAAACTTGCCATTAATCCTTTCTCTACAGCAAAATGAATCAGTTCTTCCACCCTGACACCCTGGCCCTTTATAAGACCTTTCACTATTTGAAACAACTGTTTACAGTTTCATCTTCCCTATTAATCATAGTGCCTATCTGTTGGTATAGATGTTTGGCAAATGACTGCACACACACACACACACACACACACACACACACACACACACGAGCTAGACCAGTGGAAGGAGAGACCAGAGGGAGGACAGCAGGAAGGAGGTGACTGTAAGAGTCCATGAAAAAGGCAACAGGGCCTGGGTTAGGTTGACAAGGATGATGATGATGACAATAATAACAATAGTATCCAGCACTATTAACAAGACCCAACACTTCGCCCTTACTAAGGTGCTCTCCTAAGGGCTTTACATATTTTGGCTCATTTAATCTTCACAACAACCCTATGAGGTAGGTACTGTCATTATCGTTATTTCCATTTTATAAATGAAGAAACTAAGGCACAGGAAGTCTGAACAAATGACTTTGAGAATAGAAAGAAAGCTAAATGTGATACATTGCAAATTACAATCTCCAAGACTGGATTCCTGCTCAGATGGGCATGGCAAGGGGAAGAAGATGTCAGAGATGGTTCCATGTGACAGCAAGGCCAGCAATGCCATCAACCCGGCCAAGGGAAAAGAAAAGGAGCAGCATTCACCTGGGCTATGTTTCGTTTTCTTCAGGGGGACAGGGTCGTGTGGTGGGAGAGAGAATGAGTTCTATTTGGGGCTTGTTTGAGGTATTGGCAAGACATCCTGGCACATATAATTGTCACTGCCCGCCCTACTCTTCCCTAGAACCCTCTGAGGTCACTTCCATTTTACAAGCTGGGGAACTGAGGTTTGGAAAGACTAAATAACCTCAGACTAAGATTCAGACTTAACCTTTTTTTTTTTTTTTTTTTTTTGAGATGGAGTCTCCTTCTGTCACCCAGGCTGGAGTGCGGTGGCGCGATCTCGGCTCACTGCAAGCTCCGCCTCCCACGTTCACACCATTCTCCTGCCTCAGCCTCCTGAGTAGCTGGGACTACAGGTGCCCGCCACCACGCCTGGCTAATTTTTTGTATTTTTAGTAGAGATGGGGTTTTACCGTGTTAGCCAGGCTGGTCTCGATCTCCTGACCTCATGATCCACCTGCCTCAACCTCCCAAAGTGCTGGGATTACAGGCATGGGCCACTGCGCCCGGCCCAGACTTAATCTTAAAGTGGAGAAGCCAAGATTTGAAGTCAGGTCTGTCCAACTCAAATTTTGCTCTGCCCAAGAGGCCGGTTGTTCCCAAAGCTGACTAATCATCGGCATCCCTGCGAGGAAATTTTTTGATGCGCATCCCCAGACCATGCCCCAGAACTACTAAATGTGAATCAGATCCGCAGGGGAGCTGGGGTCTGCACAGTTGGAGTTCTCTCGGGTTGTAATGATGTGCAGGCCTCAGCGGTCGCTGCACCGGTCCACAGGCCTCTCCAATGCGGGAAATATGGGGCCAGGCCTTTGGAAAGGCTTAGCACTGGAGATGTCAGTCTTAGCAACAATTTACTTGGAAAGGTAACTTAAATCTGTGGACACAGATGAGCTCCCCAAAGGGAGAGTGCAGAAGAAGAAAATCAGAGGGCTCAGGACAAAAGCCTAGTAAACGTTCGTGTAGACACAGGAGGAGAGGCTGGAAGAAGCAAGGGGAGAATGTGCTTTGTAAAGGGGGCATCTGCAAAGATGCTGCAGCTTCAAGATGCTGTAGAGAGCAAGGACCGGGAGGCCGGGTCACAGCACTCGCGATGGGTTTCTCCATGGGGCAGAATCGTGTTCTGATTTATTAGCTGATATGAGGTCGTATTTATTCATCTGTTTTAAGGGTTTTCTGATGCCACCCCCCACCTTCAGCTGGCAGCATTCACTGCCCCAGGGGAAGTGCGACATTGTGGAATGCAGAGAATGAGAAGTCATCTGCAGCTTTTTTGAGGTATCATTACCATACCATAAAGTTCACCCCCTGTAAGTACACAATTCGATGATGTTTGGTAAAGTTACACAGTTGTGCAAGCAGCCCCACCACCTCCTTTAGAATTCTTCCATCACTCTGTGATGTGATAAAAACCTGCCATCCCTCCCACCTCATCTGTACACAGCAACCTCACTCCAGCTCCAGAAGAAGTCCAGGGTGACCTCTTGTCCTCTCCTACGAGCCCCTCTGCCTCCAGGAGGTCCAGAGTTGAGGGGTCTCAGCCAGCCCAGGGCTTCCCTCTAGCTCAGCAAGCCAAGTGGCTCCCTTAATCCTCCTGGAAACCGAGGGGTGAAGGGGCTACATGTGGCCATCTCAGGACCTAAGAAAAACCAAACTCCTCTACACACCTTCACCACTGCATGGGCCTTGAGCAGCCCCAAGTGTCATCAGCTTAAGAACAAGATACGGATTCTATGTGGAACGAAGGCTCCTCTTTAAAAGTTGCAGATTAAATGTGAAACTGTAGGAGGGTTGGGAGGACCATGGCAGAGGAAGGAGGTGGCTACACAGGGAAGAAATGGAACCAAGGGAAGGAGTTCCTGCTTCAGGGAGACACTTTGGCTTGTATTTATTTTGACACAGTAAAGATTTCTTGCCCCTTAAGAGATGAGGTCACGCTTCGGATGGCCTCACGGACGGCGGCCGATGCTCTGCCTTCCGACTCTGGCCATGCCATCACTCAGTGGTGTGCCCAGCTTTGAAATTTTTGGAGCCTGTCCCCAACAAAGGGCCCCAAGCCGAGCCACAAGACACCACAGCCCGCAGGCGGTGAACACCTTACCTGCTATGCATCAGCGGTTACCTGAAAAAACTGGGGCGACAGCTGAGAAGTTAAAACGTGCATCATATTTTTTTTTGCTGAAAGGGCCCAAGAAAATGTCAAAGGTTACAAAATACAAGAACCACCCTGTGATGGCATCAGCCCAGCAGCTGTGGAAAGGAGAATCCTATAAGCTGCCTGCTTCTTTTAAAAACCATCTCATTGGACGGTTCCATCTCAGTAATTAAAGGAAGGTACTGACGGCAGGGGAAAGACGGTGGCTCTGATGACCAAACACGCCATGTGGAAATCACGTGGAGAGTGACGGTGTCTCTGCAATGGAGGGGGAGAAAGAGACGGGATTTTCCCTGCATGCCTTTTGCAGAGGCATCCTGGAGTGCCCCAATTTTGCCAACTGCATTCCAGAGCTCTTTTCCTCACATGCCCAGATGGAGCAAAAGTCTTTGTAATGACTTCAAGCTCAGCCAAAAGTAAACACACTCTCCACTTTTTCCATGGACCAATTCTAACCCCAAATTGCCAGAGCTGGCCCCTCAACAATCCAAATGGAAAGCCGCCTTTCCCAATAAAATAAGGCCCTTCTAACTCAATAATACATGTTGGCTGCAAAAGCAAATGTTCCTAAAAGCTTCCTAGAAATTATTTATCGTGCAGCAACACTCCAGATCACCTGAGCAAACCCCACCAATGGAACAAAGACATTCAAAGGAAATACAACACAATCCAAGAACAGATGTTCGCTGCAGCGAACACCTGCACTCACAACTTTTGCAGCACATTTTGTAGCAGTCACGGGATTTGCTACTAAACACACACACACACACACACACACACACACACACACACACAGAGCTCACCACCACCTAACTGGAATATTCTTTTGGAAAACAGGCCGGAATGAGACAGGTGCTGATTTGAATAAAGAGTAAAACAGCACTCGGGATGTGAGCTCTGCAGGGCTCCTGCACATGCCAAACACACGTCTCACTTCTCTCCCACATTCCATGCATCTATGTGATCTGAACGCAGTTCTCCATCGAGTGAAAAAGCAGAGACTTGAGGATGGTGGACTTACCAGGTTGGAATTGGTGGCGTTGGAATCATCTTCTGGAAAGGGAATATAGATCGCTAAGGCCACACAATTGGCAAAAATAGTCAGTAAAATAATTATTTCAAATGGTCTGAGAAAGGGAGTCAAGGAAGTTAATGCCACAGAAAGTACAAGTGAAACAAACATAATCTACATATTTTTTAAAATGAATCAAAGATTCATAAGAATTTTGTTTAAACAATGCATTCCAAGCCCCTTGTATTCTGAAAAGAAACATATGCCTTTTTAAGTGCTTCTAGTGGGTCCCCGCCAAAATTTTCCCTAATATGTCAAAAGCAGTGGAGGCCAGTCGCGTGCCAGAGTAAACACAGATTTCTAAAAACTTGTTCCCCTCCTTTCATTTATTTAGATTGCATTGGTCTTCATTCTCCCCAATGTGTGCCTGAGGTTGCCTCTAAAGAGCATGGCCTGCGCCAAGCACCCCGTTTCTTCACAGTTTATGCCGAACGGCCTGTGGGCCCACGCCCACCTGGAACGGGGGACATGGGTGGAACAGGATTCCAAGACAGAGAGACTTTCTCTGGGTTTCATTGAAATTTGGAGATTTTATTTTTAATCTTTTAAACTAAGGTTAAGAGTGGTTTCCATTTCTTCTCTCTCATTCTCTGGCAGGTTCCAGAGATCCTGAAGACCCCCAAGAGTACGGCAGGGGGTCCGTCCTGAGTGTAGGGAAGGAAAGCTGTCTCCTCTTTAAGGCTGAGTCTCACAGACAGCATAGAAACCCCTCTGGTCTGCAGAGGTCCCGCTTCAGCAGGCAAAGCTTTGATTCCAAGGCCTCCTGATTTTTCCTTGGTGTGTGCTGGGCTCTAGTGGGACAGCCCAAGGTTCCCTCACCAGTAGTAGTGCAGGCAGAGGTTCCCATGCCCTGACTTCTTCATCACATTTTCAGGGCAGGACACGCTCTCAAGAGAAAAATGAGCTAATGTGATAATACCCCTTCCGACGGGACCACCCCACACCCTCCATGGAAGGCCAGCAAGGGGAAGCTTCCCAGGAAGGGCCCGTCTATGCTCTTCCAGCTCCACTCCCACCTACCCCGCTCCCACTGCCAAGTTTGCAGCCCAGTTCATGGAGTCTCACAGGAGGAGGAGGAGGAAGACAGAGAGGGGTGGAGATCCGGGGTGAAGGGACCACCATAATTCTCTCAGGGAAATCCATACTCACAAAGTTAGTGAATATTGAGGCAGAAAGAGACCTTAGAGATGATCTAGTCTAACCCTCTGAGGCCCAGAGAGCCTGAGGAACTTTCCCAAGGCCCCACAGCAAGTTAATGACCAGCTGAGACTAGAGCCCGGATTTCCCGATCACCAAGTCCAGTGTTCACTCCCCTGCCACAGACGGCCTTCTGACGTGTTAAGGGGCAGCCCTGGGCCAGCGTCACAGAATTCTGAACTGGGAGGAACCCGAGTGATTATCTTAGCACTAGTCTCCCTAGTCCTGTGGGTACTTCTGAGGATCCATTTTCCTGTAGAACATTTTCTATGTCCACCTTGATATCAAAAAAGATGCCACACAGTGGACCTGTCAATCTCCCAACTTTGCAGGGGTGAAAAGTAAAGCAGCCAGTCCAAGACCCCAAGCTGGCATATAGCAGAGCCTGGACCGGAACCCAGACGGACTAAGCTTTTACATTCTGCTGCCCTTGTGTTGGATGAGGCACAAGTAGTGATGATGGGAGACAGACGCTGATGCTGGTGCTGGTGACAGTAAGGACAGAAGCTGACCTCTGCCAAGAGCTTGCTCAGTGCCAGGCACATTCTTACGGCCCAACAGAAATGCTCTGTGTGGAATGTACGCTTGTGATCCCCACTTTCTAAATGAGAAAACTGAGGCACAGAAGGGTCAGACGTTAACTTGTGCCAGGTCACAGAGCAAGTAGTAGGATGGGATCCAAGCTCAGGCAGTCTCAGTGTTAAGGACTATTCTATACTGATCCACTCTAAAGTTACCTTGAAGCCTTCATAGGCAGTTCTTTTAGCCCTCCTACCACGCCACCTCTTGCCTCCCAAACCTTTTCTCGCCTGCTTAGGAAAGTGACACCGAGCCCACAGGCTGGCCAGTTTCATTCCATCAGCTGGTGCCTGTGCTCTCCCCATCGGGACAAGGATGCAACAACCCAGCCAAACCAGACCCGTGCACACACACCCAGAACATGTCACTTCATTGCCTCCACCACAGTGGGGCACAGCTGAGCTTGGGGTTTCTGGCACTATCAGTTCCCCTCCCCTCATTCAGACTCTCCACCTATCCATCCTTCACTTCATGCTAAAGGCACTGGGCTAATGCCAGAGAAGATCATGTGTAAAAACCAATCAGGCAGAGAAGAAAAGCCACTGGCTGAAAAGCAGAGAACCCAGGTAAGCCCTGGGAAGTGCTCTGTGTCGCCTTTTGAGGCCCAGATTACTTTTTAAGCTGAGTTCCCTTCCTAATGACAGGGTCGGATTCCACTTCTTCAAGAAGAACTGGCTGGCTAGTACTCCAGGCTATCTCCTTCCCTGTCCAGCCAGTCTTCCCAAGCAATCTTGGAATGCCACCCACCTGGCACTGCTAAGGCTGGGCCCCCTTCCTCTCCTCCAGGTGGGAAGGCACACTCCCCCGGAGGGGTGGCCACAGCACCCAGGGAGTAGGTGTTAGGCCCGGATCCAGGTCCGGCGTGTCCCAGTGCACCTGGACTGCAGGCCCTGAGCATCCTCCTAAGACCTCACCGGTCCCACCTAGTATCTACTAGTACCTGCCTAGTCCTACCCAGTACTATGGATGCATGGGGTGTGGGATGGGCATGGACTTCGGGGTCAGGGGAACCTGGATTTGAAGTCCAGCTCTGTCAGTTGCCAGCTGCGTGATTTAGGGCAAGCCCTTTGTCTTCTCTGGGCCTTGCTGCCCTTCTCTCAGGGGTGCCTGACCTGCAGGGCCCTCAGCTCTCCCACTCCCTGACTCCACCGTGAGCAGATATGCAAGCAGTCCTATGGGGCTGACTAAAGCCTAGTCTCCCATCCAGTACCCCGGGCACTAAAACCATGCTTGGCCACTCAGGCAGCTGCAGCCACTTGTTTTAAAATGCATTTTCTTAAAATACTTTTAAGTTGAGGGGCTCAAACATTTATATTTATTTATTTATTTATTTGAGACAGAGTTTCACTCTTTTCCTCAGGCTGGAGTGCAGTGGCATGATCTCAGCTCACTGCAACCTCTTCGTCCCGAGTTCAAGCAATTCTCTTGCCTCAGCCTCCCGAGCAGCTGGAATTACTGGCATGTGCCCCAACGCCTGGCTAATTTTTGTATTATTAGCAGAGATAAGGTTTCACCTCATGTTGGCCAGGCTGGTCTCGAACTCCTGACCTCAGGTGATCCACCTGCCTTGGCTTCCCAAAGTGCTGGGATTACAGGCGTGAGCCACCGCACCTGGCCTCAAACATTTATAGAACATTTCTGTCTCAATAGAAACTTTCTTTATCTCTAGGCTACCTTCTTTCAACCAGTACCTGAGACTTTTAAATCTTTCCATAGAAACTCATCGATGAAGCCTAATGCTCCCATCCTGGCCCTTGAGAGACACAGCAGTCCTGCCTGGAGGAATCCTTATTATAAAAATTCCCACAGTCAGTACCAGGGTTCTAGTCCCATCTGTTCCTGACCACATGACCCTGGGGAGCCTCTCCTGTGGGGCTCAATTTCATCACTCGTGGAAGTGGGGGAGGAACTTCAGCACTTAAAGGTCCTTTCTGGGCTGGGCACGGTGGCAGATTACACCTGTAATCCCAACACTTTGGGAGGCCGAGGCAGGCAGATCACGAGGTTAGGAGATCGAGACCATCCTGGCTAACACGGTGAAACCCCGTTTCTACTAAAAATACAAAAAAGAATAGCCGAGCGTGGTGGCGGGCACCTGTGGTCCCGGCTATACAGGAGGCTGAGGCAGGACAATGGTGCGAACCCAGGAGCTTGCAGTGAGCCGAGACGGCACCACTGCACTCCAGCCTGGGTGACAGAGCGAGACTCCGTCTCAAAAAAAAAAAAAAAAAAGTCCTTCCCAATTTCTACAGCCCCAGGATTCTGATGAAGTAAGGGGCTTGTAACTCCACAGCGAGCGCCCATCCCTTCAAAGCCACTGTTTCTGAAGGACCCATTTGCTTGTTTCTATATGGACAAACAGAACACTTCCAGACAGTGTTCTCAACTTTGTCTGCACATTAGAATTACCCAGAGAGTTTTCCGTTGTTGTTTTTTGTTTGTTTGTTTTTATGCCTAGGTGGAACTGAGTGGTCTGTAGTTTGTTATAACTTTCCAGGAGACTCTAATGTGCAATCAGGGCTGAGAACCACTGCTTCAGGGCCCTCCAGCCAACAGCCAGGGGCCCTGACCACTACGCTCTTCCATCTCCTGAGCCCCTTCACCCTAGAGAGAGGGAAGGCCGTGAAAGCATCCAGCGCCATGGCACAGAAGGGAAAGAAGGGAATGAGGCAGCATGTAACTAACGACTGTTACCCCAACACATGAGTGGGCCCCTGGGCAAGCTCAGCTACAGGAGATGATATTTCATAACTTCTTAGGCTGATTTTCTCAAATGTTGCTTATTATATGAAAAAAACAAAAAACAAAAACCCAACCCAGGCAGCTTATTATACAAGCAGATTGCTGGGCCCCGTCCCCAGATATTCTGATTCATCCAGTCTAGGGCGGGGCCCAGAACTCTGCATTTCACAGCACCCCAGTGATGCAGATGCAGTAGGCCCGAGGCCCCGTTTGTAGCCCAGCACAGCTGACACAGCTCGTGGCCCAGGGAGCCTCGGAGGGCTGGACCCAGCGTGCAGGTCCCAGGAGCATGCCCAGCCCGGTGAACAAAGGATATTTCCATTCGACAATGCTGATGCAGGCCCTCCGGATGGGGTTCTTCAGGGTCAGGCAGAGCAGGGCTCGGGGCGGGCGTGTGGCCGTGGTGCTGCCCTGCTTCTTGGGTTTCCCATATTGCTGCCGCTTCCGCTGCGTGGAGCTGACTGTGGAGATGGTCGCATTGCCAGCGCTGCCCATCAGCTTAGCCTGCCGGGCTGCGTCGATGGCCGCCTGCCACGACAGGGCAGCCCCCGGGGTGGGGATGTGCTCAGGGGCCAGCCCCGCTGCCGCATTGGCATTCATGTTGGCATGGGCGGGGCGTGGGCTCCCATAGTTGGAACCTGTGGCAAAAGAGAAAAGAACACAACAGTTACTAGATAGAAAACAGGGGCACTTCCGACACTCTCTGGACCCCAGATTCACAATTTTTTCAAAACCTTATTTCAAGCTATTGCAGGCGGTTAGGAGGTGGCACGTGGAAACATGAGTGTGAGATGCTGAGGGAAGAGGGCCAGGATCGTTGCGGTCCTGGTTTAGCTGGGTGACCTTGGGCGTGTCACTCCGCTCTAGTCTCCTTGCCTCACCTTAGGTGGGCAAGAGATGAGATCCGTGCATTACAGCACGTATGGACCTCAGCAGAAACAGATACAACACAACACATTACCTAGAAATTAAAATACATATTTTAAGAACCCATGCAAATGAAAGGATATTCATGAAATCGAATAGAATGATTGTTTAAGGAAGGTGAGGAGGAAAATGAGCATAAGATACAGGGGCAAGGAGGAAGCATAAATGAATGAGTGAGTGAATATGAGAGGTCACTGCATGAATCAATGATGGAAAACGTACAATGAACTGGAGTATGATTCACTCAACTCTCTGCACCTGAGTTCCAATAAACAAAAATAAATATAATAAAATGAGAAGGGCTGGACTAGAGTAAGGTCACATCCAGCTACCTCAAAGCCATCTGGGCTTTAAGTGTTGGTTGACCAGGAGGGGCCAGGGGAGCTGTGATGGTTTTAAATCATGTCAACAAATCCCTTTATATCTGACATCCCTTTTCATTGAGAAAGATCTAGGCCCTCCTCTTGAAATGAGGTCAGCCTTTGGTGACTGTTTTACCAATAAAGTACAGCAAAAGTGACACTGTGTGACTTCCAAGGATAGGTTAAAAAAAAAGCCACGTTGCATCCCCCTGACTGTCTCTGGATGGTCGTCCTGGAGGAAGCCAGCCCCCACACAAGGCAGCCTTTCAGCCCTGAGCTGCCATGCTGTGAGGAAGCCCAGACTAGCCTCAACAGAGAGGCCATGTGGCAAGAGGGAGCCCTGGCCAGCCCCCAGCTGCTCCAATCACCATCTGACTGCCACCCCAGGAGAGACCCCAAGTCAGGACTGCCCCAAATCAGTAACTTTTTGAATTACTGACCCACACAAGAACTTCCTGAATTCCTGAGCCACAGAGACTGAGCAGTAACAGGGTGTCTGCTGTTGTGAGCCACTTTGTTTTGGGGTGATTCATTAGACAGCATTTGCTATCTGGGAAAAGGAGCTGTGAGTGGCAGGGGTTGATGGGGTAGGGGAGAGGGACAGTGTCAGGAAGGAAACCTG
The DNA here is from genome assembly GCF_000001405.40 of Homo sapiens. Classification (NCBI taxonomy): domain Eukaryota; kingdom Metazoa; phylum Chordata; class Mammalia; order Primates; family Hominidae; genus Homo; species Homo sapiens. Next base: position 456,094 of record NW_018654718.1, on the reverse strand, counting down.
ATTGGAACCAGTGCAACCCAGGGCTCCAACCTGCGCAGGGACAGCTGCCCTGCTCTGGTGTCTAGGCAACGAAGCCTCTGAGACTGTCCCTAAGACAGCACATATGCTTGGCAAACACTCTTTGGCCTGTTAGGCTGGATGCCTCGCTCTAGAGTCTGTAAGGTTTGCCAAGCGATCAGCTCAGCCTGGCCCAAACCTGAATCTCCCAGAACACATGCATGACCTTGAGACGTGGTACCGCTAGTCAATTGGCCAGGTGCCGCAGGATCAAGAAAAGCCGCAGATAAGAGGGTGCTACTGTGGGCGGTGAGGTTGGCATCTGAGGACACTTCAGCTGCCCAGAGACTGTGGCCGAAGCAGCCAGACCAGTTGCACATACATGACACCCAAGGCCGCCCACAGTGGCCTTTTCTGGTCCATGTGCACAGGGTCTTCCAGGGAAGCTGCTGGGTCCTAAGGTTGCTGGCTCAACCTTATTGACCCCCTCCCTCTCCTCACCTGTTAAGACACAGATGAACACTTGGCGCCTCTCCCAGCCACCTCCCCAACTCTTATCTTGGGCTGATCCTTCTATGTTTGACCTCCAAGATAACTTTGCTCCCCATGTGACCTGCTTTCCAGAACCTATCACCCCCACCTCCACCCCGTCCCCACAGGAACCTGTGAAGAGCACATGACCTGGCTTAGCCATGTGAACATTTTCACCTAGAGAGAGCCTGCCCCAGAGGCAGAGCCCGAGCAACCTCACCAGATTCCTCATCCAGCCACACCTGAAGTTAGCCCTTACCTGAGCCACACGCAGGTGAGGCAGGTGAGACAGGTGTGGCCTCTTGGGGCTGACCTCCATTAGGGCTGTACTGCAAGGCTGGCTGAGCCTCCCCTTCTCCAAGTGATTTTCCCCCACACACTGTGATGTTTAAGTGACTTAAGTGACTTAGCTAAAGCTAATGTGAATTGGGTCTCTGTCCCTTGCAACCGAAAAACGAGCTAATATGCTTGGTAGGTGCCCAAAGCTTGGACCTGGTGGGGCTGTCATTTCTGCTGGACTCCAGTCTATATCCTTTCCATCACACCAGTGACAGACAATAAGTTTCAACTTTTATGCCAATTGATTGACATCACTGTCCACAATGCTATATACTTAAGGGACTCTGAGGATGATAGATTAGTGTTGCCCACCATGGGCACAAAGGGCAGGGAATGGCATCACTCATGCCACATAGCTACCACCCCTGCATGATCCCAAGAAGACCCCTCAGGTCCTCTTGGAGACCAGCTGGTCAGCTGCCTCCTGTCCCGCAACAGTTGCCACCTGCTCTACCGCCATCTGGCCCCTGTAGCATTACAGCCCCGCCTCCACTCCTCAAGGCCTGGAAAATTGCCTCTCTGCCACACCCAGTTCATAGCCACATTCTCAATGTGACACCGACTCTCACCTCACCATATATATTCCCTTCACCTTCCTCCTGTTCTCTGCCCCAGGGATAAACTGCATTAAACAGAACATCAGGCTCACGGAGGACGTGACACTCCCTACAATGAGACGTCTCATCTCTCCTGTAACTCGTCCCTGTCCTCCCTGCACTCACTGTGTAGATCCCAAGCCTAACGTGAGGAAGACCCCAATAAGGCCGGGACCTTAACCTTTCTCATAAGATCCAGCAGGAAAAGATGTAAAGAGTGCATTGGAATTAATGAAGGCACCCAAAGCATGAGAACTGCTTGAACACCCAGCAAGCATGCGTGTCTCCATTTAACACATAAGAAGACAAAGGAGTGTCTGACTCACTAAAGGTCACAGAATGGGGCGACGGAGGGTTGCTGCAGCAGGCACAGGGCTCACGGTGAGCTGCTAGACTCTACCCCTGCCTCCTCAGCCCTCTCTCACACACTCCACATGCACGCACACATGTGCTCGTGTACATGGTGACAGACAAGGTGCACGCCTCCTCCTGGGCTTCTCCAGGCCTCGAGATACAAGGGGCTGGATTTCTGACCCCAAGAACATTCTTTCTGTTTACTATGATCTCCACGTGACAGCATCCACTACACCACCTGCCCCCGCAGTAACCTCGGGGCGCCTCTTAGGCAAAAGTGGAAAGCGCCCTGTTTCCATCTGCTGTACTGGAGCCACTGAGCAACTCCTGCTTCTCTGGCTTGCCAGGGAAGGCTGGAACTCTAATTTTGCTCCATTCAATCTGTGGTATATAATTTTTTCTTCCTAGACTCTCTGTTTGGCACTGACAAAATTTAATAGACTATTTTAGTTCCCAGACTAACTTCTCCTTTTCCCTCAGATACATAAAAGCTGCCCTGTCCCCAACTGTTGGCATTCCCAGCCCCCAATTCACTCATGGTAAGCCCTCCACAGCTCACGCCTCCCCTGAGACGGCTGTCCCCAGACCTTAATCTTTGTACTCACCCCCCTGCATTGCCCTTAATCCCCCCATCTCATACGGGCTGCCAGTTCCAAAAACCAAGAGTCCCAGGAGTTTGGGGACAACACTTGGAAAGAGGGCAGGAAGCCCCAGCCTGAGAACACATCCACCACCCAGAAAAGCTGCGTGAGGGGAGCATCCCTGCACCCGGAGCACGAGGTAGAAGCTACCAAGACGGCAGCTGGCTGTGCAGAGCCCTGGGGCAGCTCTGAAAACCACATCCTGGTGGGCTGCCTTCTGAGCCCTCCCAAAACTCCATGAGGGACCTTATTTATATTGTAAACCATTCCCAGAGCGCAAGGACCTTTCTGGAGCACACCATCTGGAGAAAGCACATATGAACCAGCCCATGGGGAAAAATGGAATGTCAACCTCTCCCTAGCCAGAGGCCAAGAAAACAACCTACACTATTTTGGTCCTGGCAGCTCTGCGCATTGCTGCGGTCCCATGACATGACTAGGGCCCTGCACAGGAGTGCAGAGCCGCACACAGGTGAGACAGACAGGTATGGCCTCTCGGGTGAGACAGGTGTGGCCTCTCGGGTGAGACAGGTGTGGCCTCTCGGGTGAGACAGGTATGGCCTCTCGGGACTGACCACCTCCGGGCCTGGGCCTCCCCTTCTCCAAGTAATTTTCCCACCCACTGCGGTAGATCCCCACCCTGACCTCAGACATATAGACCAGTCTGTAGCAACACTGTCTAATACAATGCTTACAGTAATGGAAACGTTCTATAATCCTAGGCTGTCCAATACCCTGGCTACCAGTCATATGTGGCTCCTGAGCACTTGAAATGTTCTACCAGTATCTCCGGGTCACCCACAACAGGGTGGCACAACTACCGAAGACTCCCAGGAGTGGAAAATCCCCATCTCTGGCTCAATGTTTTGAATCCAGAGTGGTGCCATGAAGGTAGGGCAGGCAGCATTGTGTCCCTGACGGCTTTTGTTAGCACGAAATCACCACCCAATGCAAAGAGATCAATTTTCAAATTATAAAGCTGATTCAAAGCTCAGCCTCCTGGCTGCCAGCTGAAAGGATGCCACCATTTAAGTCTGCTCTGGCTCTGTCTGACTGGGCTGTTTCCACGGATGCTCCCACCCCTGAACAAGGCCCTGAGCAGCTGCCTCGCAGATCAGGCCACACACCAACAGGTAGGTGCCCCCAGCAGTGACCTCATCCCCAGTCATAAGAAAATGCCTCCCACCTGTCAAATGGCCCAGCTCCCCTGAAGACAGCATCTGCGTCCTCCTCCTGCACCCAGGTGCTGCTGCTGGGGACCAGGATGAGGGCAGGACCCCAGCACGGTCTGGCCAGCCTCGTGTCATTCTGCTCTGCAAGGGTCCAAGTGAGGAGTCCAAGTTAGGAGTCAGTGGCATGTGCCTCCTGGGTGTCCCCTGTGAGTGAGGGGCTTGGTGCTGGGGACTTGGAAGGTGTTCAGTGATGAAACAATTTTTTTTTCTTTAATCCATCTCTATTTCTGCACCTGATTCAGGGCCATATCCCAGAAAATGCTCAACACAGTTTGCTAAGGACTGTAACGATAATGCTGTCATGATACAGGTGAAGGTGGACTACAGTGACACTGTAGAAGGAACACTGCTGGAGTCAGTCCAGCCACCCCTAAAGAATGGGCTTATTCTCAAGCCATATGCTCTTCTACTGATTTCTTGGATGTAACCATGGGGGAGAAGTTCTAAGGAAAGGGGTTGTGAGGAAGATCTCCATCCTAGTCCAGGCCACTACCTATCTCTTGCCCACAAGTGCTGCAGTAGCCACCCTGACCTTTTCCTCAGTCCACTCTTGGCCATCCCCAAGCCAATCTCCATGCAGCAGCCAAAGTCACCTTTTAAAAACAGAACTCGTAAATTGGGCCCTGTCATTCCCCTAGTTAGATCCCTTCAAAATCCAAACTCCTTGTCAACAGCTTACAACACCTGCACAGACTGGCCCTGGCCCACTTCTCTGAGTTCACCTCACTCCCCTCTGGGCCCGGTCCAATGCACTCCTGACACAGTGGCTCATTTCATGCCTCAGACATGCTCAGCTCTTGCCTGCCGCAGTGCCTTTGCATGTACTTAGAATGTCCTTCATGTTCTTCCCTCTGCCCTTTGCTAGGCAATCCCTTCTCACGTTTCAGGTTTGGGCTCAGGTGATCCCTTCTTCAAGCCCCCACTCCAAACAAGCAGAACTCAAACACTAGCTGCCAGTGTTCTCCCCACTTCCCTGCCTCCATGCCACCGTTGAATAAACATGCCCAACGCCCCTGGCATTGGAAAGGGACCCCCCAATCAGCCGTGAGTAGGAAAAGGTCTGGGGCTGCCAGCCTGCTTCAGCAGCAGTCACCCTGCTTGGCCTTGGTGCCTTCTGTGAGCACAAAAGCAGGTCACTCCTCCACCTTCGTAGACACAGACACCCACATCGATTTAGAGAGGGTGAGCAGCCGCAGCTCACACCTAGAAAGGGAAGAACTGCAAATAAATTTCTCCCTAAAGTCCTGACCACTGAGCAATCTCTGCAGGGCAAAGGAAATGCCTTCTCTCAGGCCAACATGTCACCCAGAAGCCCACTTGGCTCTTGCTGTCTGTCATCTTGCTGTAGTGACAAGGGGCCTGCATTCCCTTTAAGAGTATCGCAGACAACCTGGAACAGAAACCGGACTTTCTCCACCCACTAAAGGCCCAATGACTAGAAAGCTGGGCCATTAATCTTCCCTATCTATTGCAGTACACAGATAGCTGGAGGACGTGAACAGAGAGGACACCGTCTCTCGATCTCAGACGATAACCCGAGGCCCTGTCATCTCAACCCCAGTGGCACTCCTCTCTGGAAGGATGGTGTGTGCTGAGCACCATGTGGTGGGTGGGAGGCTGGTAAACTTGCGGTCTCAGCAGCTCTTCCACCCTCCTCCTACGGTGCCCCGCTGGACTGCAGGGGCCAGAGGGCTAAACACAATGGCTCCCAACCTCCCTTGGAGCGAGAATTCCTGACACAACTTTTGCCAATCAAGAACTGAATCAAAACTACGTCAGGTGGGGAAGCATCTATTTTGCAGGTATCTGGCTGGCAGGGCCACACCAGTGGCTTCCTGATTCCTGGATCATGCATAAGGCGGTGTGATCCCAGAGCCAGCCCTTGGCACAGTGGCTTCCAGGTCCCCCAGCCTCATAATTGTACCCGAACCGCAGTTCCCTCGGGGGGCCTGTTCTGCAGCACTGTTTTGGGAATCATTCCCACAGACCCGGCCTAAAGCCTGCTCTTGCAGCATTTCCAATTATTGTATAAGCCCCTAAATTCCTGTACTATCTTTCCTCTAAACACGGCTACAGAAGTTTCTGTTATAGGCCTGAACCCTGACTGAGATATATAGACCAGTCTATAGCAACACTGTCCAATACAACATTTACAGTAATAGAAATGCTCTATAATCCTAGGCTGGATTACGGAGCCCTTGCTACCAGTCATACGCAGCTCCTGAGCACCTGAAATGTAGCTAGCACGTCTGACAAAATGCATTTTGCATTTTACTTAATTTTCAATTACGGTACATTCAGATAGTCACATGTGGCTAGAGGCGCCCACACTGGGCAACACAGGTTGTGCTGTATTAAGACAAAGTCCTTGTGGGAAGAGCATGGTGACAAAGAAATGTGAGAAGTGGGGAAGATAACGAGCAGAGCACTGAATTCAAAATTGTGGGAAAACTTTTTAAAAAGGCAATAGCGAATGAATTCAGATGTTGATGGGTGGGTGGATTTTCTGATCAAGAATTAACCACCCTATGCAAAAAGACATATTTTCAAAGCATAAGAGAGTCTAAGACCCAAAAAACAATGTAGAAACCAAAAGTCCTTTTTCAGTGTCTAATATTTTCATCACATAAATGAGAGATGACTTTCTTCTCAATGGCCAAATGGGGAAGCTGGCATTCCCCTCCAGCCTAAGCGAGAGAAATCCTCAGGACACCCCAGCTGAGGTGGAAACCCTCTCCAGGGTGAGCACCCAGTGGCTTCAGGACGCCCAGCTGAGGTGGAAACCCTCCCCGGGGTGGGCGCCCAGTGGTTTCAGCACACCCCAGCTGAGGTGGAAACCCTCTCCAGGGTGAGCACCCAGTGGCTTCAGGACGCCCAGCTGAGGTGGAAACCCTCCCCGGGGTGGGCGCCCAGTGGTTTCAGCACACCCCAGCTGAGGTGGAAACCCTCTCCAGGGTGAGCACCCAGTGGCTTCAGGACGCCCAGCTGAGGTGGAAACTCTCTCCAGGGTGGGCGCCCAGTGGCTTAAGGACGCCCAGCGGCTTCAGGACACCCCAGCTGAGGTGGAAACCCTCTCCAGGGTGAGCACCCAGTGGCTTCAGGACACCCCAGCTGAGGTGGAAACCCTCCCCGGGGTGGGCACCCAGTGGCTTCAGGACACCCCAGCTGAAGTGGAAACCCTCCCTGGGGTGAGCACCCAGTGGTTTCAGGACACCCCAGCTGAGGTGGAAAACCTCCCCGGGGTGGGCACCCAGTGGCTTCAGGACACCCCAGCTGAGGTGGAAACCCTCCCCGGGGTGGGCGCCCAGTGGCTTCAGGACGCCCCAGCTGAGGTGGAAACCCTCCCCGGGGTGGGCGCCCAGTGGCTTCAGGATGCCCAGCTGAGGTGGAAACCCTCTCCAGGGTGGGCGCCCAGTGGCTTCAGGACGCCCAGCTGAGGTGGAAACCCTCCCCGGGGTGAGCACCCAGTGGCTTCAGGACGCCCAGCTGAGGTGGAAACCCTCTCCAGGGTGAGCACCCAGTGGCTTCAGGACGCCCAGCTGAGGTGGAAACCCTCCCCGGGGTGGGCGCCCAGTGGCTTCAGGACGCCCCAGCTGAGGTGGAAACCCTCCCCGGGGTGGGCGCCCAGTGGCTTCAGGATGCCCAGCTGAGGTGGAAACCCTCTCCAGGGTGAGCACCCAGTGGCTTCAGGATGCCCAGCTGAGGTGGAAACCCTCTCCAGGGTGGGCGCCCAGTGGCTTCAGGACACCCAGCTGAGGTGGAAACCCTCCCCGGGGTGGGCTCCCAGTGGCTTCAGGACACCCCAGCTGAGGTGGAAACCCTCCCCAGGGTGGGCGCCCAGTGGCTTCAGGACGCCCAGCTCAGGTGGAAACCCTCCCCGGGGTGGGCGCCCAGTGGCTTCACGATGCCCAGCTGAGGTGGAAACCCTCCCCGGGGTGGGTGCCCAGTGGCTTCAGGACGCCCCAGATGAGGTAGAAATCCTCCCCGGGGTGGGCGCCCAGTGGCTTCAGGACGCCCAGCTCAGGTGGAAACCCTCTCCGGGGTGGGCACCCAGTGGCTTCAGGACGCCCAGCTGAGGTGGAAACTCTCTCCAGGGTGGGCGCCCAGTGGCTTCAGGACGCCCAGCTCAGGTGGAAACCCTCTCCAGGGTGGGCGCCCAGTGGCTTCAGGACGCCCAGCTGAGGTGGAAACCTTCTCCAGGGTGGGCGCCCAGTGGCTTCAGGACGCCCCAGCTGAGGTGGAAACCCTCCCCGGGGTGGGCGCCCAGTGGCTTCAGGACGCCCCAGCTGAGGTGGAAACCCTCCCCGGGGTGGGCGCCCAGTGGCTTCAGGACGCCCAGCTGAGGTGGAAACCCTCCCCGGGGTGGGCGCCCAGTGGCTTCACGATGCCCAGCTGAGGTGGAAACCCTCCCCAGGGTGGGCGCCCAGTGGCTTCAGGATGCCCAGCTGAGGTGGAAACCCTCCCCGGGGTGGGCGCCCAGTGGCTTCAGGACGCCCAGCTGAGGTGGAAACCCTCCCCGGGGTGGGCGCCCAGTGGCTTCACGATGCCCAGCTGAGGTGGAAACCCTCCCCGGGGTGGGCGCCCAGTGGCTTCAGGATGCCCAGCTGAGGTGGAAACCCTCCCCGGGGTGGGCACCCAGTGGCTTCAGGACGCCCAGCTGAGGTGGAAACCCTCCCCGGGGTGGGCGCCCAGTGGTTTCCCGATGCGCCCGCCGCCATGCCGCATCTGACTGCGCTTCCTCCTACCTGAGCTATTTTCACACCATTTCCAGCAGCATTCTGTCACTCTGCCGGTCCTCCTCTCCCCCATCCTGCTACAGACACAGTTCATGAGAGGTGGGGTGCCCAGAACAGGCCCCATGACCACAGCAGTCAAATGTGCTCCAAAACAAGGAGACCGTGAGGGCGCCAGGAGATCTGCGGCTCTCTCCCCAACCCAACTGACGAGTACTCCCTCAAATACAACTGTATCTTTTCTGTCCTACAACCCACCTGCCTCTGATGACTACATGAAGGCTGGAGAAGGCAAAGAGCCTGGAGCACTTCAGAGGCCCAAGCCAATGGGAAAAGCGGAAAAGCTACAGCATTCACACCTGCTAGTGATCCAGTAAACCACACTTGCTCTCTGTTATTTATGGGGCAGCTGGCTGAAAGAAGGTAAAGAAAGGAAAAGGAAGCCTCGTAAGGAACGCCTGGAAGCAAACCACCTGCGATGACCACAAGGCCAACACTGCTTCGGTGAGAGGACCCTGATATAACGCCCTTGGCACTCGAGGGCTCTCATATTGACATCAGAGACCATAGGGAAGAAAACAAACTGACAGACACACAGCTAAGCCACGGCCTTCAACTGAAGATGACAAATTGCCATAATTTTTGCCATAATAACCAAATGCTTCCTCCACTTATTTCCAAGCATGGAGAGGAAGGAAGTCAAGACCTCTTGCTACTTGAACTAAGGCGCCTATCAGCACCTGGTGATAGCAAATCTAAATTACAGGCCCTAGTTAAGGATTAATTCACATTTATTGAAAAATCAGCATTTCAACTTTTTTAGTGTGGCAGCAGAGATTACGGAATGGGCAAAAACTGGAAGCATTCCCTTTGAAAGCTGGCACAAGACAAGGATGCCCTCTCTCACCACTCCTATTCAACATAGTATTGGAAGTTCTGGCCAGGGCAATCAGGCAAGAGAAAGAAATAAAGGGTATTCAAATACAAACAGAGGAAGTCAAATTGTCTCTGTTTGCAGATAACATGATTATATATTTAGAAAACTCCATTGTCTCAGCCCCAAATCTCCTTAAGCTGATAAGCAACTTCAGCAAAGTCTCAGGATACAAAATCAATGTGCAAAAATCACAAGCATTCCTATACACCAATAACGGACAGACAGCCAAATCATGAGTGAACTCCCATTCACAACTGCAACAAAGAGAATAAAATACCTAGGAATACAACTTACAAGGGATGTGAAGGACCTCTTCAAGGAGAACTACAAACCACTGTTCAAGGAAATAAGAGAGGACACAAACAAATGGGAAAACATTCCATGCTCATAGATAGGAAGAATCAATATCAAAATGGCCATACTGCCCAAAGTAATTTATAGATATAATGCTATCCTTATCAAGCTACCGTTGACTTTCCTCACAGAATTGGAAAAAACTACTTTAAATTTCATATGGAACCAAAAAAGAGCCCGCATAGCCAAGACAATCCTAAGCAGAAAGAGCAAAGCTGGGGGCATCACGCTACCTGACTTCAAACTATCTACAAGGCTACAGTAACCAAAACGGCATGGTACTGGTACCAAAACAGATATATAGACCAATGGAACAGAACAGAGGCCCTCAGAAATAATGCCACACATCTACAACCATCTGATCTTTCACAAATCTGACAAAAACAAGCAATGGGGAAAGGATTCCCTATTTAATAAATGGTGTTGGAAATATTGGCTAGCCATATGCGGAAAGCTGAAACTGGATCCCTTCCTTATACCTTATACAAAAATTAACTTAAGATGGATTAAAGACTTAAACTTAAGACCTAAAACCGTAAAAACCCTAGAAGAAAACCTAGGCAATACCATTAAGGACATTGGCATGGGCAAAGACTTCATGACTAAAACACCAAAAGCAATGGCAACAAAAGCCAGAATAGACAAATGGGATCTGATTAAACTGAAGAGCTTCTGCACACCAAAAGAAATTATCATCTGAGTGAACAGGCAACCTACAGAATGGAAGAAAATTTTTACAATCTACTCATCTGACAAAGCGCTAATATCCAGAATCTACAAAGAACTTAAACAGATTTACAAGAAAAAAAAATCCCATCAAAAACTAGGTAAAGGATATGAACAGACACTTCTCAAAAGAAGACATTTATGCAGGCAACTATATAAAAAAAGCTCATCATCACTGGTCATTAAAGAAATGCAAATCAAAACCACAATGAGGTACCATCTCATGCCAGTTAGAATGGTTATCATTAAAAACTCAGGAAACAACAGATGCTGGAAAGGATGTGGAGAAATAGGAACACTTTTACACTGTTGGTGAGAGTGTAAATTAGTTCAACCATTGTGGAAGACAGTGTGGCGATTCCTCAAGGAACTAGAACTAGAAATACCATTTGACCCAGCAATCCCATTACTGGGTATATAGCCAAAGGATTATAAATCATTCTACTATAAACACACATGCACACATATGTTTACTGCGGCACCGTTCACAATAGCAAAGACTTGGAACCAACCCAAATGCCCATCAATGATAGACTGGATAAAGAAAATGTGGCACATATATGCCATGGAATACTATGCAGCCATAAAAAAGGATGAGTTCATGTCCTTTGCAGGGACATGGATGATGCTGGAAAACATCATTCTCAGCAAACTAGTGCAAGAACAGAAAACCAAACACTGTGTGTTCTCACTCATACGTGGCCAGTTGAACAATGAGAACACATGGACACAGGGTAAGGAACATCATACACCAGGGCCTTTCGGGGAGTACGGGGATAGGGGAGGGATAGCATTAGGAGAAATACAAATGTAGATGATGGGTTGATGGGCGAAGCAAACCACCACGGCATGTCTATACCTATGTAACAAACAAGCACATTCTGCACATGTACCCCAGAATTTAAGTGTAATTAAAAAAAATAAAAAATAATCTGCCTGCCTGAGGACAGACAGCCATCTACAAAAAGGAGAAATCCTTCAGGTTGCTGATGTCTGGGGAGAAGGGAGGGTGTGCAGACAGTGGGGAAGAATGCCCCAGAGCCAGGTACCACACTGAGGGGACCCAGACACTGGCTCAGCCTCCCCTTTCCTTCAGCTGCTGAACGCCTGAGATGAGTTAAAGTCTAATACTTGGGTCCTTCTCTTATTTTCCCAGCAACTCACAAGCTCCTTGAGAGCAGGAAACAGCACTGTGGCCTCAAATCCTAGTACAGTGTTGCCAGGAGGCACTCAAAACACATTGGCTGCATGGAAGTTCTTTTACAGAACTTTAATTTGGCCTTCAAAGGTTTCCGTGCAGAAGTATACGGGGAAGATGCTCTTCCGTTATTTTAAATTAGTATGTTTGCCATATGTTCAATGTATCTATTATCATTGGTTAAATGAATATGTGTTTCTTGTTCCCAACAGGAGGGAAGTCCCAGGAAGCATGAGCCTTTGTTTTGCACCACTGTATTCTCAGAGCCCAGGGCAGCCTGGAGTGTGGTATGTGCACACTACCAATGTGTTGAATAAAAGGATGACTCAAAACGTAACTGTCCCAAGGCTTTTTTCCCCATAATAGTAATTACTTGGACTTTGGTCCCATGATGCAGGGGTTCTGTTGCTCTGGCCCAGTTTATTGGTAGGAGGGCAGAGGCAGAGGGTGAGTACAGCTTTCCCAGGCAGCAGAACTAGAACACAGGAGGCAGCGACCTTGTGAGGGCAGTTTTTAGTATTCTCGGTGGCCCCAGCCTCCTTCTGCCACCATCCGAGAGAATGGCTCCCTCAGCTAATCCTCACTCACCCTGCGCATTCACTGTCACCCACTGAACTGGGCGGGCACCCTTGGGAACCGGCAGGACCTGCTCGCACTCCACCTCGTGCCTCTGAACACCCAGCCTCGTGGGTCACGGGACTCAGTGGGATGGCACAGTGGTCCCTGCAGCAGAGGCTGCCCCTACTCCTGAGGCTCGGAGCTCACGGACCCACAGGCCTGACACTCAGGGAGGCGGAGCGTGCATTTCTGTTCTGCACGGTGAGGACGACGATGGAGCTGTAGCTCCCACAGCCCCACCTGGGAGGGGGAGGTTGAGCCCCTAACCCCTCCTAGAGCCTCCTGCACTTTGCCCGGGGGAAGCGTGGTCTGCTCCACCCTGTCAGGACAGCAGTTCAGCACTCTGGTGGGAGTTGTTAAGAAATTCCAACATTCACCACCCTTCTCAGGAGCTACCCTGAGAGAACTAATCCAAGAGTCTGGCAAAGCTCTGCGCCTGGGTACTCGTCACGGTGTGAATGATACCAGTACCAAATTGAAGACAACCTAGAAGCCCGTCACTGGAGAAATGGTTAGAGAAATCAATGCACATCCACTGACAGCATTTTAGGAAGCCATGAAAATTACATTTTGAAAAATATGAAATAATACAGAAATTGTTTCCACAGTCTAATATTAAGCAAAAACAGGGTCCACAAAAGTATATACAATGGGACCACAATTTTTTTTCTTTTTTCTTTTTTTTTTTTTTTTGAGATGGGTCTCACCCTTGTCGCCCAGGCTAGACTGCAGTGGCAGAATCACGGCTCACTGCAGCCACGACTCCCCCAGACTCAGGTGATCCTCCTACCTCAGATTTTTGTTTTGTTTTTAGTAGAGACACCCTGTTGCCCAGGCTGGTCTCCAACTCCTGGGCTCAAGCAATCCATCCACCTTGGCCTCCCAAAGTGCTAGGATTACAGGTATGAGCCACTGCCCCCGACCTTTTTTTCTTTTTTTGAGACAGTCTCGTTCTGTCACTCAGGCTGGAATGCAGTGCCGTGATCACAGCTCACTGCAGCCTCAACCTCCCTGGGCTCAAGCAATCCTCCCACCTTAGCCTCCCAAGTAGCTGGGACTACAGGCATGAGTCACCGTGCCCAGCTAATTTTTTTTTTTTTTTTTTTTTTTTTGGTAGAAACAGGGCTATGTTGCCCAGGCCAGTCCTGAACCCCTAGGCTCAAGTGATCCTCCTGCATCAGGCTCCCATCCAATTTTTGTTGTTTTTTTTTTTTGTTTTTTTTTTTTTGAGATGGAGTCTCGCTCTGTCTCCCAGGCTGGAGTGTAGTGGTGCAATCTTGGCTCACTGCATCTTCTGCCTCCCGGGTTCAAGCAATTCCTTGAACCTCCTTCAAGGAATTCCTTCCTCAGCCTCCCAAGTAGCTGGGATTACAGGCACGTGCCACCACACCCAGCTAATTTTTGTATTTTTACTAGAGATGGGATTTTGCCATGTTGGCCAGGCTGGTCTCGAAGTCCTGACCTCAGGTGATCCACCCACCTCAGCCTCCAAAAGTGCTAGGATTACAGGTGTGAGCCACTGCACCCGGCCCCCATCCAATTTTATGTTTGTTTTCATAGAAGAAATACTAGAAGGAAACACTAGTGTTATTTTTAAGTGTCAGGTAATATACACGTGCTGAGAGGCAGTACAGCCTGGCACTCAGGGGCATGGACCTGGAAACCAGGCAGAATGGATCCAAATTCGAGCCTCTGTCAGTTGCTAGCTGTGAGACTTGAAAAGGTACCTAGCCTCTCTGTGCCTCAGCTTCCTCACTTGTAAAAAGCAGATAATAACACTGCCTATCTCATAGCACTGTGTGACAATCAAATGAGTTAATGAACATCACACTCTCAGGACAGAGCTGCAAGGAGCTGCCTGTGTTTCCCTGTGGTGCTGGGGGTAATGGGGAAGCGGCCTCAGGCAGGTTGGCAGGCAGGCAGCGTGTCTGCCCCCTTCCAGAGTGGGACTGTCCGTGGCTGGGCAAGAATCTGGCACTGGCGTGGCCACAGTAAGAGAAAATACAATATATAATAAATGGTACTAGGTATTTTTGTGATTAATTTTCCAAAATTCTGTGCAATAAGTAATTATTTGGTAATCAGAAAGAAAACCAAGTTACAGTTTGGTTTTGTTGCTTAAGTATACTTCCAATATGACTGTGGCCACCCCAGTGCCAGATTCCTGCCTCTGGAAGGGGACAGACAGGCCGCCTGCCTCCCAACCTGCCTGAGGCCACTTCCTCCTCATCCCCAGCACTGCAGGCAAACAGAGGCAGCTCCCTGCAGCCACAGAGAAAGAAGCAAGAAGTCCCATAAGAACTCAGCACACCTCTCGGCAGCCGTCTCAACTCCAGCCTAAGCTCTGGACAGAGGGCCACTTGCACTCCTGGGTTTCCAACTGTGGTTCTCTGCAGAAGGATCTAGGTTCAGGGTAAAGTAACACAGTAAGACGGTTGGTTTGAAAATTAGCTGAGAAACATGGGCAAGATCCTTTCCTTTTTCTCTTCATCTTTTCCTTTTTCTTTTCGTCTTGTTTAAAAACCATTCTGTTTCCTATCTGCTCGCCTCCATGAAGCATGAGCAGGGCTATGCGCCCAGAGTGAGCGGCAGCGAGACTAAGCCCCGGTCCAGAGTGCACCATGCACATAACCTCAGAACCAGGTTCCAGGGAGGGAGGGCTTCCCCAGCCACACAGCCACGTGGCTTCAGCAAGCAGGCCCTAGCTCTACGGCCGCCCCTCACACGGTGAGCAGTGCTACCAGTGCCAAGTGACACATGCTCTCCACGCCTCAATGTCCCCATCTGTAAAACTGAGATGATACCACACCCCTCACAGAACAATGGTGAAGACTACAAGGGATTATGTCTATGAAAGTACTACCTGAATATGAAGAATTATTTAGTAAAAATCATTCCAGAGATAAAGCCTCGGGGCACGCAAGAAGAACCTCATTTCAATGAAGTAAAATAAAACATGAAAGCTGGGTTTTTAAAACTCTTTTTCCCAGAAGCACATTTTCCATGTTAAGCAACCAACTCTTAAAAACAATCGCTATATCCCATACACAGATATTAATGGATCTCTCCAGATAATTCAGAACACAGAATTCCAGAGATCCTTGAAAATGGTGCTGCATTCCTCAAGGATCCTCTATTAGTAAAAGGCTCTGAAATTCTTCCATTGTCAGGGGATCGCACTGTATGGGGAAGGTGGGTCACCCTGCATATGTACACACTAAAAACATTACATACACAAATGTACCCACACACAGCCTATTTGTGCCACTCCTGGAAGTCTCTAATTCTCACTAAGGCACGACAAAAGAAACAGCATCAGCTTATTTCTACACACTCACAGGCCGTTTAATAACAATGCTTTGTATAAAATACAATGCTTCTTTCATTTAGAAAAGTCAAAGCTATTTATCTGATTAATCCCTACAAAACCCCACCAGACAGCAGGCAGACAAGAAGGTAGAAGGCAACGAAAAAATATGCAAGTCTCCCCTGAGGCTGTCATTCCTTGGTAAATATCAAACTTCATATAGACATGAAGTTATCTTGACTCCTCCCCAAGTTCGGTGGGAAAAGAACTAGGCCAGAAGTCAGTAAATCTGAATTCCAGCCCCAGGCCCATCACTCATTTGCTCTGCGCACTCAGACAAATCACGTTCCTTCTCTGGCTCTCAATCTCTTCCATAGAATGAGGAGGCTCCACCAGATACCGTACGAGGTCCTTCTAGTTCAGACAGCTCAGGTTCTAGAACTCATTGGTCCAGACATCTCACTGCTCCCCTCAGCCTCTCCAGCCGGCCTCATCCCCCACTCCCAGTTGTCTGGTGCCTGGATCTCCTCCCCTACTGATCTCAAAGCAGGGGCTGAACCAGGTGCAGCCCAGCAGCCACCCCGCTCTGCCCATGGCTGGGCTCTCCCAGCTGCAGAGGTGGCCTGAGAGCACACTCAGCTATGCTGAGCGGCTGCCTCCAATCTACCTGTGCTTACAGGGCAAGCTCAACCCAAGGGGCCCCCAGCTAGGAACAGCCACACAGAGAGCCCCGGCGGCTCACTGTAATTTACATGGAAATCCTCAAAGCCAGAGATGGCTCTTCAAACCCCTTAGGACGGCTATTATCGAAAAAATCAGAAAATAACAAGTATTGGCAATCATGTGGAAAAATTGGAAACTTCATGTGTTGCTGGTGGGGAATGTAAAATGGTGCAACCGCTATGGAAAACAGGATGAAAGTTCCTCAAAAAAATTAAATGTGGCCAGGCGCGGTGGCTCACATCTGTAATCCCAGCACTTTGGGAGGTCGAGGCGGGCGGATCACAAGGTCAGGAGATCGAGACTATCCTGGCTAACATGGTGAAACCCCGTCTCTACTAAAAATACAAAAAAATTAGCTGGGCGTGGTGGCAGGCGCCTGTAGTCCCAGCTACACGGGAGGCTGAGGCAGGAGAATGGTGTGAACCTGGGAGGCGGAGCTTGCAGTGAGCCGAGATCGCGCCACTGCACTCCAGCCTGGGTGACAGAGCAAGACTCCATCTCAAAAAAATAAATAAATAAAAATTTAAAAATTAAACATAAAATTACCATATGAACCAGCAATTCCATTTCTGGGTATATACCCAAAAGAATTGAAGGCGAGGACTTGAACAGATACTTGTACACCCATGTCCATAGCAGCATTATCCAAAGAGACAAAAGATAGAAACAACCCAAGTGTCCGTCAACAAATGGATGGGCAAACATAGTGTGGTCTATCCATACAATGGAGTATTATTCAGCCTTAAAAAGAATACAATACTGCTACAGGCTACAACATGGATGAGCCTTGAGGACATGGTGCTGAGTGAAGTAAGCCATACACACAAGAACATGTATTGAATAATTCTACTTATATGAGGTACCTAGAATAGTTGTAAAGAGAGAAAGTAGAATAGAGTTTGCCAGGGCTGGGGAGGAAGAGAAAATGGGAGTTAATGGTTATAAAGTTTTGGTTTGGAATGACAAAAAGTTCTAGAGACAGATAGTGCTTGATGGTTATACAACATGGTGAACGTACTTAATGCCACTAAATTGTACACTTAAAATGGTTAAAATGATAATTTTTATGTTGCATATATTTTACCATAACAAAAAGTTACCTCAATTTAATGTGTTTTAAAAAGCCAAAGAGACTCAGAATACTTGGAAGAACATCCCAAGAGGAAAGAGAAAGAGGTCTGTCCTCAGGAAAAGAACCAGAGGGGAAGGCATTTGGAAGCTGTCCTTCAGGAAGGAGATGGGAGGATAGACTTTAGGCCAGTCCAGAGGAGAGATATGTGGCAGGACAAGTCTCTACCCTATACAAGTGCTTCCGGCAAGCCCTCAGCACATGACATAGGCCCAGAGAAGGATGCAAAGAATTCTGGTCATAAATTGTTTTCAAATATCAAATAAATCATATGTGCACATGCACAAACATGCCTTCACAACTGAGTAAAACCAGACTCACCTTCAAATATATCAACAGTTTTCTCAAGCGCCGTTAAAAATCAGGCATCGGACCTCTGGCTGCGAGAGCTGGTTTGATGGGAAGTTAGATCAACCCCTCATCTCTGCACAGTTTCAGTCCTGTCCAAAAGCTCCACTCTGGGCACCTGTGAGTATCTCCAGGGCAGGCCATGACGTGCTCATCTCTGTGGCTCTGTGCCTAGCCCAGAGCCTGGCACACAGCCAGTATGAAAAGAAGTGTTTGCTGAAGGAATGCTGATTTCAACTCAGTGCCTGATCACTTTAAGTAAGGAGACAAAAGACATTATTCCCAATGATGGTGAATGATGAAACCAAGGCAGAGAGAAGCACACAGCCTCCATCCAGTGGGACCCAGGCTAAGACTGACCTCTCCACTCCTAAACCTTCCAGTTTCTCTGGCATCATAAATCCACGCTCCGTCCTCATAGGATGCATGCACTCTCCTCTTCTGTGGGCGTCTGTTTGCCATCTTCCTATGTCCTGCACTCCCCCTTCTCTTCTTTCTGCTTAGGTTTTTCTGACACTCTCTGGAGCCAGTGGTATCCGACCCTGCCTAGCCCTTCTCCTCCAGGGTCCTTGAAGGACTGGCGAAACACTGGATGGCCTGACTCGGGCCGAGGGCACTTACAGTGCTGCCCGGATTCTCCCGCAGCCTCAACTGCACTGAAAGTCTGGGCCAAAAGGGAGAAGAAGGGGAGGTCAGGAGAAGTCCATCTTTAAGAACCCGAAAGCAGAAGGCAGAAGTCAATGGCACTACCATTTTTCATCTCAGAATGGAGTCAGGATTCACAGAGCAGAACCTAGAGCTGTAAAAACGCTGTAACACTCGATCATCTCTGTGACTCTGTCCCCCTATCTCTGTTCCTCTCCTCTGTCTGTGTCCCCACAGGAATTAGGAGGGTCATAACCTTTAAGACAAATTGGACCT
Source organism: Homo sapiens (assembly GCF_000001405.40). Lineage (NCBI taxonomy): Eukaryota > Metazoa > Chordata > Mammalia > Primates > Hominidae > Homo > Homo sapiens. The sequence continues at coordinate 437,410 of NW_018654718.1, read as the reverse complement.
GCTTCTGGTCTATGAAGACAGGAAAGAAAAAGTGGACAGGTGGGAGTGCAGGATCTAGAAATACTGAGTTTTATGGGGACAGGACTGCAAGCACATTGAGTGAATTACAGCAGCCACCTCCAAGAAGAGATAGTGTGATCTGGTGGTTAACAGCAAAAGCAGGAGCCCTAAGTTCCCGTCTGTATTGCCATTTACTAGCCCTGTGAGCCCGGGCAACTTATTTACGTTTCTGAGACTTAGATATCTCTGAGTTGTGACAAGAGTCTTGAAACATTTATAAGCACTTAGCATGGTGCAGCCATCGACTAAGTTCTCAGGGGGAAGTAGTCATTAAATGGTCTCATTTTGTTATTGTTAAAGGGGGTTGAGCCCCTGGGGCCTGCAGCAATGAAGGAGAGGCACAGGAAGGGCTGAGCACCTGGAAGGCCCTTGTAGGCACCCCAGCATGGCCCCATCCAGAGTGGCTGCATTTCACAACCCCCAACATTTCCCCTGAAGCACAGACAGTCCCAGCCACTCCCACTTCCTGGTCGGCTCTCCCTCTTGAGTCACTTTTTTGAGTGGGGCTGAATGCATGAGTCTCTTCCTCCCTTTCCCACTAAGCAGCTGTGTGACTCTAGACAAGTTTATCTCCCTCTCTGTGCTTCAGTCACCTCATCTGTAAACTGAGGGTGTTCACCAAATGACCTCTAAGGTCCTATGCACTTTTCTGGCATTCAGTGATTCTGCAATTCACTAGTGGGTGCTGGAGAAGTTTATCATTCAGGACATGCTGGCCAAAGAAATAGGCTTCCCAAAAGAGAGGAGGCCCCTGCTCGCCCACCTCCACCCCTGAATTTCCTCCCTTAATATTGATAAAGACTTGAATCTGAAAAGTACTCCTGAATAGGGCAGCCACTTACTGGGGGTGCTCCGCTGAGTCTCAACAAACGTGGCTAATGGGCTAGGACCACCGGAACTCCTTGAGCATGGGATGTGCACTGTCCATAGGGCTCAGCTTCTGAAATGTCTGCTGGTTTCTTAAGCTGCTCTCCCTAACCCTTGGGGATGCACTTCAGATTGTGGAGTGGGATGCCACTGAGATTACAACTGCCTGCTCATTCATTTCCCTTGAATACCAGGCTCTTTGGCAGCCTTCCTGCCTTTGCCTTTCCCACCTGTGAAATGGGGCTAATAACAGCTACACACATACAAGGAGGCACCCAACAGCATGTATGTGGAATCTTTGGGGTGACCCAGCAGCATCTTTCTCAAGGTGACAGCTGCCCAGTTTTCACACATGCGGAGGTTACTGGGGAAAATGGGATGTCTGCTTTGGTCTGCTCTATGCACTCAGTATGCTGCTGAAGAAAAATGTCCTTTCAGCACGAAACACAGATGGCCTCAACATAGCTTTGTTATTGGGTGGTCCCCTGGCAGCCTGCAACTGCAGGCACTAGGCACTGAGTGTCATGAAAGAGGGGCGGTTTCCAGCATAAAACTATGGTCTTAGGGCTCACACTCAGGGTAGCAAATACCTGCTCCAACTTCCCAGTTGAGCCAAAGAGTTACGAAGCTGCCCCCATGGGCCCCAGATCACCCATGATCATACAGTTGTGTAAAGTGCTCCGCGATGAGGGAAAGGAGCAGCCACCACCTGCCCAGGGTAAGGGGCTCAGGAGGCAAGTCCCCCACATGACCCCACAGTCACCCTTGAGTACATGCACGCAGGTACACGAGTACAGGTACGAACACATGTTGCCAGCGTGGAACACGGAGGCACAAAGCATACCCACTTCCATCTGTGCAGCTCATGGCCTTGGTCACTGCCTTTCTTATATCCATGTAACTTCTCCTCCTGCTCCAACATAACCCTGAGAGCAGAGTCCTGTCTCATTCCACTATGTGGCCTCACAATGCCTAGCATAGGACAAGTGGTCAAGAAGCATCAGGGTGCAGGCCTACCAGGGGCTCCACTGGTACAGGGGAGTGGGAGGCACGGCTGTGTAAGATACTACCCTGCCACAAGAAGCCACTAGCCTCCCTGGGAAGGAGAGGCCCCACTGCATAGTCACCCACACAGACACATACCCACGTACACTCTCTGGTAACTTTGCCCTGCCAGGGGCCTTGCTCTTTCTGACTCTGTAACTAAATTTGGGCCTGAAACGAAAGTGGCCAACACAAGATTGGCCCACAGTTAGCTCCAGGCAGCCTGGCATTCCAAAGCGGTTGACTGGCCTCTGCCAGAGTGCGGGGTTTGCAGCCGTCACCTCCTCCAGGCTGTGGCTCACTGCCTCCTCCTTCATTCACAGCTCCACATTCCACTCCCAAGGGCAATGGTTTTAGGTGAAGGGAAGAGGCCAGAAGATATGATGTGGCATAGTAGAAAGAGATGCATTTTGAAATTCGACATTTAATTAGACATGAGACTCATTTCCATTTGAGTCTCAGCTCTCCACTTGTTGACCATGTGATCTTTGCTAAGTTAACTTAACCTCTTTGATCCCCAGCTTTCTTATCGGTAAAACAGGGATAATATAATAAGGATTAAATAGGGTGCATTAATACTAATGCATGCTTACTAAAGGTTAACTATTTCAAGTCAACATTCTCCCTTGAGTTGGAAGTGATGAAGAATGACACAAGGACCCAAGAGTCACCCTCTCCTTCCCCAGCCACTGAAGGACGCCAACTGTCCTTGGCAACTTCTCCCAGCCTGCTCCAGAGGAGAGTCGGGCCACCTGTCCCAAAGAGAACAAACAACACCTTTTCTTGCCCCTCAATGCCACGTCCAGGGTGCGAGGCTCCTTCCCTTCCTTGAATACGGATGCCCATGCCAGTCACCACACATATTGAGTTACAGGATATCCAAGCCACAAGGAGACACATCTTCCATCTGGCTGGCAGTTTACAAATATTTGAGCTTATCAGGTTTGAACTGGAAGAGGGGGCTAATTGAAGTTTCATAGGAAATCACTGTACAAGTTATGTATGACCCAATTAGGCTTACAGGGTGTGCAGTATTTCCATTTGTTTGTTCCAAGGATGCTTTATGTAGGGGCTGGGGGAAGGAGGCGGGCAATAAAGCAGTGCCTTCGCGCCCTTCATTCCTGCTATTCCTGTCCTCCTTTGAATTAGCTGGTGCCCAGGAGCCATTTCCCCAAAGTTTCATATAACTTTCCTCTTCTACCCTTCAGGGCAGCCTCAGTCTCTCCATAGCCAATGGGAAAAGGCAATGTGAGGACACCACATGAGAAATGAGAGCAGGTGAGGATATGGCAGAGCGAGAGGGACCTAAAGAGCACCTGGCCCACCCACCTCCTTTAAAAGGTGAGGTCACAGGAGCTCAGAGAAAGCAAGCCTCTTGTCCCCTAGGTTCCCACCCAGGCAAAGCCAAACCAAAGTCAAGCCCAAGCCTTCAGATCCCTAGATGCTGTTCCTACTAACCCAGGGTAAAGTTTAAGTCCAGAAGGCACAGAATAAGAACCCTCCCTACAAAAGATGCTCTTACCCCTGCCTTCCACATAGCAGAGGCCCAGTGTGGGCTGAATAATGACCATCACCCCCAGACACGTCCTTGTCCTCATCCCTGGTACTTGTGAATAAGTTACCTTATGTGGCAAAAGAAACTTTGCCAATGTGATTAAGTTAAGGATGTTGAGATGGGATTATCCATGTGGGTCTGAGGTCATCACAAGGGTCCTCGGAAGAGGAAGGCACGAGAGGAGAGCAAAAGATGCTACATTGTTCTCTTTGCAGGTAGAGGAGAGGGCCATGAGCCAAGGAATGTGGGCATTCTCTAGAGCTGGAAAAGGTAAGGAAACAGTCTTCCAAGTGCCTCCAGAAGTATTGCAGCCCTGCAGACCCATTTTAGACATCTGACCTTCAAAAATATAAGATAATAAAACTGTGTTGTTTTAAGCCACTAAGTCTGTGGTAATGTATTAATACTGAAGCAAGAAGAAATGAACATACCCAGCCTCTCATCCATGTAAATCATCGCAAGGTAGAAACAGCAGGATGGGCAGAGCTAAGCAGTCCAGAGGGGTGCTAGTTATATGGCCAATGGGGACAAGTAACCCGCATACTTTTGGGACTTGCAGAGGGAGAAGCCCCTGCTGCCCTATGCCTCTGCTGGTGCAGGGTTGATCTGGCCCCCTCTGCAGAAGCAAGCCAGTCCCGATATCTGAGGATATGGGCAGAGCAGAAAGAGAAATCCTCGAGTATTGATGTTAAAATGGGCAAAAGACTTGAATAGCTATTTCTCCAAGATGATATACACATGGCCAACATCACTGATCATCAGAGAAACACAAATCCAAACCACCATGAGCTATCACTTCACACCCATTAGGATGGCTGCTATCAAAAAATAGAAATTAACAAGAGCCAGCGAGGATGTGGAGGAATAAGAACGTTAAGCACTGTTGGCGGGAAAGTAAAATGGAGCAGCCACCGTGGAAAACTGTATGGCGATTCCTCAGAAAATTAAAAATAGAACTACTACATGATCCAGCAATCCTACTTCTGGATATGTATCCAAAAGAACTCAAAGCAGGATTTCCAAGAGATATTTGCATGCCCAGGTTCATAGCAGTACTATTCACAATAACAAGTCCAAATGTCCATTGACAGAAGAATGGACAAACAAAATATAATCTATCCGTGGCTGGGCACGGTGGCTCATGCCTGTAATCCCAGCACTTTGGGAGGCCAAGGCGAGCAGATCACTTGAGGTCAGGAGTTCAAGACCAGCCTGGCCAACATGGTGAAACCCTGTCTCTACTAAGAATACAAAAATTAGCCAGGCAGGGTAGTGCACACCTGTAATCCCAGCTACTCAGGAGGCTGAGGCAGGAGAATCATTTGAACCTGGGAGACCGAGGTTGCAGTGAGCCGAGATCATGCCACTGCACTCCAGCCTGGGTGACAGAGCAAGACTCCATCTCAAAAAAAAAAAAAAAAAAAAAAAAAGTAGTCTATCCATAAAATGGACTATTATTCAGCCTTTAAAAGCAATGAAATTCTGACACACACTGTAAGACAGATGAACTTTCAGTCCATTATGCTACGTGAAATAAACCAGTCACAAAGGACAAATATTCAATGATTCCACTTTAACATCAGGTATCTAAAGTAGTCAAATGCATAAAAACAGAGAGTAGAATGGTGGTTGCCAGGGGCTGGAGGCAGGGAGAAATGGGGAGTTGTTTAATGGGTGTGTAGTTACAATTTTTCATTTCTTTTTTTTCCTTTGAGACGGAGTCTCACACTGTCACCCAGGCTGGAGTGCAATGGCATGATCGCAGCTCACCGCAACCTCCGCCTCCCGGGTTCACGCCATTCTCCTGCCTCAGCCTCCCAAGTAGCTGGGACTACAGGCGCCTGCCACCACGCCCGGCTAATTTTTTGTATTTTTAGTAGGGGTTTCACTATGTTGGCCAGGCTGGTCTCGATCTCCCGACCTTGTGATCCGCCCACCTCAGCCTCCCCAAGTGCTGGGATTACAGGTGTCAGCCACCGCGCCCAGCCAGTTACAATTTTTCAAGATGAAAAAGTTCTGGAGATGTGTTCCACAACAATATATTTAACACTACTGAACTGTAACACTTAAAAATGATTCAGATTGAAAACTGTGTTACGTACTTTTTACCACAGTTTTTAAAAATTAAAAAATGTCAAGTCTCTGGGTACATAACATGCCCCGGATGGGCCCGGCAGAGCCCCAAGATTCTTATGGCATCCTGTCACCACGCTCTGTTGCCATGTTCATCACAACCTGTTTTATTCCTGTGTTTGTCTCCCCCAAGAGATCTTGAGCTCGTTGAGGACAGGAGTCAAGTCTTACTACTCCAAGTACCTCGCACGGCGTCCAGCATGGTGCTTTACACATAGGAGGTGCTCAGCAGACCTCTGTTGTATTTAATATTTCAAAAGTGTGTTCCTAGCTTCATGCAAATTAATCCTTTTCTTCCAAAGGGATGCTTAGTCTACCACTCGCCCCCACATCAATGGCTTACCTCAGGGTCGGGGGGACAGACAGGGGTGGTTTAGGGCTTACGGAAGAAGCCCAGGCTGTAAGTGACACAGTGCAGCTATTGTCTATACACTCATGCAATGTCACTCCTTTACCCACTGCCCCACCCTTCCACGTGTGCACGAACCATGAATCCCTCAAGAGCACAGAATCAGCAGTAAAAGCAGAATGAATCACTGGGAGCAAGGGACCACTTCAAGTTGGTTGGACTAAGAAGTGCAAAGTCTCAGAGCCCCACAGGGTCTCCCAGAAGTAAGAATATAGGTCTGCGCGCACAGCCCTCCCTCCGCATTTAACAACGTGATTCATTTAAGAATATCAACGGCAAGCAAGTGCCCAGCCCGCCTAATGCAGTGGAGTCCTCTGATATTCCCTCCACGCTGCAGTGACATATAGTAACCAGTCCGACTAAATCCTATGAACTGAAAAATTGCTTTCCCCGTGTGTTGATGGTCATCTCTTAACGTAAGCTGAGCCCACCCGAGGACAGTGGGAAGGTCCTTCTCCGCATGTCTGCAAGCACGAAGGCTGCTCTGAGGCCCTTCAGATACATGGGAGGAGGTTGTTTCGTCAGCAAGTAACCAAGGAGAACGCATCTGAGGCAAAGCATCTTTCTAAAATACCTGTTTAAAAATAAGAGTTAATACTTGCAGAGTACTCCCTGTGGGCCAGACCCTGTTCTCATGATTTTACATACATTGATTTATTTAATCCTCTCAGCACCCCCATAAGGTAGGCATTATTATGACGCCCACTTCACAGATGAGAACACTGAGGCACAGAGGGACTAACCAGCTTGTGCCAAGCCTCCGGCAAACCAAGCAGCCTGACAGCAAAGTACGTGCTCTAACCACCGTGTTCACGGCCTCTAGAGTTAGGGCCCTGGCCTGAGGGTGTTGACTTTCAGCCTCCTCTCCTTCCTCCCCAGCCTCCAACCCAGCAGAGGGTACCATTTCAGCCCTCACTAGGAGAGGCACACACATTTAAAGAGCTATTTCTAGGAAACAGCATTTGCAAAAAGCTGCATGTCTCAAGGCAAGAACCAAAGAACCAGCATACGGAGAAATAAACCTAACAAAAGTGTAATTGTATTTTGAATTCCCATAGGATGTTGTACTTATGTATTCTGAAGCGTGTTAGAAACATGAATTACTTCTCATTCAAACCTCCTGAAAATTCATCCTGTTCCCATTCCCACTTAATAGATAAGCAGACCATCAAAAGAATGGAGAAGTGGCCTACCCAAGTGAGTAACCTGCAGAATGAGTGGGTGACAAAACAGGTAATGGAACTCAGGCATCATAGTTCCTGAAACCTTACAAGACAATACCCGTTCCATTTACAAAATCATCCGGAACCATTACCCAGAGACAAACACGTTCAGTATGAGCATCTCTCAAACAAGGTCAGAGTCAAAAGCAGAACACCCAGCTTTTTTATTTTTTTCAAAGAATCATGGCAGAAGAAGAGATTTTGAGCTTGCTTATCCATCTCCTGCCACCCAGCAGGTCACTGCAAAGCCTTCTGAGATGGGCTCTTCCACTCCCATTTTTTTCTAGGAAAGCACATTACTTAACCTCTCCATAATGGCATCCCAAATTCTGGAATTTATGATTTTTTTCTTTGTCTCTTACCTAAAATTCTCACACTAAAATGTGACACTTTCTTCTTTTTCAGAGTAACAAAAAAACATGTACTCTAGCATCACCACCTTTGCAATTTTTCTACATATACGTACAGATTATCCATTAACTTCAGGCTTATCTGCTTCAGGACATACAGCATGGATACTTTTGGCTTCCCAAAGCCCACATCTCCCAGTGGCTCTCACTGTAACTCCCTCAGTTCTCTAATTATCTCTAAAAACAGAGTTCAAATCCATACTCTGTACTCATAGGAAGGACTTCAAAGCACAGGACAGAGTGAAAGGACTCTCCCCCATTGTGCCAGGACTTGGAATGGGATGGGCTGTCCCTGAGGAACACATCTGGCAATGGCAAGCAGGTACCAAGAATCAGATGGTCCAGTCCCAGACACGTGAGCAAGTGAGGATCAGCTGCTGGGAAACTGGAGCGATGAGGAGTCAAGATCAGACAGGCCAGCAAGAAAAGAGAAATGAGGTACCAATGGCCAAGAGGGCTTGAGAGAACAGAGAGGCAAAGGGCAGAGATAAAAAAACCCAGCCTGGGAGATAGAAGATCAAAGGGCTTGGAGCACAGAAAATGCCCTGACTAAGAAGAGCTCTGGAAGGCAGCCCTGGGAATCACGAGGTCCAGAATCTAAGAATGGGTGCAATGGCAACTGTTCATGCTCACAAATATCTGTGTTCCCTTTTTCTTCCTGGGGTCACAGCTAGCCTACATTTTCCAGCTGCCGTGGCAGTCAGACATGACCATATGACTAAGTTCTGGCCAGTGAAATGTGCACAGAAGTGATGGTGTGCTAGTCCAGGCCGGGCCAGTGAGAAGCTCCCACGCACCATCCCTCTGTTTCCTCACCTGCAATTGCTTCTCTTTCTCCATACATTAGCTGAATGGAGAAAACGTCAAAGACCACAAAGAGAGAAGCCCTGCAGAATGAAATGGACCATGCTCACTGAGTCACCATGTGGAAGGCCACCTGACCAGGAGTAACTGCACTGGACTGTCACGTAACTGAAAATTAAACTCGTATTGCATCAAGCCAGTGAGATTTTGGGCTGCTTGTAACAGCTGCTAGCCTTCCCTAACTAATACAGGATCAGAGAAACAAACATGCAACTAAGTGGTAAAAATGGAGTTTAACAAGCCTAGAATAGATTAGAAATCGGATGACTTGGAACATATATGGAGAAAAAACCTAATCAATGTCAAGTACACTTTCACTTTTTGAATGGAATTATATGGCCAGTACATCAAAGGGATGCCACAGATGCAGAATCATAGAGTAATGCTAAAAGGGAAGTAATGGTCACTCAGTTCAAGGCAAATTGGAAATGATTTGTCAAATCCTCCATTCATCCATTTTTTCAACAAATCCCAAGTGCCTACTACTATGTGCTAAGAGCTGTGGCTCCAGTGGTAAACAGAGCACAGGCATTGCCCTGCAAGGGCCCTCCACCAAGTGGGAGAGGCAGACAAACAGTCTACCATGTAGTGATGAGTTTTCCAATGGGTACACTTAGAGTGCTGCAGTGGTGCTGAAAAGGGATGCCCAACCCGCTGCATCTGCGGAAGAAGTCCCAAAGGAGGGGATGCTTGATCTGAATCCTAAAGAAGCAGTAGAAGTCAGTTGACTAGAAGGAGTGAAAGGCATCCCAGGTACAGGGAACGGCATATCCAAAGCATGAATTTACATGCTGCAGTTGGGAACCAGCAGTAGACAGTACATCTGAAGTGTAGGGTTGGTAGAAGAAACAGTAAAAGCTGAGAACAGTAAGACGATGCAGGACCACCTATCATTTACAGTGGACAGGGTGCTAGCAAAGGCCTCAGTGCAGTACACTGACATAATCTGAGTGAGGCTTTTGTTTCCTGGTGACACAGTACAGGATGAGGGCTAGAAGGAGTCAGGCCAGGAGTACAGAATCTAGTTAGAAGGTTCTTACAGTTGTATAGGCAAGACGGATCAGAGTCCGAGGGGTGTATTATGAGGTATTAAGGAGGTAGAATCTCTTAGAACAGCTAAGGGTATTTATAATTACCCCACTCAATTGAATTAGCTGTGGAGTGAGAAGAAAGCAAAAGCACTGAGAATGGCTTCCAGGTACCTGGCTTGGCCAACTTGGTGGCACCAAGTTGATCACAGAAAGAGAAGAAGGTTTCAGAGGACGTGGAGATAGTGCATTTACTTTGAAAAATTAAAACATTCTGCAGCTATTCAATTAAAAAATTAAAAATGTAAAAGAGACAGATATCTGGGCTGAAAAGGTAAATTTGAAAGTCATAATCCTACCAATGGTGGTTCAATAATGGAAAAGGTTGACATTGCCTTAAAAAATGAGAAGTAGAAGAGTCTGAAAATAGAACTCACATCACCAGTGTGATTAATACACTCAGGAGGGTCTGCAGTTGGCTGATCCAGAGATGCACTGATGATTGACACATTCATAGGTGCACTGATTCTATGCACAGATGCCTAGGGATTGACTCACTGATACATTTACCCTGGGAGGTCTCTACTGATGTGACCCAAGGCTCTGTCTTTGGCTCTAGCCTTTTGAACACTAAATTAAAAAGTTGGATGAAGACAAATTTGCCAAATGTGCTGCTGACACAAATCTGGGAGGAATAGCTAGTAAATTGGAAGTTTCAGTCAGAATAAAAATGACCTCAACAAGCTGAAACTATGGTCCACACTAACGAGATGAAATAGAATAAGCACAATGTAAAGGACTATACTTAGATGAAAAAATTCACTGCATAAACATAGGGTAGGTGGAACCCTGGCTTGCCTTATCAGCAATTTATATGACAAGGACCCTAGGGATTTTAGTAGGCTACGACTCAATATGAGTCAACAGTAGAGCACAGCTGCCAAAAAGGCAAACGCAATCTTTACTTCTTCCTTAATCTGCATTCAGAGCTCTGAATCAGGGACATAGCAGGCTGAGCACTCCATCCAAGTCGGCACACAGCTGAAGCCCTGTGTCCCTTCTGGGGAACAGACTGCAAGAGGAACACTGGCAAGTAGAAGCTGACCAGCAGAGGTGGGGCAAGAGGGAGAGGAATGAAGCCACGGGAGAACGTGGGTAAAGAAAGTGGGGACAAGAAGTCTGGAAAATATGCTTGGAAGAAACATAATAGTCTGCTTCAAAAATCTGGAGGGCTATAAGAAAATGAAGTAAATATATTTTGTTTGCTCCAGATGGAGGACTCAAGCTTGATGAGCAGAAGTTATAGGATGGTAGATTTCCACTTAATATAAAAAAGAACACTCAAAAGATAATGGCTGTTTAACATTTGAATGGCTGCGTGTTGAAGTTAGTGAGGTCCCCTTCCCTGGAACTATCCAAGTAGAAACTAGATGACCACTTGTTGAGAATGCTAAAGACAGGCCTGCCCTGGGTGGGGAGTTGGGCTAGATCAGTCATCCCCAAGCTGGATTTCAAGGACAACTAACAACACCTTTTCAAATTTGACTATGTGAAAAGTTTTTCAAAAATCAACTATCACCATCATCACACAAAAGAAGAGACATTTTAATACCAAAGAGGAGGACAGATATACTATCAGCATTTTAAAATCCTTTATATATATAGAATAATTTAATTTTATGAAAACAACACACCTAATTTTTCTAACTCTGTGAAAGCCAGAGGAAACATTAGTCATGATTCCACTTGTTTTATTCAGTGTTTTATTCCCAGTGCCTCGTGTTTAGTAGGAACTCAATAAATATTTGCTCAATGAATGATCCAATGAATACATGCATTTAATATATAAAGCACTGGCTTCCACAGAGTCAAATGGCTTCTCCCCCTCATCATTCATCAGTATTTATTGACAGCTCTTGTGGTTCTTGGCACTGAAATATGGCAGAGCAAGGGCCATTAACTTCCCACAAAACATCCTCCAAGCACTGAGAGTAGCAATGCCTTACATTTGTATTGTTTTAAAGTTTACACAGCATTTTCTTCAGTATCATAAATTCTCTTTACAATGTGGAGACAAATATCACCAATCTACAGCTGGGGAAACTGAGGATCAAAGACTCTCCCAAGAGCACAACCTGAGATGGCTGGGTGAATCACAGCATAAACCCAGCTTCTCCAATGGCAAGGTACATGCTGTTTCCACCCACCTCAACTGTGTCCCTAAGAAAGGGATAGCCTGATCCTCTGGCACACCCCTGGGAGAGTCGAAATGCTCTTGGCCACCAAAACACAGGACACAGTCCTCAACAACACAGGCTGCCTGGCAATGCTGGGATCTACGGCCAGGGCCTCTTTGGGGGAAAAGGAGAAATTGGAGGAGTCCATGGCTTCCATCAGCAGCAAGCCAAGAGCCTTTGTTTGCCTGTAAGACACCATCTGTCCACCAGGCCTTTTAACACTGACAGTTTAAATCAGGAATCCCTTTGGTATGGAATGATTTGAGCTCAGGTCAAGAAAAACCCTCCAAAGAATGATGACAGTGTGTGAGAAGCCAGTAATCAGAACCTAAATGCATCAGAGCTCCCTGTTCCTTCTATGTTCAAGCCAGGCCATGTGGGACTACCTGATTAACTGCCTTAGCCTGAAATTAACTGGCAATTCAGGAAACCAAACAGCACAGTCCATGATTAAACGAACCAAAGGGGCAAAAAACAAACACCACCAAAAAACTATTTTCACAGGCGTAACGAGTTAATTATTCAGTGTGTGTATGTACACATATGTGTGTGCATATCTATATATAAATATACGATATAAAGTAGACTTGAGCAGAGATAGGCGTTTTGTTGAAAATATAGGAAACTGAATGAAAATTCCTTGAACGCAAGACATCCCACTCTCAGCACCTCTTCTCCAGTGTGTGACTAGAACAGGGTCCAGTGTAGCTTAGCAACCCCAGGCTCCAGTTTTCTCCCTGATAATTCCTCCATTAAGAAAACCCAAGCTCTGAGGTCCACAGTCTAGAATGAGGTGGAGCATCTCAGTGTGGCAGGGTCAAGGTGCCAGGAGCATCCTGAACAGATGGTAAAGGCAGGTGTGTACAGGAGGCAGGAGAGAGGGCCCCTGCTCCAAATGCTATGATCGCTCCTGCATTTCCTAGCAACACCATGCGGGGGGTGTTGTCTGACTGCCACATAGAAACTGGGGAGCGACAGCCGGCCCAGTCTTGTTGAAAGCAAAGCAAGGATGCAGGAGACGCTGCCGGGCTGTATGACACCTGGAAAGACACCACTAGGACATCAGGGCCTGAATGGGACAAGTCACACAGACCAAAGCATGTGTGAGAGGGGAAAAGCGGGGCATTAATTCACAGGAAGTGCAGGGCCAGCGTCTGACTCGTCTACTCAGAGAAGGAAACAGTGAGGGGCAGACACTGTGGAAAAGAGCAGGGAGTCTCAGGCTAGACAGGCCTGAGTTAGAACCACAGTTTCATCACTTCTCTAACATGTGACACGAGCAAGGTGCTTATTATAGTTTAACCTCAGCTTGGTTTGGTTCATCCACATTCACGGAACACAGACTATTGCTGTGTGTTACCCTCAGTGATGGCAGCACTGAAGTGAATATCCCCCCTGTCCCCCCTGTTTTCTTACCTCTCAAAATGGCAGCGTTACCTTTTTCATACGGTTGCTGTGAGATTAAATGGAATAACATCATAAAAGACCTTGGCACACAGTAAGAACTCCGCATATATTAGTTGTTATTCTAGTGATAATGATGGTGCCCAAAGGTCAATGTCTGGGTATTTCTGTCTGCTTTCTTTTGAATTATGAAATATTTCAAATAATAGTTCATTATTTCCCTGAAAAATACCAAGACCTTAGAACACATTAAATTCTGATCTTTGCACCCACCCCATCCTAAATTTCAATCATCCTAAATCTTAATCTTCTTAAAAAAAATACATTTGCAATGCCAGGTTCATGAAAAAATTAATGCTTCTTTATTAAGCATGTCCCTTGGTAGTTCTCTCAGCACAGATCACTTTAGAGGTAAATACTCTCAGCCTTTGTTTATAGGAAAAATGTCTTTTTTTTTTTTTTGAGACTGAGTCTCGCTCTGTCGCCCAGGCTGGAGTGCAGTGGCGCGATCTCGGCTCACTGCAAGCTCCACCTCCCGGGTTCACGCCATTCTCCTGCCTCAGCCTCCCGAGTAGCGGGGACTACAGGCGCCCGCCAATATGCTCGGCTAATTTTTTGTATTTTTTAGTAGAGACGGGGTTTCACTGTGTTAGCCAGGATGGTCTAGATCTCCTGACCTCATGATCCACCCACCTCAGCCTCCCAGAGTGTTGGGATTACAGGCGTGAGCCACCGCACCTGGCCGAAAAATGTCTTTCCATCCTAACTCTTGAATGATAATTTAGCTTTGTATAGAATTCTAGTTTGATATTCACTGAGCACTTTGAAGATATTATTTCATTGTCTTCTGGCGTCTGTTGTGGTTGATGAAGTCTGGTGTTTGTACAGAAATAATCTGTCTTTTCTCCCTGCTTGCTTTTAAGATTTTCTTTGACATTTAAGCAGTTTTCTACACTGAGTGTCTAGATCGAGATGTATTTTTAATTACCCTACTCAATACTCAGTGTGCTGGTATAATCTAAAAATCAATATCTTTCTTAAATTTCAAAACATTCTTGGCATTATCCTTTAAAGTAATGCCTTTTCATCATTCTCTCCACTGTTTCCTAGAACTCCATTTAGATGTAAGTTAACCTTTTTCATTCTTTCCACCAATTCTTTCAATGGCTCCTTCATATATGCAATATTTTAATATCTGGGCTGTATTCTATGCAATTTCCTCAGATCTAACTTCCAATCCACTGATATTACCTTCTACCATATCTAACCTAATGTTTAATCCATCCATTAAGTTATTTATTTAAATGTGTTTTTCATTTCTAAAAATACAGTTGGGCCCTTTTTAAAAATCTTCTCCTTTTTCATATAGCACTATTATTTTATTATGCTTTCTATTTCTTCCTTTATCTCTTTGTTTTTTGTTTTTTTTTTTGAGACAGAGTCTCACTCTGTTGCCCATGCTGGAGTGCAGTGGCGCGATCTTGGCTCACTGCAAGCTCCGCCTCCCGGGTTCATGCCATTCTCCTGCCTCAGCCTCCCAAGTAGCTGGGATTACAGGCGCCTGCCACCATGTCCAGCTAATTTTTTGTATTTTTAGTAGAGATGGGGTTTCACCATGTTAGCCAGGATGGCCTCAATCTCCTGACCTCGTGATCCACCCGCCTCAGCTTCTCAAAGTGCTGGAATTACAGGCATGGGCCACCACGCCCGGCCATCTCTTTGATTTAAACAAGGTTATTTTATTTGTTTTTTTTGTTTTTGTTTTTTGTTTGAGACAGGGTCTCACTCTGTCATCCAGTCTGGAGTGCAGTGGCACAATCTCAGCTCACTGTAACCTCTGCCTCCTGGGTTCAAAACATTCTCCTGCCTCAGCCTCCCAGGGAGCTGGGACTATAGGTGTGTGCCACCATGCCCAGATAATTTTTGTTATTTTTAGTAGAGACAAGGTTTCACCATGTTGGCCAGGCTGGTCTTGAACTCCTGGCCTCAAGTGATCTGCCCGCCTCAGCCTCCCAAAGTGTTGGGATTACAGGTGTGAGCCACCACACCCAGCCTAAACAAGGTTATTTTATATTCTCCTCAAATTGTCCTGTGACTTCAGTTTTCAAGGTAGTAATTCTGTTTGTTATATCTGCTGACTCTTCCTCAACTCTGTTGTGAGGTGTACATTATTTTTTACTGTAAGCTCATCTTCAGCCTGGACTGCTTATTTTATAAAAGTCTGAAGGGTCCTGAGCTGTGGAAGAAGGCTTCAGAGTTTTTGTGATTATTTTTGAAGGGTCCTATGGGTATCAGTTATCCTAGATCTAGTTTTGTGGGGTTCTTGTTATTGAGGCAAAAATATATATATAAAATTTACCATTGTTATGGACTAAATGTTTGTGTCTCCCCAAAATTTATATGTTGAAGCACTGGACTCCCAGTGTGATGGTATGAGGAGGTGCGGCCTTCTGGAGGTAATTAGGTCATAAAGATGGTTCCTCATGAGTGGGATTCGTGCCCTTATAGAAAGAGCCATGAGAGAGCTCTTCAGTTCTCAACTCTCTGCCAGTGAGGAGACAATGAGAAGGCAGTCATCCAGGAAGCAGGTCCTCACCAGATATCAAATCTGCTAGCACCATGATCTTGGACTTCCCAGCCTCCAGAATTGTGAGAAATGAGTACTTGCTGTTTAAGCCACCCAGTCTATGGTAAATTGTTATGGCAGCCAAACTGACTAAGACAACCATCTTAACTATTTTTTTTTAATTATTATTATATTTTAAGTTTTAGGGTACATGTGCACAACGTGCAGGTTTGTCACATATGTATACATGTGCCATGTTGGTGTGCTGCACCCATTAACTCTTCATTTAATATTAGGTATATCTCCTAATGCTATCCCTCCCCCCTCCCCCCACCCCACAACAGCCCCTGGTGTGTGATGTACCCCTTCTTGTGTCCATGTGTTCTCATTGTTCAATTCCCACCTATAAGTGAGAACATGTGGCGTTTGGTTTTTTGTCCTTGTGATAGTTTGCTGAGAATGATGGTTTCCAGCTTCATCCATGTCCCTACAAAGGACATGAACTCATCATTTTTTATGGCTGCATAGTATTCCATGGTGTATATGTGCCACATTTTCTTATTCCAGTCTATCATTATTGGACATTTGGGTTGGTTCCAAGTCTTTGCTATTGTGAATAGTGCCGCAATAAACATACGTGTGCATGTGTCTTTATAGCAGCATGATTTATAATCCTTTGGGTATATACCCAGTAATGGGATGGCTGGGTCAAATGGTATTTCTAGTTCTAGATCCCTGAGGAATCGCCACACCGACTTCCACGATAAGCGTTTTTAGGTGTACAGTTAAACTAGTGTTAACTATATGTGCATTGTTGTGATCAGATCTCTAGAACTTTTTCATCTTGTGTAACTGAAACTCTATATCCATTGAACAACCCCCTCTGCACCCCTCGTTCAGCCCTTGGCAACCACAATTCTACTTCTAAGAGTTTGACTACTTTAGATACCTCATATAAATAGGATCATGCAGTATTCATCCTTCTGTGACCAGCTTATTTCACTTAGCACAACGTCCTCAAGGTTCATCCCCGTTGTAGCATATGACAGGATTTCTTTCTTTTTTTCAGGCTGAATAATACTCCGCTGTATGTATCTTAATCAGCTCAGGCTGTCATAGCAAAATACCATAGACTAGCCGGCTTAAGAAACAAAAATTTATTTCCTCACAGTTCTAGAGGCTGGAACTCCAAGATCAAGGTGCCAGCAGATGGATTTCTAGTGAGGGCTCTCCTTTTGGCTTGCAGATGGCCACCTTCTCTCTGTGTCCTCACGTGGCAGGGAGAAAGTGAGAGCAAGCTCTCTGGTGTTTCTTCTTCTAAGGGCACTAATCCCATCAGGAAGGCCCACCTCCTGGCCTCATCTGAACCTAATCAACTCCCAAAGGCCCTATCCCCAAATACCATCACATTGGAGGCTAGGGCTTCCACACATGAATTTGCTTCCACACACTATTCAGTCCACAGCAGTATGTATACACCACATTTTCTTTATCCATTAATCTATCAATGTCTTAGATTTCATTTTTATGTTAATTGTTATCCTAAATTTCCTATAGTATGCAAGTAGTATGAATTCAGGTGCCACACATGTGGTTGATACAGCCCGAGAGTTTTGCTCTCTCAAAGGTGACACAGCAAGCCCCAGGACACACAGAACACTTCCTTGCTGTTGACTCCAAAGCAGTAAACAGAGTTTCTCATCTCCCTTCTCTGAACAGGAAGCTCTTTAAGGTTCTGGGCTTTATGCAAGGGTTCCATTCCAGCTCCCCCAATTTTTATAGGCCTGAGGCCGTAACTCTTGCCTCCTCAGCCCCAAACCCTATATCCAGCTCCAAACTTCTATGGGCTGCCATGGCATTAGCTATTTTGAACCTATTCTCTCCTTTGTTCACACTCATATCTACAACACAGGGTTGTTGTGAGAATTAAGTTATACAAGTCACATAAAGTTCCTGACATAAGGCCTGGCATACACTAGATACTCAATAAAGTAAGGCTATTTTTACTTGCAAATCCCAACTCAACCCAGTCTAGCCAATACTACTACTTCATCTTCCTCTTTAAAAAGTAATACAAATTTAAAACTGTGATATAAAACATTATGTACCTTGGACTACCCATACATTAAGATCTCCCCTTTCTCTTGAAAAAGACAGAAGAAAACATTTAGAAAAGAGAGATGTGCAATCAATTGCAAAGTCTGAACCCTAATGTCATTTTTATATGTGGGATACCCCATTATGAAACACTTACCTAGAAGGTTAGCTAATGTTCAAATTTAAACAACATGCCTGAAACTCTCATCAACCTACCACACACATACTCACACATGCAGCTATTAGCTGTACCTAAATTAAATTTCCCTGTTGATCATAAACGGTACACATCTTAAATCAAACTTAAGTGGGCAATGCGTTGTAATGAATGTTGCTCGACCTCATTGCTAAACATGAAGCCACAGCTAGTGAGCCCAGCATGGCGTCCGCTCCAGGGCACGTGCCAGCCAGTGCTTCAGCCCTCTCCTGGATTCCAGGGGTGGCTGGTTCATGTTCCATGTCTCAATTTCCCACTCAGTAGAAAGTGCCGTATAGCAGAACCCAGTGTCCTTCACACACAGCAACTGCGTGTTTAAAGAGCCAGAGGTCTCCCGGGCCTTCCAACCAGGGTGACCCGTCTAACAAGTCCCATTCTATAAAGCAGGGGCTCATTTTAACTGTGTCATCCCATTAAAAACAGCAATGGTTCCGATACAAGTGTAGAATAAATGGGAATCGAACTTGGGAAAAAAGCCAGAGGCAAATAATTTTGTGACTGAAAAATACAGGGTACTAGAGATACCATCTCTGTTGCCTTTTCACATCCCTTGGAAAACTGTTTTTGCTCATGAATGAAAAAATTATTTTGCTTAACAAAGGAAGAAAGGAGGGGGAAAAGTGAAGGGAGGAAGGGAGGGGGGAGGTAGGTAGGGAGGGAGTGAGGCGAGGGAAGGAAGGGGAGAAGAAACATGGCCCGCTCCCAAAAGCAGCAGACCCATGTGAGCCACGTGGCCACTGAGCTGTATGTGTACGAGCCCCTTTATTTATCGTATCCTCTTGGAATGCTTTCAAAGCAAGAACATTACGCATGTGTAATATCCAGAAGTGAAAACAGACCCATTTGACATTGCTCTGCAAGTTTCTGCCCTAAATTAGACAGTGAATCAGAAGGTTACGTCTGCGGGTGGGTTGCAGAGAGAAAACAAAAAACCCTAGCACATGTGAGCACGTTGGAGAAAGATGGGAATCGAAGGCAAGCCTGTGTAAGGATCTTTTTTTCTCAAGTCAGGAAAGGCAGATCCAGGCGAGTCTTGTTTTACTGCAGTGCAGACAGCGACAATTCCAAACCGATAATGAAAGACCCTAAAATAGGCCCTATGTATCAGGCTGCCCTGTGTCCCTGGGAAAGAGCCATGTGTCAACTGGATGTCAACCCCAGCATTTTCTTACTGACCCACCTCCCTGACTTTTATCTCTGAGCATGCAGATAAGCACATATGACAGTCTCTAGAGATTATTTCTAAATATACCAACCCCTGTTTATACCAAAATGGGTTCCCTGACTGTCAGTTCTCCATGGGTGCAGGCAGACTCCCAAGAACAAGCCCTGGCACATCCGCTCCCAGGAGAAACCTGGGGCACAGCACAAGCCAGGACTCTGGGAACCTGGCTCCACTGTTCTACATCTGAGGTTGGGACAAGGACAAGTCCATGGTACTGACGCCACTTCTGTGAACATTCCTACCGGAGGTCAGGGCAGTATCCACAGGCTTGTTCTGCCAACCTATGGACTGCTATTTAAGCAAGCAAGAAAGATCTCAAAAGCCCAGCAACAAAGCCTCCAAATTAGACAGGAAATAACATAAACATGGCAAAGCGTTTTAGAAGCCAGAGCTCAGAAAACAAGCTGCCTACGTTCAAATTCCAGCTCTCCCATTCAATAGCTGTGTGACCTTGAGCAAATTAATGAGGCCCTGGGAACGTCAGGTTTCTTCTCTGTAAAATGGGTTTCCATAAATGTAAAATTTTCTCTAAAGTGTAAAATGTAAGAGGTCCCCACTTCATCAATGGGAGGGGAAGATTAAACAAGATAGAGTATGGGACACACTTAGATTAGTGCCCACCAGGAGCTGATGAGCAGGTCCCATGCCTGCACCCAGTGAGCGGCTGCCACCCCAGGAGTCAGGGCTCCATAAACAATGGTTATTTGTCTTCAGAATGGCCTCCCTATCATCCCTTGCAATCATCAAAGTCTCTGGCTGTAGAAACAAATCCAAATGGAGGCCTGGGCTAAGGAGAGCGGGGGTGAAAAGATGTTGGCTGTCATGGCTCTAAACTGTTTATAACTGAAGGAATGCATTAAGACACTCACACTCAGGGAACTGATTTATGTTAAGTAAATGGCCCTACATCCCTTGGACGTCTCCACTGGAGCTCCCTCCACAGCCCAGTCATTTAAACACATGGCTTGATCCGGGTCCCCATGTGGGTGTTGGCAGGTTGAAAGGCACTTCCAAAGCCAGCAGGCTCCAGAATGCCAAATATGGCCAAGCTCAGACCCCGCAAGGTAGACCACAGGGAGGCTCCCCACAGGTGCCAGAAGATGGGGAGGGGTGACTCAGATGGCATTAGCTGACAGCTTCAGGGTATGGATGGCTATGGGCTATTTTCATTTCCAAACAAAATTTTCCACCCTATAAACCCTAAAGTATTTTATCGAAGCAGGGGGGTCTAATTCATCCATTTGCTGCGGAAAGGGCAACATCTTCAGCAGGGAAGAGACAGCTATTTTGAGTCACGGCACTGGCAGTCTCCTCCCCCTGAGAGGGCCTATCAATAACAGTACTCCCTGGATGGAAATTTCCATCTCCCAGAGGAGACCCCAGAGGAGTCGCAACAAGTTCATGGTACAAAGGAAGAAGAGCAGGGCCAAGCCTGCACCTGCTCAGACTTGCCATTCAACTTTCGGCAAGTCAGATCATCTCCGAGCCTCAGTTTCCCCACCTGTATGCTGGAAACAAATCTGTCATGGGGTCAAGTAAACAATGCAATGAGACAACATGCATGAGATGTTTTGAAAAATCCTTAGAATGAAGGTGCAGTAAAACTATAAAGTATTATTTGCAGACTCCTTCAGGAGTCTAGAACAGAAATTAGAAGCTCTCAAATTAATTCACCTTTAAAAATATGTCTATGATTTACCAACCTAGCTGAATAAAAAGGGAAGAATATAATTTTTAATGGGCAGATGTTTTTTCCTACATTATCTACATTATCCTAACACATACTTCAACTGATTTTTTTTTCACTGAATTGGGTATTTGTTTGATGGCAATGATTGAATCAACTTGCTGTATAAAATACAACCTAAGCAACTCTCTGACTCTATGAGGAATGGCCAGAATTGCAGTGGTGCCGCTTACCTTCACTCCTGCCTAGGCCTATGGCAGACATCACTAATCCATCACTGAACACTTTCCCCTAGGAGCTTAGGCAATGGTTCAGGGTCCTTTCAACAGAGCACTCCAGGTGGCCATAACCAGTCCTGGATCCACACAGGATCTGAAACCTATTTGTCATCTTAGATTTCTCCTTTGCCGGATTTAACTGGAAGTCATAGGCTGGGCAAAATCATCCACAGGATGATTTCCATCTTACTAATTCCTCCTGAACTTATTTGCTGATGCCTGAAATTCTTGGAAAGGAGACAGTCTTTCATTTCACAATTAGAGAAAAGGCTGAACATGCAAATACTTCAGAGGGAAGACAAAATGACTTAAATTTATACAAAAATGTAAATAGTTGATTCCAGCCGCCCTCTGAGCAGGTTCCAGGTGGCTCTGCTCCTGTGGGGCTTTCAGCTACATCCTAAAGACCGTTCTCCTCCCACCTGTGCTGTCTCCTGGCAAAGTTGGCCTGGAGGGCCAGCCCAGCTCCTCCAAGACACAGCCAGCACTGCATTGCCAGGATGAGCAAGAACAGTGCAGCAAGGGCCCTTTCTCTGTGGTCATGTTTCAGCAGAGGGAAGGAGAGATACAAGGGAGAAGCCCTAGATCCCTGAGGGTGAAGTGAGAATGTTCCACAGCAATGGAAGGGCACAGAAGGGTAAGGTGACAACCAAAGACAAACTTCAGTGACATAGAGATAGCCACTCAACCTCACAAAATATCATGTTTCATCCTGTATTTGACCCCCTTATACCAAAAGCTGCTGATCTGTTGGACCACGTTTTTTTAAACACTTGGTCCTTGATGGAGCCAGGGTATCTGCCTGTGCACTGGAGCTCCATGGAAAACAGAGCAAGACTTTGAGAGCTGAAAGATTCACTCACTTCTCAAACGAGTGTGGTTTAACAATGGTCCGTGTTGCCGCCACTGAGAATGTGTGATGCACTTCCAGCCAGCGGCCCCACTGTCCGCTCTAGCACAGCAGATGCCCATCTGTTTTATTCATCAACGTATCTATCACTGTGTCCGTCTGGTATCTAGTAGACACTTAATACATGGCTGTCAAAATTGGTTATGCTTGTTTATGCCCTCTGCCAATGGCTATTACAGTGCCAAGCTCACAGTGAGCACACATTTAACATGGATTGATTGATTGTTGACTGACAGTCTGCCCTGTCTTCGGTTCCCTAAATGAAGGTAGTAGAATGAGTTAGCCTAATATACCTGACATATACCCAATACACCTAACCTAATTTACCTAATAGATACCTAATGTACCAAAAATATATTTTAATGTAGATCTGATATATACCTCATATACCAAATTATATACCAAAACATTGAAAAGGAGAAACCATGGACTAACATCTTGAAAGTTTAAAACACTCTGTAAATAAGTAAGTTCCATCGAACAGACTAGAAATCATTAGGTGCCATGAATAGGAGGCAATAAAGGAGGTAAGCTATTAAATATTATCTTGTCAGGCTGGGTGCAGTGGCTCATACCTATAATCCTAGCACTCTGGGAGGCCGAGGCGGGCGGATTGCCTGACCTCAGGAGTTTGAGACCAGCCAGGGCAACACAGTGAAACCCCGTCTCTACTAAAATACAAAAAAATTAGCCAGGCACGGTGGCGTGTGCCTGTAGTCCCAGCTACTCAGGAGGCTGGGGCAGGAGAACTGCTTGAACCCGGAACGTGGAGGTTGCAGTGAGCCAAGATAGCATCACTGCACTCCAGCCTGGGTGACACAGCGAGACTCTGTTTCCAAATATATATATATTTTTTGTATATATATATATTTGTATATATATAATCTTGTTGCATACATTTGAAGAGTTTCCCCTTACAAATACAGTTTTATTAAATGTCTGATTCAAGAGAGAATTATTTAACAAGCCAAGCAGAGGTATATTTATTATAACCCCTTTCCGGTAAATATACGAATACTTTCAAAGCATGTCCACATCCATTATCTCATTTGTCTTCACAACATCCTTGTGATGGTAGTAAAGTATTATTAGTGGACTATAAAACACAGGTTCAAATTTCCAGTTCTGGCAGTATGGCAGGCCATGCTCAGAGCACCAAGGAATGGAGAATTCACGCACATATTGTGAAATCATTCACAATGGAAATTATAAAGGGAAAAAGATACTCTATGAAAAAACTAAAATATTTGAAAAAGTAGAACTTCCAGGAATAAAATGTCATTGAAATTGCAAATGCATTTAAAGGCTAAGCAGCAGATACAAATGAGGGGGAAACTGGTGAACTGGAAAGCAAAGCAGAAGAAATTATCCAGAGTGTAGCAGAGGATAGATAACAAAATATGGAATATGAAAGAACATTTAAAAGAAAGAGTAAAATGAGAAAGATCAATACATGTTTTAATAATAGAGTTCCAGAGGAACAAAATAGAGTGACTAGGGGAGAGATAATATTTGAAAAGATCGTGAGGCTGGGAGCGGTAGTAGCTCATGCCTATAATCCCAGCACTTTAAGAAGCTGAGGTGGTATCATCACTGGAGCTTAGGAGTTCAAGATCAGCCTCGGCAACATAGCAAGACCTCATCTCATCTCTACTAAAAATGAAACAATTAGTTGGGCATGGTGCCGCACATCTCCAGTCCCAGCTACTCAGGAGGCTGAGGTGGAAGGATTGCTTGAGCCTGGGAGGTCAAGGCTGCAGTGAGCCAAGTACTCACTGTGCTCAAGCCTGGGCAACAGAGTGAGACCCTGTCAAAGGAAAGGGAAGCAAAGGGAAGGAGGAAGGCAGGCAGGCAGGCAGGCAGGCAGGCAGGCAGGCAGGGAGGGAGGGAGGGAGGGAGGGAGGGAGGGAGGAGGGGGAAGCGGGAAGGGGGAAGGGGAAAGGGAAGGAAGGAGGAAGGAAGGAGAAAGAGAAGGAAGGAAGGAAGGGAGGGAGGGAGGAAGGGAAGGGGAAAGGGAAGGAAGGAGGAAGGAAGGAAGGAGAAAGAGAAGGAAGGAAGGAGAGAGAGAAGGAAGGAAGGCAGGCAGGCAGGGAGGGAGGGAGGGAAGGGGAAAGGGGAAAGGGAAGGAAGGAGGAAGGAAGGAGAGAGAAAAGGAAGGAAGGAAGGAAGGGAAAGAAAGAAAATAAAGAAAGAAAAAGGAAGAGAGAAAGAAAGAAAAAAAAAGAAAGGAAGGGAAAGAAAGAAAGAGATAATGACTAAGAACTGGTGAGTGATACGAATCTTCAAGTTGAAGTATCTCACCAACTCCCAGCAATATATTTTAATCTATGTAATTAACACATCATTGTAAAACTGCGTAACACTAATATATCTTTTCAAAAATTAGAATATTGATTATTCATTTAGACTGACAGCAGACTTCTCATCAGCAACAATAGAATCCAGAAGATAATGGAATATCTTTAAACTGCTGAAGAAAGATAACTGCTAACACAGAATCCTGTACCTGACTAAACTATCATTCTAGAATGAGAAGCCAAAAGGAATAAAAGAAAATTTCAGACAAAGACTGAGGAAGTTTACCACTCATAGACCATTGCTGAAAGAACTAAAAAATATATGCTTCAGTACTAGGAAAGAAACTCAGAAAGAAGAAAAGGAATGCAAGATGCAATAAAGCTTCCTCTCAAAGACTTTCTTGAAAATGGGTGTGACTTCTTAGTCACACCTACCACAAGTAAGATAAAGCATCCCCGATTTAAGACTCTCTCAGTAGTTTCATATGCAAGGCCAGGCAAACATGGGACATCCTCATTCCTTTAAGACCCAAAGTCCTTTGTCTCTGGTACTATTTTTGAAGTCATGGAGCAAGGCTCTTTTATACTCTTCCCGCTCGACCCCCAAGACATTCTTTCTTAATGCAAATTTAGCTCAGAAATGCTCTTTAAGGCTGGGCATGGTGGCTCAAGCCTATAATGCCAGCATTTTGGGAGGCCAAGGCGGGAAGATCACTTGAGGCCAGGAGTTTGAAACAAGCCTGGAAAAGACAGTGAGACCCTGCCTCTACAAAAAATTTAAAATGTATCCAGGCATGGTGGCAGACACTTGTAGTCCCAGCTACTCAGGAGGATTGCTTGAGTCCAGGAATTTGAGGCTGCCGTGAGCCATTATCACATGACTGCACTCCAGCCTGGACAACAGAGTGACGCCGTCTCAAGAAAAAAAGAAAAGAAAAGACTCTTTAAGCATTTGAGTCTATGCTATAATGTCCCAATGCAGCCAATAGTACGTAAAGGACCAGACACAAAGTTTTCTCCTGCCATATTTCCATCAATCCCTTTGAAATACTCAAGTAACGGTCATTATAAGTGAGGTTACAAGAATAAATAGATTCATATGGTAGGAAGGTCAGATGCAGAATCCTAGACATGGGAAAATTAAATGGTTCGAACAAAATGCCAATGTGACAGATAACAATACATCTAAAACATAAATTCCTGCTCCCAGATATGGCTGTATCTTGTGACCACATGCTGTCTTTCAGGGGTTACAAGCTCGGTCACACTGCTCTCTCCTCCTCTGCTTCTTATTTTCTCTCTGACACACACAAATGCACATCCACACACGTACAGGCACACCCCCCACATGCAAGTCAAATAACTTGGGGTTTGGCTCCCAAGTGTTAGAGGAATCTTTCCATAAGGCTCCGTCTTTGGTTTAACTTTTCTGTTCATTTCCTTCTGGGCCTGAAAGATGTAAGTTGATGACCCTGATTGCCATTTTATCCTCACCCTTTCAGACAGACCCAGGAAAAATCATTAGGAGGGATGCTAGCTGTACCAGTCTGAGGGCCAAGGACGCATGGGATTGCAGGCTGTGATGTCTACAGGTCTCTGAAGAAGAGCTGAGTCCACTTCTCAGGATACCAGCCCATTCCATGGCTTCCCTCAACTCAAGGACATTCTTCTTCTGGTCATTTTCTTCCTCAAAATTTTCTTTTCTCCTTCATTTTATTAAAGCCAAGTCAAACTCCAAAGAAATGCAGAGGACCAGTTGTCTGAGTATGGCAGCAGCTGGAACTGCGGAACCCTGTCCATCTGGACTCTGAGTTCATTCCCCAACTGATACCCTCAGAGGAAAACATTGCATTCCGCCTAAGTTTCACTGGAGTGGAAAAAAGGAAAAATCCCAAAGCCTTTTGTTGCCCAGACCCAGCAAGAGATCAAGCTGGGGTCAGCGCTGCCCTTGAGGTTCATCAGAATAAGGCCAAACTCTGCAAGTAGGTTTCCAGATGAGGCCAGACGGGGTGAGATGGTGGCCACAGGGCCTGCCATGCCAACTCCCACGAGGGCCGTCATAACACACTGTTTCCAGGCAAGGCACACAGAAGACTAGTGCTACTTCCCTAGCCAAAAATGGAAGAACAAAGGCAAGGACTTGGGGCCACTGGACTGTCTATGCATTTTACCATGAGGAGCTAGTATTGCAAACATCACGAAAATTGGCATCTATGAGAAGTCAACAACTGTGCCTCTTTTGGGAACAATGCCAACATATAAGAATGGATGCAGGGGCTCTGGCCGCTGCAGAGAATTTGAGTGAGGTGCAGAAGCCCAGCCTCCTCAACTCAGAGACACTAGGTCTTTGCAGCCACCGCCTCTCTGCCTGCCTCCGGGAAAGGCCTCCAGGCCACTCACAACCCTCCCCCACACCAGACCCCTCCCAACCAGAGTCCTCTGCATATGTGACAGGGACTGGGGCAGGGTCTGGGGGGTACCTGCTGGTCATTCACACCTTCCTACACCAAGGGTAAGCTCAGAGCCACTCAGCAGAGCATATTTCCATGGCATTCAAGGAGTGTTACTGTCCTTGGCATCAAAGACTCACATCCTTTCATGAAACATTCAGGATATCATATTTTTCTTGATTACAGGGAAATCAAGGCATTGTAAAGCTCAAGTGGGATCCAACCAGAGGCTTTCCAGTGGTTTGTAACATTTTTCTTGTGGGATTACAACAGGGGAGAGGATGAAGAAAAAAATAACAAAATGTTCTGTTCTCAGGAATTTGATATTCTGATATAATTATAAGGATATAAAATCGCAGGGCTTAACACTCCACAAAGGCTAACCGGTTCTCCAGAGAGCCAATATCATAGGCTGTGAAGCTGGGCTTGGTTTGGATGGAAGGGCATGGAAAGACAGGGGTGGGAACAGTGTGAAGGTAAGTATTCTCCAGGTGAGTGCGCTGAGGTTGGCACTTGTGGTCTTGATTGCCCCATCACTCCTCCTTTCTACCGTTGCGCCCTGACTGAGGTTAACAGTGCAGGTTCCTTGTCCTTGATGCCCAAGACAGTCTGTGGGAAGCCTGGTGTCTGACGTCCACCTCCACCAGTCCTCCCATCCCCTGCTTCCTTCCATCCACGTCACAAACGTGACCTCAGGGCTGCACACCACGAGCTCTCTCTGCTTTGGTGTCAGCACCCAGAAGACCCTCTGGAGGCCAAACTGTGAAACCAATAAAGTCTGTCTTCATGTGCCTGCCCTTACATACAGGCACGCACACGCGCGCACACACACACACACACACACACACACACACACGTGCATCCTAGTCCACAGTCCTAAGCCCACATCCTTAAACTGCCACCATCTCCACCACCCAGGCTTTTGTCATCTTCTTCCTGTTATGCTCCCCAAAGAAAGTCCACCTGGCCCTTTGTGCATCCACTCAGAGCTCAAGGGGCCCATTGGCTATTCTGATGACTAATCCACCTGGGATGGAGGCAGGCTGGGGGATTCAGACTCCCTGACTCCCACTAAAACGATGCATCCTGGCTCCTGCATCCCACTGGCCACCTTGATTCTCCCACACCAGCTCGAGCTTGGCACGCCTCCTACAGAGCTAGAACCCTTTGCCCCCAGACCTAGTCAGCAGCTGTCTCACTTTGCCAAATTCATTTCTGGGGAAGCTTTCTCTAGGAATGCCAATCACTCCTGGCCCCTAACTCATGCTTCCAGACCTCGGCCGGTGCCTCTGGGACCTGGGCACCCTTGTGGATTTCTTTGGGTGTCTCATAGTGTTTCCCACTGACCGTTCCCTCTTCCGGTCTCCTCAAGCTCAGGCCCCACTCCAGCTGCCTCATCCCTCCCAGGATTCAGCACCCCTGCCCGAGGCCCCTCCTGTCCTCCTTTCCAGCTCCCCCCATGCCCCTCTACGTTTCCTCATCCCCTGCTTTACTGCATGTCTGCCTCTGAAGACAGAGTGCTACCTCCTTTGCTGGGGTTGAGCCTTCCACTCCCATCCCCAACGCCACTGCCTACTGCCTTCTTCCCCATCTGCTCCCCTCTCTTGCATTTCCAATCTCTCATGTGCCAACAAATCCCTCCCCTCTCCTTTTATTCACAGCCAAAATTCTTGAAAGAGTGGTCCCCATGTGCTGCCCCTGCTTCACAACCACCACGCCTCATCATTGCACAGTTCGGCGGGACAACAGTCACTCTGAACCCACTCTCCAGCCCAATCATTCAATCCAGCGGGCTTCTCAGTTCCCATCTTCCCTTTCACGACTCCATTCAGCAATGACGGCCTCCTGGAAATGCTCTCCTGCCTTGATCCCCAAGACCCTGCAGTAGTAAGGCTCTCCCGCTACCTCCCTGACTACTCTGTCATTGTCTCCTCCATTTTACCCTCCTCCTGTCTGTCTTCAGCTCTCCATCGTTCCTTCCCTCTGCTCTCTCTCTCCCCAATGGCTCCACCTCCACAGCTTCAAATAGCACCTTCTTAGACAGAACTCTAATTCTGCGTGCATGCTGGGCATCTTCTACTTGCCTCCAAATACAACCTCTACCCTTCCCATCCAGATCACAGCACAGGGCTCCCTTGTCTCTGGCTTTCTGCTGGGAAAATCACTCCTTCCCTCTCTTGCCTGGACAGTGGCAACAGCCTCAGAACTGCCCCTCTACCTGCAGCCTCGACTCCCCTACCTTATCCTCTAGCCTGCTGCCTGGAAGAGCAGCTCTGAGTATACCCTCTCTCCACTCAAACACTTTAAACGGCCCTCCATTGCCTACCAAATGCCATGCAAACTCTTCAGCCCAATACAGGGTGCTCCACGCATTATCCCCTTCCTGCCATTCCAACTTTCTCTCCCACTTCTTCCCCCTGCAAAACCTTGCTCCAGCCAAACTCAACTCACTACTCCTTTGAAATCCAACGCACATCCCTGTGAATACATTACAGGCCATCCCACCCTTTCTGTTGGGAATGTGCGCCTCTCCTCTCCACCCCATTTCTATCCACCCTTCAAGGGACGGCTCAGTCACAACCTCCATATAACACTTCCTCCATTTATTCCATCTTTCCATACCACCCTTCTTCTTTAAATCTGTGAGCCTTTATCTTTATATCCTTGTAACATCAAGCATGTTCTGCCTTTTATTACAGTTGCGGATGTCTGTGTGTCTAGGCATAAATCTTACCTCCTAGAATAGATACTTCCCTTAAAGGAAGGGATAGTTGAGGGCTGTACCTTGAAGATACCCTTGAATCCAGAGATCCTATAAGCAAACTGCCTTGCAGATAGCAGACGCTCAATAACTTTTTGTTAATGACTAACCATTCCTATTCTGGAGGAAAAAAAACTATTTAGAATTGTTTTCATCACAACTGGCATGAGACAGTTCATTTTCAGAGATATTTCACAGTCAATTTATCCTAGAAAAGGCTTCTTATCTCCTGGTCTTTCAGACAGCTGGGCATAGGTCAAAATTTTTGCCTTTTAAATAATTTTAAAAACAGAGGCACAAGATCCTATTCACGACAGACCAAATATGAGCTCTGAGTCACTGAAATCCACTTGGATGTATAGCTCGAATCCCCAGGATGTCTCAGGCAGCCAGATATGGCAACAGAAGCTTCCACCTTGGAGAAATGCTGTGCAACATTCCAGCTCTGCACAGCGGCCCAGAGGCACCTGTGAGCAGGGCCAGTGAGGGGGTGTGAGGGCAGAGCCCAAAGGAGAGGAATTTACTAATAGTCGGTTGGATTAAATTAAGTACATTGGCCTTCAAAGTGCAAAGTCTTCTGAGCTTCACATACCTCCATGAGCCTGTGCGCTTTTTTATCCATACCCAGGTCTCTGATTAATGGGTTCAGCTGAGGCATCAATGTATGTGTGTGTTTCTTCCTCAGATTAGCAGAGTTCAACATGCTAAGACAGAAATGCAGCCGATGATATTATCACTCTTAGGTAAAATGATCACCAAGAAAATACCTATCCCAAGACTGGAAAGAGGCTTCCAGAGTCATTTAACTGGGGCATCAATCCACAGCCAAGAGCCTACCACGTGCTGCTGTTTCCCCTGGCTGTCTACCCACTGCTCGCTTCCCTCTCCCCTTCCTCCTTTCCCAATTTTCTCCCCGGACTGTTTACCTTTCTTCTCACGTTTTTGCCTCTCTTGCCTAGACTTTAGATGTATGAGGAGCAGGTGAGAGCCCTGGGAAGCTGCTTTTCCCCTCTGAAGGCAGCTTTCAGGCTGAAGGCAGAGATCCCTTATTAATCAGTCATGCCTGGGGCAGGGCAGGCAGCACCTGGCCAGCACAGAGCACAGAGCTGCCTCCCCCTCACAGTCCAGGGAGGACTCGGCCCAGCCACACATGAGGGGAGCCACCCTCTCCCAACAGTCCCCAGGCTTATCAGGCCCACATCTCTAGCCACAGACATGGGTGCTCCTGGACTAGACACACAGGCAGAGGGAGAGACAGAGACAGACTAAATAGCTTTGTCTTGCCAAACACCAATTTCCTGTTGAGTTACGAAGCCAGGTCAGCAACGAGGTGAAAGCTGAACTGGATATAGAGACACCGGTTTTTTTTGTTTCGTTTTTGTTTCATTTTGTTTTTTTGAACAGAGGCAGTATCAGTCACTCCTCATCAAAAGGCAGCTGTCAGATTGTGAAACACCAATTAAAGTCAAATTTCTGGTATAGGAACTGGGAGCCCAGACTAAATACCAAACCCTCACTACTGACACAATAGGATTTCCTAATGCTGTAGTCTCATCTACGTGGGCTTCAAATTTGGGGCACTACCCAAGGAAGTGGGCTCTTAAAGCTAAAAAGTCATATTGCAGGGCCAGCAATTCCACTCCTAGGTAAACCCAAAATAACTAAAAATGGATTCAAATAGATACTTGAATACTGGTGTTCATTGCAGCACCATTCACAATAGCCAAAAGGTGAAAACGCAAGTGTCCATCAACAGAAGAATGGATAAGCAAAATGTGGCGTGTGCTTTCAATGAAATACTATTCAGCCATAAAAAGGAACGAAGTCCTGACACATGGTACAACGTGGATGAACCTTGAAGACATTATGCTAAGATACCTTTGAAAAATGCTAAAACCACTTTTTTGTATAATTGAAAGAAAACGCTTAATCCCACCTCCAAATGACAGCCAGCTCCCTAATTTCACGTGCTTCCTTTCAATGTCATCATTTATCATGTAAATTGTCATGACCTATCTAGGTCTGAAATTTGTGAGATATGTTATCAACAGTCAGACTACACAGCAAACTCCAACTGTAGAATTATTATTGCTGTTGGCTGGGCACAGTGGTTCACGCCTGTAATCCCAGCACTTTGGGAGGCCAAGCGGGTGGATCAAGAGGTCAGGAGATGGAGACCATCCTGGCCAACATGGTGAAATCCCATCTCTACTAAAAATACAAAAATAAGCCAGGCATGGTGGTGGGTGCCTGTAGTCCCAGCTACTCAGGAGACTGAGGCAGGAGAATCGCTTGAACCAGGGAGTCGGAGGTTGCAGTGAGACGAGATCGTACCACTGCACTCCAGCCTGGTGACAGAGCGAGACTACACCTCAGGAAAAAAAAAAAAAAGGAATTATTATTGCTGTCAATAACACATGAAAATCCATAGAGACAAAAGTAAATTCATGGTTGCCAAGGGCTGGAGAGAGAGGGGAATGAAAAGTGACTACCAATGGGTAAAGGGTATTTTTTGCGGGTGATGAAAATATTGGGGAAGTAGGTAGACCACTGAATCATACACATCAAAAGGGTAAATTTTACGGTATGCGAATTATACCTCAACAAAGCTGCTATTTCAAAATAAATAAATAAATAATGCATGAAGTCTGGAGAGCTCAGCTTACAGGGATGGTCCCCGGGACTCACGGGAATCTCGTTTGAGAATGGAGAGTGTCTATTTTCCTGGAGGGAGTGACTGAGGAAATATTCCAAGAATGGGTGGTGAAGCAAGGCCATGCCACAAATGGGTCCCCCGGGAGACAAGGTGTACTGACCTAGGTGGTCTGTGAAGGCCTGTGAGGAGATGTGAAGAAGCAAGGAGGGCCCTGGCAGAAACCCTGGGAATAAGGGGAAAGAAAGCCAGAGGACGGGACCAGGAGGGGAGGCGGGGTACCACGACAACATGCAGCCATCAAGTAAGAACAAGGATTCCAGCTCTGAGCTTCCACAAGGCAAATCTAAGCCAGGTTCCAGAAGGCAAGGACAAGGTCATTTTCCCAGGATAGAGAGATAGTGGGTTTCTCTTTCTACTGTTCTCCATGGGGAGAAGTAACAGAAAGAGCAAATGTTTTGAAAGTCCGACAGACCTGAATTTAATTCCCAGCCCCAACACTGTCTGGGTGGCTGTGGCCACATTGCTTAAGACTTTGGTCCTCAGTTTCCTTATCTAAAAAATATAATTAAAACCCACGTGGTAGGATTACTGTAAGGATAAAACATATTAAGCACATGAAGCACCAAGAACATTGTCTAACACATGCTAGGCATTCAATAAATGGTGGCTATTACTCTTGCTCTATTTTAAAATTATAACAAGGTAGATGTTATACCTCAATACAGCTTTTTTTCTTTAGAGAAAAATTAAAACATATATGGCTCCACAGATCACAGGACCAGAGCTGGGGGTAGAACAAGGTGCAAACAAATGCGAAAGTGCGAAAGTTTCCCAGCATACTTTTTGATGATGGGATTATTTTTGCTTTGGGAAACTAAAACTAATCCTGTCACTTAGACTATAATGTTAAAGCTCTTTCCTATTTTGATCAGTGTCTTAGGGAGCTACACAGAACTGTCCCCTCTATCTCCAAACCTGCAACATTTTGGCTATGAAAAATAAATAAGTTTATTTTCCAAACCCAAAGTTTACTTTTGAAGCAAAGTTTTATTTTCCAGCCCGTCCTCCTGTACTGGGAAGTTGGGTTTAGGTTTGGGGAATTCACGTTCAAAAGTGAGGAGACATTGGTTGCCCAGGTGGTGTTCTTCCTGCCCTCAATGGCCCTATTTTCAGGCCATGAAAGGACTTCAGGCCAGCGTGGCTTTGGACTTGAGGCCGAAGCCAGGCAGCCATGTGTGGTGGCAGTGAGGGGACAGCAGCATGGCAGGTGGACAGCTGCCAGGCGTCGGATACCCTGCATCCCCATGTCCTCACCCTCAGCTTGGAAACAGCAGCAGTGCCAGCAGTGCACATGGCTCCACCGTCCTGGGAGCCTACTGGCCACAGGCTCCTAGACTCTCTGGAGGGCAAAATACCAGGCCCATCTCAACCAATGGTTCACTTCCTCCCTGATTATTCTGGTATCAGCCAGACCACCTCAGACTCTGGTTTCTCTTTGTTTTACATTTTCACCTTTAAAATATTGAATAATGTCAGCCCTCCCACAACACCTCCAAAGTTGTTTGAAATGCTGTGAATGTTACTTCATGGCGTTGCTTTTCCAAACTCTGGTGCTCTGCTCGCTGATGGGGAGAATAAGAGTAGCTGATGTTTGAACAGCGATATACACTCATTCTCCTATTTGGATCCTCACAGCTGCCCTGCGAAGTGAATTGGCTAAGGATTATTATCTCCACTTTACAGACAAAAAAAAAAAAAGGGATTTGATTCCTTCTGAACTCTCAGAGAAAGAGATGAAGTCAAAGAATGTGACCCAAGACCCAAGTCATTTCTCTAGCCTACAGCCTTATTTATTCTTTAGCTATTTACTTTGTTACTTTTGTTAATGTCTTTGAAAGGTTTTAGCCCAACGTAGATTATTTTGGAAGAAAGAAAGGAATATAAATGACTGTACATGACACAATGGTTATAAAGTAAATAGAGCTTAATTGAGTACTCAAGTCAACATTTCTGCCCACAGGCAATATGGAGAAGAACATTCATTCACTGTCTAGATTTTGGCTTGGTTCTCTAAAGGACAGGAGACAAGATTATTTTATTTTCCTTTTAGCTAGGTTCAAGTGGGCAACACCAAGTGTAGCCGAGTGTATTAAAAGAAACCCCTGTTGGCAAATTGGCAGCTTGAATATTTCATGAAATTATCACAACACTATGTTCTGAAATGATGGCTTCCTCCAGGGAACTCAAAAGCCACATCTCTAAGCATGAGCCTGGCTCATGCCTCCGTCTTCAAGCTAGACCGAGTCAGCCTCAGAGGCCTTCCAGTTTCTCAGAGATGACTTGAAAGAGTATGAAACAAGTCAGCCAATGAACACTTCAAGGAAGATGGGAATGTCAGAGGCAGGTCCTAGTGATTCTCTTCCATGGGCTGAGTCTACCACCACTGCTGGGAATGTCTCCTGGGAGTAGGCCGGGGGTCCTAGGAGACCAACCCTGACATGGGAGCAGAAAGACGCCCTTGGTCGCCCAGCTCAGGTGGAGTCTGTGGCAGCCTGTCTCACAGTCTCTACCCTGGGGCTGATCTGTGTGTCTATACCCCAGCTACTGGTAATGCCAGCTGGTCCATGAAGAATCCCAGCAGCTCACCAGGGAAGTCCCACAGCACAGCCCGGCTTCCCATCCCCATCCCACTCTCGCAAAGGGGCTGAAACAAGCCTAGATTGGGGCCGAGAGGAAGTGAGCAAATAAAAAAGGCTTAGAGGCAGATCTGTTTGCAGACAAAATCGTGATCTGAATTTTGCAGGAGTTTCTTGTGGACATGTATGAACTTCTACTCTGTAGCCTAAGAAAGTGTTTTTAAACCTTTCCAATGATAGATTTCCCCCACCCCACCCTTCCAACTCCATTCCTAAATCTAACATCGCAGAAATTATTTTAAGGCAGTACAAAGGTGGAGGCAGGGGGAGGAAGAATAGAGAGGTTGAAAGATCTACCAAGCAAAATTTAGCCAGAAGCACTAACAATGCTCTCTCAGGGGGCCAGCACCAAGTGTGGTACAGGCAGGAGGATGAAGAGACTGAAGACCTTGTATTTAGTTACAT
This sequence comes from Homo sapiens, assembly GCF_000001405.40. Classification (NCBI taxonomy): domain Eukaryota; kingdom Metazoa; phylum Chordata; class Mammalia; order Primates; family Hominidae; genus Homo; species Homo sapiens. Next base: position 401,931 of record NW_018654718.1, on the reverse strand, counting down.
CCCTGCCTCCATGAACCTTTAGGGGCCTCTGTTTTCTCAACTGGAAATGAGGATTGTCTCTAAGGTTCCTTTACCCATAAAATGTCCTGATCCTAGAAAGTAAATTCCCAAAGAGACATTACATTTATTCTATGTTTGACAAACCCTTTAACGAACCAGAGCCTAGCCCCTTGCCCCCTATACACACAGGGTATAGCACAAGAAGCCCATTTTAAAGTGAAGGTGTTTTGCAGAGAACTGTTCTGTGGGGTTTTGGGGAGGGGAGGGGCTGAGAGGTTTGGGTTTCTTGCCAGTTAACCCCCGCTTTCCTCACCCTCTGCTTCAGCCAGATGAACCCTTCCTCTAGTTCCCTCGGCTTCCAGGGAAGGAAGGGTCTATTTTCAACCTCGGTCCGACTCCTGAGCTCCAGGCCCAAACTTCTCTCCTACAGTCCCTACAATCCCAACTTAAATTCAGTTCAGCTCCACAAGGAGTAACTGACTACCCTGATGACCTTGTTCCCCAAACCCTCCCAGACACCCTAGGGAGTTGGGGCTCCTCTGGCTTCCCCTCACCTTCTGCATCTCAGCTCTCGGAGGCTCCAGCCATCTCACAGCTCTGCTTTTCTGTGGGGTCATCCTGGGCTCCCCATCTCCCAGCTGGGGTCCTGCCCACACGGTACACACAGCTAGCACTGAAGCAAGGTTCTCCAGGGACCTGCGCGGGTCCTGCCTGAATTCGGCAGGGGAAAGGGGGCAGTAGAGAATGCATCCACTTCCCTTCCTGCCATGATAAACAGCTGCCTCCAGGGGTGCCTCAACTATAGAAACCAAGAGGGTCTGTCTACCTGCTCCAGGCCCGTGTCTACACAGGCTCAGGAAAGCCTGGTCTTGAGCAAATAAGCACCCCATCTAGGAATTAAAACACAGAGAAGAGCTCTTCTGGAGTGCCCAGGTTTCAGTTCAAATGATGGCATTCATTATTTCAGCCTTCCATTTTGCTTTTTCTGCAGTGGGTTCAGTTTAAGTCTACACACCCGGCTTCGAAATGACACCGAAAAACATTCCATTCCATTTTCCCCGAGGGATCCTGTCACTTTTACTTGTTTTACGTGGTATCTAACCTTGAGGTACATGTAAACAGGTGTTTACTAAATTATTTTAATAATGACAGCCATGGCTCAGAGTGTTATTTCATTATCAGAATGTTTAGCACTTCTGTCCCTAAATATTTGGCACCTGATATGTTGCAAAACAATTCCCCATGCCTTTTTTTTTAAAACCAATCTTCTGTTCTCCTCCACAGTGCCCAACATTAACCTAGGCAACTGTGAGGATGGAATCTAGAAACAGATGAAATCAGTGTGATTATTTTGTTAATTAGGCTTGTTGTTAAGTCTCCAGGTGTTTCGCAAACAGTCTATCAGCTTTCTGTAGTCCATATTGGAAAATAAAATTGTCTGCTAAATCTGAATGCTCAGCACTGATTTCAGGGTCCCAGCAAGGAAGAGGTGAGATGACGCCGGCTGACCTGTACCTCCTACAGAACAAACAGCTGCTGTATCAGGCGGGAGGAATTACTGTAAAAGGAAGAAAGTGCTGCCAGCCACTCACCCCTTCTTAGCACAGTGCCAAGGGCTTCTCAGACCTCATGGAACTTGCCACACAACTAAGAAAACCGAGTGAAGAAAGGAATAGAAAAGAAAATGCCAGGCGCTGGAAAACATCACTGGAAATTAGAACAAATCTCAGTTACTTCCTAACCTGGGTCTCCTGAGCTTTTCTGCCATTACCCAGCAGGAGATCCAGGCAGACTCATAAACGGAAATCAACTGTGAAGTGCACCCAGTTGTTTTTGTGTTCTTTTCCCTATTAAAGTTAGGAAAATGTCCTCCTGCCTTTGGCTGGCAAGCTCTGTGACTGCACAGGTCTGGGTTCCCAGATCCCATGCTTCAGGTCACCCCATGCTCCACTGGGCTTGGGCACCACCGGGCCCTCTGGTTACTAAACCATCAGTGAAAAATCAGGGAGAAAATTAACATCTGGCCATACCAAGTTCAGCGATTCACCCAAAAGGCTTCCTCCAGGCTCGGCGGGATGCTGTCTGTGCTGGAAGGGAACAGACGTCTGTGGGAAGAGCCTGCGACGGACTGGGTGGGCTCCAAAGGAGTTCTCATTACAACAGGGTGGAGAGGTCACTGTGGGACCTGGGTCCCTCAGTGATGCCGCGAGGGCCTCCAGTGTGTGCGGCGGCACGGAGACACACTGGTCTTTTGGGTTACCTGTGCCGGGGCAGGTGTGGGCCTGATGGAAGCAGCACAGCCCCAACAGGTCACAAGCTCTAAACTCCCCCTACACCTTTCATCACCAGGCGGACCCTGAAGCCCCTTTCCTGACTCCTAAGCCCTGTGGCGCCACCTACTGGAAGAGGCAGAAGCCACATCTACTGCAGGTCTGGCCAGGTCGCATTCATTCATTCACGCAGACATTTATTTGTTCAGCCTTGCATCGAGGCCCTGGACTGAGCAGCGGCCTGTACTAGGAAGCAGGGATCCCAAGATGAGCAGGGCCTCGAAATCTCCAGTCAGTATGCTCCTTGGATCCCTTTGATAGGTCTTACAGAAGAACCCAACTCAAGCAGTTTTATTTGAAGAACAAATTGAAGAGACCTAGGTCATTGCCAAGACTGAGAGATGGTCCCACGGGGCTAACGGCTCATCATTTCATTTACAAAGCACTGTGCCTGCAGCATCTACCTGTAAGAACAAGTCTCCCTTTACTATGAAGAAGAAATCTTTAAACAGTCTTAGGAGACTGCATTATCAATACTTCTCTCTCAACACCCCAGGTCCCTGAAGGGCATTAGCCTCTCGTGTGATCTATTTAAAATAGCTTTTCCTTATTCCATGTGTGTATGTATACACACACACACTTAAATACTGTTAGTGTGTATTCTATGGAAATAATGAAAAATTGACTCTTTTTAATATATTGTCATATTCTAAAACACTAAAAAGTGCCTGACCAATAGTAGGAATAATATGATGAACTCCAATAGCCCCTTTCCTCCAGTTTTCTCCATGCAGGATCAAGAAAAAGCAAAGCTATTGCCACAGCTTTCTTTAACCTGCTCAAGCTGATGTGCGAGCAATGTTGTTCTCTGACCATTTGTAAAGAAAGTTAACTGTGATCATTATTATTATTACCTTATTACAGTGATTCTTATTCTGCTGAATCGCTAAGTAGTTAAAAGAAAAGCACAGTGTGTCTTGCACTCCCCAAACACATGTTTCTCCCCTCTGCCTTGTCTCTAGCAGATAAGGGACATTCTGGTGTTTTATTTGTTCAATGGTTGACTATTAAGACACTCATTTGCTAGCTGGAGCCTGCAATAGAAAATCGGCCCAGAAAAGTGGGAGGCTGGCACAGGCCCAGAGCAGACAGGGCACCAGAGGCGAGGCAAGGCTTGAGTGTGCCACCCCAGCCTGAAACCCAGGGTCAGAAGCTGGTCCTTCAATGAACTTCCAGGCTGTTCCCAGGCACTGACCTCCAGTCTCCAGTTCGACCCTCAACACACACACACACACACACACACACACACACACACACACACTCACACACACTCACACATGCACACACTCCACGGAAAAGGTGAGGGAGCAAGGACTGGTGCATTCCACATCTCAGAGCATGTCGGGAAGAGAGGAATGCACAGCCCCCGCCACTGACAACTTTTTTGGTTCTCGACTCTTTGTTTCGTCACCATTACTGATCTTCTGAGGCAGTCCTAGACTCCTCTTCTGTCTCCTGAAACTCTAACCCCTATGATGGCTCACCCGCCCCCTTTAGTGATTAGCCACAGCAACCTCTTCCTTGTCAATATTCATTCTGTTCTAGGTCTGCCCTTCCCACCTCCACCACCCTCCTCCCCTCTCCTACCCCAACAACCTCGGCAATGCCAACCAACTAAAGAAGAGAAGATGGAGAGTAGAGGGGAGACAGGGATCTTGGTGCTCTTCCACCTGGGAACCGCATCTAGAAATGGAGGCAAAACTGCTCCCATGAATTATATAATCACTGCAGCTTCAAGGGAGAGAACTGGAATTCAGGTTGCCATAGCGTTTGCTGGCATGTTGCTGGAAAGGTAGAGCTCTCAGCCGCTGGCTCCCTTGCTCCCTTCCCCTCTACCTTTCTCAGGAACCTCTCTGGGGTTGGCACTCCTACTTTTAATGTCTGCTCCCAGCATACAGCAGGGAGATGCTGAGAGGCAAAGGGGCCAAAGAAAACAACCAGAGTAAGGAAATGGGTTCAGAAGGGGTTTATCCTGCACTAAGAGGAGACCTTGTAAACTAGTTAAGATTATCATCCTGTGAATAAGGTGAATAATCACTATTATTACCACAGTACATTGCCATTGACAGTGATACTTAGGGCAATACTACAGAGCTCTCCTCTTCAATGCTGCTTAGACTGAGGAGGTGGGTAAAGCACGCAGTCTCAGAACCTGGAGGGGAGTCATCTTGCATCCCCACTCTTCACAAATACCACCCTCTTTTGTGTCTCACTCCTTCCCTCCTAAACCATTCACTAGCCCATCAGCTACAGAAGGGAGAGGGGATCAGGTGAGGGATGGGGTCAACAGTAGAGAAATCCAAACATGGATACTGCCCTTGTGACCCCAAAGCTCTGGCTCACCCTAGAACCCATGACCCTTGACAAGATTCTTTCTTCCAAAGGAGGCCACAATCCCCAAGCTGCCACCCATGCTGGAAAGCAGAGAAGACTGGCCCCAAAATCGGTTTCAGGATAGATGGAGACCAGGCAGGCTGGATGGCAGCTTCTGGCTCTAAAGAGTGAAGGCCCTGTCCCCAAAAGGTGGAGCTGGGAGCAAACAGAGGGAAAAAGCTGGACAAAAAGACCTGGAGACAACTCCTTCCACCAGGCTGGTCTTCAGAGGATCACTGGGAAGAACCCAGGGAAGGAACAGAGACCAGCAGTGACAGATAGGCTTTCAGGGGAAGAGAAGAGGAAGAGTGCAAACAGGGAGGCTCTGGGAACTGGGAGAGAAAAGGGAGAGACTACACCCAAAGAGACAGAGCAGTGGCGAGAAGAAAGAGATGTCATGCCTGGAGGTTGCCAGAAAGCCCCGCTGGACCACCCTGTCTGCACCCCCCGTCCCCAAAACCTTAAATGCTAAGCAACGTCCAAGAAAACAACTTGTTAATATGGGGGGAGAGCGGTGAGGGAGAAAGTTTCCAGGAAGTAGGGAGTTACCTGACTGCCTTTCACCATCACAGGGGGAGCTGGTGACACTCGCGGCCAAGGATGGAGATGCTCGGAAAACACTGGGCAATAGTATGGAGCCGCGTGAGCCAGGCACACCCTTTCATGATCTCCTTCAAACACGAAACAGCAAAGCCCACACACCGCCCGGCTCCTCGCCGCTTCCATCCTCAGGTGCTAGCCCACATGTGGGTGCGAATGAGAACACACGCGGCGTGGGCGCGCTCGGGGTCAACAGCAGTGGAGAGGTGGGTGGGTGTAGGTGAGCGGCGGAGGAGGGAGGGAGAGAGGAAGAAGGGGACCTACAGAGGGGGAACCAGAGGGGCGCGCTGGGCTTCACATCTGCACCGCCGCCCCCACCCGCCACCTGGAGCGCGCCGCCCAGGGCAGGGGCGCCTGGACGAGAGTGGACGCCGGGCAGCGCGAGGGCGCCCCAGGGGCGGCCGTGGGCGCCGGGCTCTGCCGGCGCAGGGTGCGCGCGCGCGCGCTCCCAGCCGCGCCCCGAGCCGGGCGAGGGACCCCGGGCCTCTGGGCTCCGCGGCGCCGGCGCCCTCTGCCCCCCGCGCGGCTGGCCAGGCAGCCGGGCTCTCCAGGCGGACGCGAGAAAGCGAGGCGGCGGCAGCCACTTGGGGAACTTTTCCCCCCTCGCCTGGAATTTCACAGGAAACACATGCTCTGGAGAAGCTGGGGCCCGGAGGGGGAGGGGCGGGAATTTTCCGCTCCGTCTCGCGCGGCGGTTCGGGCCCCGGTCCCGCCGGGCTCCCGGGCGCTCCGACGAGGCGGAGGCGCCCCTCGCGGACGCGGCCCCGGGCCACTCCGCAGGGACCGGCCCCGGGGCCGCGGGGAGCGCGGGTAGGGCAGGAACCCGGTGGAAAAGGCAGGGAGCCCCGGCGAGGCGGCGGGGTCCAGCCTTACCTTGGTGGTTTTCCTCTGGAATGTACATCCTCGTATTCTCATTGACCATGGACCAAAAATGGTTTTAATAGGAGGAGCAGCCACGAAGAGGAAGAAATGTGAAAACACCCCCCGGCGGGTCTGGATTAATCCCTCCTCCGAGGCCGGCGGCTTTCGCGCAAGATTCGAGGAAGCCGTGGTCTGCAGCGTTTCTTCTTCCCCGCCGACGATTACCTGATTCCCATTATGGCATCAAACCCCAAAAACTGCTCCTTTCCACTACTGCCTCCTCGAGTGAAACTGTAACGCATCCTCAGTACATCCGGGCCCCTTCCAAGAACTGAGCACCGCACCTCCGGCGGCTACACCATTTGAAAAAATAAATCGGGAGAGGCAGGGCGAGAAGAGGCGGAGAGGAGGGGCGGGGGGCGCGCGGGGCCCGCCTGGGCCGGCAGGGGCCGAGGCGCCTCTGCCCACTCCCAGCGAGTCCTCCTGAGGCCCCTGCCCGGCTCTCTGCTGTCAAAGGGAGCCGGCAACTCCTGGGCGCGGAGGCAGGAAGAGCCGCCGCCGCCGCTCCGGGCCCGCCGCGCCGCGCCGAGCGCCGCTCTGGCAGGAGCTGTTTCTGCAGAGGCAGCGAGAGGGAGACACCGGGCGCGCGAGAGCGCCGCGCTCACTCCCCCCGGCCCAGCCCCGCCGCGCCCGCGCCCGCCCCTGCCCGCGCCGCCCGCCCGCCCGCCCGGCGCGCCGGAGGCAGACGCGCTGAACGCTTCCAGATGTGGCTGCGGCGGCGCGCAGGGAGCCGGGCGCACGGCGCGGGGCGCACGGCGGCGGACTGGAGCCCGAAGTCGGGCCCCCTCCCGGCGCCCGCGGCAGCGCCGCCCGAGCGAGCCCTCCGCCCGCATGACGTCAAAGGGAGCGGGCCCCGGCCGCCGGCGGGCGAGGGGCGGCGTGAGGAGCCCCCGGGGAGGCCGGGGCGCGCGGCGCACCCGGGCGCCAGCCGCGGTGGCCGCGGTGGCCGCGGCGCGGACACACCCCCTCGCGCCCCGCCGGCGGCGTCGCGCCCCCCGCGCCGGCCTGCAGCCCCCCGCCCGCGTTCTCTCCTCCGCTGCGGCGGCGCGTCCCTGCTGGGCCGGCCACGCCGGGAAGGCCTCTGTGAGCGGAATTCCAAGGAGGAGGAATACAATTTGCCCGACTACCAGAGTCTCGTTTCGGATCGGGCCACTGAACAAAACGGCAAGATGAGCCGTGATTCCGTGATTCTGTTTGATCAATTATAATCAGAGCGGTTGTAGAAGTGACAGATAGAGGAGGGGAGGGGAAGCGGGAGGGGCAGCGAGGCGGAGCCTGGTAGGCGAGGCAGCGGTGCCCAGATGTCTGAACAGATTCCTAGACCCAGGTTTAATAATTCCTTGGAGGCAGCCGAGCACGTGTTCTACTAGGATATCCTTACCTACTTCTCTTAATTATTTCTGCAACTCCGGCAGGAATCTATCCAGCACCTCTCCTTCCCGGAGAAGCAAACACTTCCCTCCATCACTCCCTGCAACCACAGCAAGTTCCACGGCACCCCCTGCAGGACCGGGCTCCCCTCCAGTGGGGCTTCGTGATCCCTTTCAGGGGGGCCTACAACTCCCTCTTGGGGAAAACCTCTACCTGCCTCCACATAAGACCTCCTCGCCTCCACATCCACCCTCATTCCCTGGGTGACCCTAACCATTCCCGTGGCTTTCAGCAGCTGTCTATATCAAATGTCTATCTCCAGCCCAGACCTCTCTCCTGAATTCCAGACTACAGCTGACTCCGTCTGATAGACATTTCAAGCCTAATACATCCAAACACTGGATTCCTGATCTCTTCAAAGCCTGCTCCTCCTCACACAGCCTTCCCCATCGCAGTCGATGACCATCCCATACTTCTAGTTGCTCAGTTCAAAATCCTGGAGTCACTCTTGACTCCTTTCTCTCATCATTCCACGTCTAGTCCATCAGGAGATCCTGTTGACCCTACCTTCAGGTGAATTCAGAACCTGACCACTTCTCATTTCCTGCACTGCCACCACCTGGGGCTGAACCAGCATCCTTCACCCAGGTTTCTCCTGTGGCTGATCCCCCTGGTCTACCTTCCCTCTCCCCTCTGGTATTTTCTCAATACAGCAGTCGGAGTAACCCATTTAAAACATCACATCCCAGCACTCCTCTGCTCAAAACCATCCATGGTTACCCATTTCACTTAGTAAAAGCCATGGTCCTTGTGGTGACCTACAGGAATGGCTGAGTACAAATCCCCTTACATCATCTCCTACTGCTGTCCCCCTCACTCGGGATACACTAGCCTCCTGGCTGGGCCCCAGACACTCCAGGAATGACCCCTCAACACACACGCACATTGTAAGGCCTTTGCTCTAGCTATTCCCACTGCCTGAAACACAAACTCCCTCGGCTTCTTCAAGGCTTTCCGCAAATCTCACCTGTTCAGTGAGGCTCACCAGGACCTCATCCTGATTCAGTACTGACAGACCCCCACAGCGCTCCCTATCTCCCCTTACTCTTACTGAAATCCTGTCTAACATACTATATAGTTTACTTATTCATTAACTTTATTGCTTATTGTCTGTATCCCCCCACTAAAATGTAACCCCCATGAAGGCAGGTGTCTCATCTATTTTGTTCACCAGTGCCTAGAGCAGTATCTGGCAGATAGTAAGTACATAATATGTATTGAATAAATGAGTGAGTGCCTGAGATACTTTCAGGAGTGTTGCAATTCCCCCTATGAAAATGCATCTGTCCGTCCCTTGGTACCTGAAACCTTACCACTCCTGTTTCCTTCCTTTGTCCAGTGGTTCTGGCCCCAGTGTAAAATGCAAGTGCCCCTGGGAGAAGTATTAAGCTGTTTCGGTCATCTTCATTCTAATGTTAATAGCGATCTCAATTTTGTTGGTTACAAGAGAAATCTGGCCTCTTTGCCATTCTGGTGTGTTCATACTCAATTTTCAACTTAATAGAGAAAATTAGAAATGACACAAATTCAAATATTTCGCATTTACTTTAGGATGCATTATAGGCCTGTGTTTCAGAGGCTGCTGTAGCTGATAATTTGTTTAAATGAATAGTAAAATTGGTTTGCATCCCCTTTACACACAAGTGCAGGAATAATAATAATAGCTAACACTACTGAGTGCTCTGTGCCAGGTACTGTGATAGGCCCTTTACAGCCTTTATCTTATTTAATCCTCACTGCGATCCAATAAGCTATGTGTTATCGTCATGATTATCCCCATTTTACAGATATGGAAACTGAGACTTCGAGACTTGAATTACAATGTCCAGGGTCACCCAGCTGAGTAAATGTGGAGCCTGGACTTAGCCCAGGCATATCTGACACCAAACTCAGTCTCTACTATTATCTTACTCATTCTTCTGAGGGGTGAAGTGTGGGTGAGCTGGTGGGGGCAGGGCTGCAGGGAGATGAACAGGGTGAAATGATTGCAAAATATGCTGCAGATAATTCACAAAGAGCCAAGTCACTGGGAACAGAGTGTATGTGTGTTAGGGGGTCACGTGCAGGATTTATAGCCCAGCTTTTCTAAAGGTAGGCACTGTATAAATCTAGCAAGTAAATATTACCTCCACGCTTCTTTAGTTTCATTTTTCACTTCTCTTTTCAGCTGTGAAATGTGTTCTTTCCTTTCCAGAAAAAGGTATTTCCTAAATATTTGGTCTTGCAGTATACGCCCATATCCCAGCTTTTAACTTTGGAACACAGCCCTGGGTGTGCTCTTTCGAGGTAACAAATTCTCAACATGACAAAAGGAGACCATTGTGAATTCCGATTTGGGGATTTGGGAGGTGGTGGGAGCAGAGGAGGGAGTCTGCATTTCTCTGTCATTGAATGATTTGATTCTCCAGCTAAAGAATCTCCCATAGGTCTTCATGTGTGCCCTCTTTCTGCATAGTATTTTGCTTATATTTGCATGAGCCTTTTTCTCTCCTCTTCCTTACTACATTTTAGGTGTCTTCAAGAAGAGAACTGTGTTTATTCTTTGTGCATAACATAATGCCTTGTACATATGGACACTCAATTTGTGTTGAGTGCATGATTCACTCTGGAAAAGATTTTTAAATGTGACCACAGATATTTTCTTTGGAAGCAATTAAGAGTGCACTGAATTTGTTAATTACAGTATATTTGTAAGAGTGAAAACCTGGAAATGAACTAAATATTCAACAAAAATGTTGGTTAAATAATAACACTGAGAGATTATTCTAAGTGCCTCACATACATAAAGTCATTTGCTCCTCCAAACAACCCTGTGAAGGAATTGCTTTTATCCACATTTTACCGGTGAGGAAACCAAAGCACAGAAACGTTTACTCACTTGCCCATGTTTCACAGCCAGTTGATGTTGAAAGACCTGGGATTTGAACCCTAGCAGTCTTCAGAGCCTACGCTCTTAACCACCGCATAGATGAACTAGAGTGCATTCATACAGTTAAATTCTACATAGACATGAACAATATTAAGGAAGAATATTAGTAACGTGGAAAAAGATGATTTACATTAAAAGAAAAACAAGTCACGAAAATATTACAGGCACTATGATTTCATTTTCCTTTTAAAGTCAGGTTTATATTTGAACTAGGGAAAAGACTAAATAGGGTTCACACCAAAATGTTGACAGTATCCTCAATCTGGGGCAGGTGGGGAAAAAAAGTGTTGACAGTAGCTGTCTTTGGGAGGTGGGATTACACGTAAATGTTTCTTCTTCTTCTTCTTCTTCCCTGTCTGGTCCAAGGCTTGAAAAGCCAGGTTGCCAAGCAGGCTCTTCCTCTTCCCTTAGCACACACACACCTCTTGACACAGAGCCCTCCCCCCACTGCCTAGCCAGGGACAACACTGCTAATCAATCTCTTCAGAATAAGTCTCCCATCAAGTCTGCAAGGTGTCCCTTCTATTTCTCTCCCTCTGCCCACCACAACAGCCACTCAGCACTAAATGCTGCCACCCACCTGCAAAAATTACCTGTGCAGTGTTTCCAGCCCAAATGCATTGCATTGTCCTCATTGCAATCCAAGCTGCCTGGTTGAAGTGTCAGCCACTCTGTGTTGGTCGTAGAGAGCTAGGAGCACCAAGATGATGGGTAAATCTTAACAGTGACCTTTTGGGAAGATGTTTCATCCTTAATTTCTAATCCACATAATTGCCTGTATATAAGGGTGGGCATTTCAAACCAGGTAAAGTTGATTAGCAAGCCAGAGTAGGAAGAGTGGAGTCAGAAAGCCCAGCTTAAATGTGCCTTCTGACACCTTACCTTCTTTATCTCCACATAGGGCCACGCACAACCGTTCCTTCTCAAAGGCCAGCGATGGGAACATCAGTGTGGTGGTTTTGCATTAGGTCAACTTCACTAAGCTGGAACCTATTTCCCAGAATTGCCTTCCTTATGTGGTTCTGCGTTAAGGTTGTCCACAACAGGTATTTGTGGAGCCTCTGGAAGGTGGACATGAAGCAGCAGCATGCGCTCATTGTCACCGAATTGCTGGCTCACCCTGATGGTGGAGCCCACAGCTCCTCCAGCTCCTGCTAGATCTCCTCCTTCAGCTACTCTGAGGCCTGGGCAAAGTACGTGTCCAGCTCTGTAGTCAAGATTCCAGCTTTATGTTTCATGGTCGAGATCGGAAGTGGTGAAAGGCAAACAAGGGTTTTATTTGTCCTTGTGGGCTCCACTTTGGCCTCACTCTCTCCCACATCATGTCCTGCTTTCCTCCGGCCTTTTGGCATTACGGCAACTTCACACCCATCCTCAGATGCAGAGGCAGCAGCCTTCTAGAGATTCTTCACCAGCTTCCACAACTGGATAAGGTCTAATCTCTGCAATCAATCCCTTCCTCCACATCACTCACGGTGGTACCACTTCCCTGACCAAAGCTGGCTGATGCAACAGTGTAGTGCTCCCACCTGTGACCAGGTTACTTGTTTAGATATTTTTATGGGTAAATAGTGCCTGGCACATAGTTGCCCTCAATATATATGTTTGTTGAATTCATACTAATTATCATCATTTAATATGCCTGGTGAGTATCAGGTGCTATGATAGGCACTTTAAATACAGCGAAGAGCCTGGTCTTTGGAGACAGGCCAGACACAGAGCCAGGTTCTGCCTGCTATGAGCTATGGGCATGTGGACACCTGGCTTTACCTCTTAACACCCAGTTTTTACAATATGAAGCTAATAATGGTACCTACCTCCATAGGGTGGTTGTGAGAATGAAATGAAATAGTCCAAGTAAAGTGTGTGGGGTGCACAGTGTGCTCATTTAATGTTAGCTGTTATCATCCTTCACCCCTGTGAAAAAGATTTGTTGAGTATCTACTATGTGCCCTGAATTCACCACAGCCCTGCCAAAGAGACTTACCACCATTGTACAGGTGCAAAACAGTAGCTAAGAGGTTAACTTTCTTGCGGAAGATTGCTTTGTCAGCAAATTATAGAATCAGGATTTGAACCCAAGTCTACACAAACCCAGAGGCCGTGCACTGGCCGCTACTGTGGGCAACATTTCAGGCACTAGAACTAGAATGGAGGAGAGAAGAAGGCTTTGGGGGAAATCCCCCAACCCACGGTTCAGAGAGCAAAGCTGAAGAGGGTGCAGAATGGCCTTTCTCCTTCTTTTGGAAGACCCATAATAACGCTGAGGCCTTCACAACTTATGTTAGTATTTAAAAACCTCTGCTGGCAGAGTTCTCCCTTCCATCACATCTCCATCTTTCCTCCTGTCTGTTTATCTAGAAGCCATAGGATGGACCAGATCCCACCTAACCCACTGGGCTGTTATACACTACACTTAGGGAAAACTCTCCTGGCAGCTCAGCCCCAGCGTCCGTCCCAAGGGGAAGCCAGAGTACTCGGAGTGTGAGGAGAATTCAAGCTTATTCTACAGCAGCCTAAGTTGTTAGGATAACAAGGTGTGGTAACATGACTAACATGACTAGCCTTGTGATTTTCAGCAATGCTTAGCCCCCAAAGACAGAACGCAGCGAGGTTATTTATGGCCTGATCCTGGGGACTGGCTCTCCCGGTGGGAGAATTCATCTACCATGTGTGAATTCAAATGATGGCCCTCTACCTCAGCAAGCCAGTGGTGCATGCTAATTATGTAACTATCTTGGACTTCTGTTTGCTCATCTGCAAAATGGGAATGTGTGGCCTCATCTCCTGAGGCTCTTTGGAAAGAGAAGTTGATACCAAGGGAAGCGCTCAGTCACCAAAGCTGTACCTTCATTACTTGTTAAGGCCCTGAGAAAGTTTGTTTCATCTGGGTGACCTGCTGACCCCCAGAAGGAACCACATAGTCAAGGCTCAGACCTATCCACTATTGTGTCCACTTTTTTAGGTGCTCAAAGGCCTTCACAAAGTGCGAGCCGTTCCCACATGTATTCAGTTTTTGCCATAGCAAATTACCACTAGCTGGGTGTTTTAAAACAACAGCAATTTATTCTCTCACAGTTTTGAGGCCAGAAGTTGAAAATCCAGCAGGGTGTGCTGCCTGCAGTGGCTCTCAGGGAGAACCCCTTCTTTGTCCCTTTCCAACTTCTGCTGGCTGGCAGCATTCCTTGACTTGTGGCCACATCACACTGTCTCCATGGTCACCTTGCCTCCTCATCTTCTGGCAGTCAGATCTCCTTCTGCTTGGCTTTTACAAGGACACCTGTCATTGGAATTAGGGCTCCCCAGATAATCCCAGACGATGTCTTCATCTCAAAATTCTTAAGTTAATTACATCTGCAAAGACCCTTTTTCCTGATAAGCTAACACTGACACTCTCTGGGGATTAGGACATGGACTTACATTCTGAGCGGCTGCTATTCAACCCACTGCGCTACCCTAACCTACAGGAATGTTTCTTCACCCATTTTCACTTGAATCTCAAGTCCAACATTTGCTAATTCCTGAAACTTTAGCAACCTCTTTCTCTCACTGAGGCTCAGTTTCTTCACTTATAATACAGAAGTTATTGCCATATGTTAGAGCTTAAGTGAGTGGTGACGAAGGTGCTGCACTATGGAGGATGCTTCTTCCCACAGAACTTGGTCTTACACTTAAACAATCCTTTCAGTCAATCACCCTCGGCTATTTAATTAGAGAAATTGAATGCTTGGAGAGGTTCAGTAACCTGGCCAAGCCAACTCAGCTGGGTAGAAGTGGACCTGGCTTTAAACCCCAAAGACCATTCTGATCCTCAACCTCCCTAACCCCTTTACCTTCTTAACTGTTCCAGGCCAGTTCAAACGTATTCAATGGAGCTAGATAGAAAATGTCTTCTCAAAGGAAGCTGAAAAGTGTTCTTTTCAGTAGGGCTTTCAGAACCTTCCTCTTCTAATTAGCTTTATAAATGTTCTCTCTTCTCTTTTTACCCTTCTGTGAATGCATTCTAAGTTCTCTGTCATTTTCAAAACACGGTCCTAAGAGTAAACACATTTATTTGGCCATCAGAAATCAGCCATCAACCCTCATTCTATTCACAGTCCCCCTACTAATATAACTCTTGGCAAACTCACCTTTCCTTCCATATTTCAGCTGGCATTCAATCTGTAATGTCTTCTCTCTCTGACCCCTGGTTCTTCTCCCTCTCACCCAAGGATGAATAATAAATGACGGCTCAGTTTGTATTTGCATTCTGGATTATTCCTTCCCAAATGGTCACTTTGCTTGCATCTCTCTTAGAATTCCACACATTAATTTCCAGCTTGCTTTCCTACAGTATCAGAAGTCATGCGAGACTAGGGTTATGCAGCCAGGAACATTTCTGGTTCCTAGTCTTACACAGGTCAGGTAACCCTTTCCTTGATATGACATTTGGGACCAGGCCACCTCAATAGACAAAAAGGGATATTTGTTCCCTGAAACCTCTTTTTTAAAGATGATGCACTCTTGTAATTGTAGATTCCAAGGATCTTTTATAGGGATACCCTTGGGTCAACCTGCAGCGGTCCCATCCCTGAAATCTAAAAGAATATAGATAACACTGATAGGAATAATTCCAAATATTTACATTCCTGGAACGGTAAACCTCAATGCCATATAACTAATTAACACTTGGCTAGTTCACTCTAAGTTGTTGATTCGGCCATTTTCCAAGTACCTGGGGGCGGGGAAGTTACAACTAATCACCACCGCCCTGCTAGAGAGGTCATTGCTCCATAATACATCTAGAAATAGGCAAAGTCACGAGGGCAACCAAAGGGATATCTTCTCAGTAGTGACTCTCATGAACTTGCCGAATGACTTCCACTTAGTGGCCAAGTGGAGCCTGGTGGAAACAAGAGCTGGGCAGAGTTGTCAAGTATGGCAGGACACTTCCAGTCATGTATTCGTATGACCCAGCTGAAGTACCTCTGCCAGCTAGATAGGTCTTCCTTCAGTCAAAGTCATACTTGAAGGTAAGTTTCAATCTCCCAAGGTTTACATTTTTGCCTCTTTACATAGCAGATTCAAATTTTCTGCCTTTGTCATGTTCGGTCCTGCTTACATAATGATTTTTTGTGATGAATATAACCCCATTATTTTATTATTAATCACTAACTCTTGGTAATCATTTTTTTAACCAATGACCAATTGACCAATGCCACCCATATCAACTTCTACTATAGTTTAGTTAGCAAGAATATTCTGTTTTTGGCCGGGCGCGGTGGCTCACGCCTGTAATCCCAGCACTTTGGGAGGCCGAGGCGGGTGGATCATGAGGTCAGGAGATCGAGACCATCCTGGCTAACAAGGTGAAACCCCGTCTCTACTAAAAATACAAAAAATTAGCCGGGCGCAATGGCGGGCGCCTGTAGTCCCAGCTACTGGGGAGGCTGAGGCAGGAGAATGGCGTGAACCCGGGAAGCGGAGCTTGCAGTGAGCCGAGATTGCGCCACTGCAGTCCGCAGTCCGGCCTGGGCGACAGAGCGAGACTCTGTCTCAAAAAAAAAAAAAAAAAAAAAAAAGAATATTCTGTTTTCTTCTCCTCTGGGGCACATGGCAGAGTGAGCTTCTCAGCCATTCTGCATTTGGACACAACTATTGGACTAGTCCTGACGAATGAAATGTAAGCAGAAGTGACTGTGTCACCTCCAGGTTGAGGAGATGGAAGACCTGTTTCAATTCTTCTGTCTCTCCCCTCTCCTGCCACATTATCCAGATGGTACAGCTGCAAGATAGAGAAGCATCCATCAACCCTGAGTCCCTGAGTGACTTTGTGAACCAGAACCTCTCACTAGCCCCCTCTGGATATAGTATGATCAAGAAATAGATTTGTATTATATTAAGCTCCAGGAATGTGGAAAATATTACCATAGTATGTTAACTATCTTGACTAACAGGCTGGAATAAATCAACAACCGCATGTGTGTGAACCATGTGTGGTTAGGGATTTGCCAAGTTCTGATGCATTGAATTGACTTCTGTTCCAATCAGCATAATATCAGTCAATGATTCTAATTCATAGGAGGGCAGGCTGTAACCATAATGATCTTGCGATGAAGTAATATTGCAATCATTTATAATTTATGTAGCACATAATAGTTCTATTTGTTCCAGATAAACGGGTGACAGTGTCTATTGCAACTGATTATCCAGATGAAACACCCCAAAACACGTCTTCCTCTTAAAGTACAGGCATATTTCTCAAAGTACAGGCATATTTATGCTTGTATTTATATTGAATAGCTTATGCAAACTATTCTTATGTGGATGAATCAAGAACATGCTAACAATTTCCCAAGTGGCCTTCGAAAGTGATTGGAGTAGTGTAGGACATCTTGAAACTTGTGTACAAGTCATGATTTAATAGAATTCATTTCCAGACCCTCAACTTTCATATGTGCTCAGTCTTCACGTTCACCGGAGGACAACCCGGGGCAGAGCCTGGAGCCCACCTGCCGCTTCTCCTGTCTCTCAAAGGGGCATCCTTATCCTACACTTCAGCAGAGAAGCACACCTGTCATTCACCCTGCATCCTTCCAGGTCCATATCCCTGTGGTGTGAATGCCCCCAGGACACCAAACAAGGAAATCTAGGAAATACTGGTGCCCAGACAAGGAGACATTTGAAATACAGGTGTCTAGAAAGCCTCTTGAATCGGACAACATATCCCTTCGATCATGTAAAATATATTATTTCTGGTACATTTTATATTAAGAATTACCTCGAAAAGCTCATAATGTAAATATGTTGTTTTGCTCAGTTGTACATTAATAGTATCTGTGATGAAAATTCAATCCAAAAGAAGCGTATAACACAAAGCCTTATGTTTATAAAATTTTTAAATTTTAAATTTTAATTTATAAGCCTCTTTTTGTTGCAGAGTAATATGGTAGCGTGATCAGTAAAAGACTTTCCAGCATAAAAATATATCGTATTAGGGTAAAATTTTAAGAAGGAAATGGAATGTAAATATGTATCCAAGGAGAAAAAGAAATGATGAAAAATCTTTGACTGTTAAAAACAGGGCTTTTATATATCTTTGAATACATAATAGAAGGTATCAAATAGCTGCAGTGTTTATATTTTATTGGAAACTTTAAAAGAGTAATGCAACAATTTTATGTTAAACTGTCAAGATTTATAAAGCACCAGAAATTGCATCATTTACAACCATTTAAAATTATCATGAAACTTTTGGGATGTCAACTTGAAAACGCATGATGAGGCACAGACTTTTTCACAACTCTTTTGGGGGGATCTGCAAGCAAAGCACTGTGGAGGCCCTGGGTCAGCACAGGCTGCAGCCCCGTAAGGTCCTGGCTCGGCAGCCCCGGCCACTGAACGTTGGTTCAGGCTGCTGCTCTTCACAGGGAAGGCCAGGGCTACAGACCTTGGCAGATAAGTAAATGTTCATAAAACAAATGAACATCTCTGCTTTCTCATTCTCACTCTGTCTTCTATCCCCAACATGATCTTGAACAAGATGCCTCCCTTCTTGGGGTTTGTAGTCTTCTTGAGATTCTTGGAGAAAGCAAGCAAGGTGTCCTGTGGTCACATTATCCCAGCGGATATCAAGAATACCCTTAGCGGGCCGGGCGCAGTGGCTCATGCCTGTAATCCCAGCACTTTGGGAGGCCGAGGCGGGCAGATCACGAGGTCAGGAGATCGAGACCATCCTGGCGAACATGGTGAAACCCCGTCTCTACTAAAAATACAAAAAATTAGCCGGACGCGGTGGCAAGCGCCTGTAGTCCCAGCTACTCGGGAGGCTGAGGCGGGAGAATGGCATGAACCTGGGAGGCAGAGCTTGCAGTGAGCCAAGACAGCGCCACTGCACTCTGGCCTGGGCGAAACAGCAAGACTCCGTCTCAAAAAAAAAAAAAAAAAAAAAAAAGAATACCCTTAGCATCACTGTGACCCACACACCCCTAAGCAGTCTTTTTCAACCCAGATTGTTTGGATTTTATTCCACAACAGAGTCACTCAATTTTAAGTATGTTTTTAACCCAGAAAGGCCAAACAGAGCAGGCACTAGGACTTCACTGCCTATTTCTACCCTTTCAATGTTTGAGATGGAATTTTTCTCAGCCTCAGAAGAAATACTTTCAGTTCTGGCCTTCAATCAGGATTTATTGGACAGATCTGATTCTGCTGTATTTTCATTTACAGCCTAGAAGACAAAAGTGTCAGGTATTAGAAAGAACTCTGAGTTTAAAGCTTGTATCTATTACCACTTGGCTGTGTAACTTTAGCCAGGTCTCTTAATGTTCTTTGAGTATCAGTTCCCTCAACCATAAACCAAGGAACTTTCAAGGAATGGATTCTGAGTACAAAGTGAAATGTTAGTATGAAAAAGCTTGTCAAGGAAAAGTATAGACATAGCAGGGTACTTATTACCACAAAGATGGAATTTTCTGTCATCTTTGACAATCCATTGAAGCACCCAATAATCTTTCTTGGTCCAACCTGAATATCATTAACCACAATTCCAACCATTTTCTTTTTGTCTTTTATTCCTCTTTGGAAAAAGAGACTAGTTGGTCACCATCTCTTATGTAAGAATTAATTGTCTATTTGAAAAGAGGATGCTTAAAACCAGTTCTTCAGAAGTGAAAGTCAAGGTATTCGACATCTCCACATCACCCAGCCTACCGCTTAGACTTTGATAACAAAATTCTCTCACATTTCTTATAAAAGTCTAATTAAATCTCAACAATTTTATCCATGTAACCATTTTCTGCTTGAAAATTTCCCTTAAAACTCTGAAAGTAAATCCTATAGGGGAGGTAGTTAGATCAGCTACATTATTTGCTGTCACTTCTATGCATTTAGTGAAGGCTCACCAAGATGGATGTTCTGCAGAGAGCAGTTCAATGTTAAAAGAGTTTGGGAAGCACAGAGCTAAGAACATTTCCTATCACACAAAGACCTCATTTAAGCCATCTTTGATAGTTTCTACAATACCCAAATCATGAATGTTAAAAACAGAAACAAACGAACAAAAAAAAAATAGATGGAGTTTTGCTGTCCATCCTCAAAGTCTTAACTCTCTCCCTGCTGAAGTCATGGGTGTGCCACAGCTGGGTAGAAAAGTACCTGGATGGGAAAGCAAGTTGAATGAAGAGGTGATGACTTGAAAGAAAAATCTAGTGCCGTCAGGCTTTCCATGGCATCCAAGTAGATGCATTGGTCTCTGCCATCCTCCATCTCCTCTTTGCATAAATCCTACCCCCATCCCCATCTCCAGAAGCACTCTCTCTACATATATAGGCAGCCAACACTGACATGATGCCCCACAGGAACCCAAGAACTGTAATCCCAGCTCAGGCACAGGGATGCTCACCCCTATGGCCCAATGGTCCAAAATCATCCCTTATTCCTTCTCCCCTCCCACACCCAAACTGCAGACCTCCATCCTTTGCATCTGTGTGCAAACTCCTACTCATCCTTTAAGACTCAGCTCAAGAGTCCCGGGTCAAGTTCTTCTTCCTCTGTGTTCCCATAGAGCCTACCGCTATCTCTATCAAAGCACTAGTTATATTGCTGTAGTTATTTGTTTACCTCCTGTATTCCCAACTAGACTCTCAACATCTCAAGGGCAAGAACGATGTTGTACTTACCTTTGAATTTCCTTTACCAAGAATAGTACTTGGCTCACAGTAAGTGCTTAATAAACATCTGATGAATAAATGAATGATTGCTCTATCTATCCTGTTGGTGGTAGAGAATTAATCCAAAAAATATATTGCTAATGGTGCAATTTCAGGCATATTACAGGCTGGTAAAAGAGAAATTTTGAAACCAAGAGACCTGCCCTACTTCTATCAATCATCTCATAAAAGTATCTACATGAAAGGCTGCTCTTGAGCTGGTAGCTAATGTTCCTGGAAAAACTCCCTGGCAGGTTACCCAGGGAGATTAGTTTAAAGGGAGGTTGTTACACTTGTCCTCTCATCATTGTTTAGTGAGTTACTTAGCCAAAAAGATCCTCTACCAGGGGATTGGAACTCTGCATGAAAGTTTCAGCTCTTATTTGTCTATTAAAAGGCCCATGTTATTTGCAAAGGGCTGTCTGTTGGCCTCATAGACCAATATTCACAGCACCTGTCTTTTGCAATTTCCTACCTATGGACATTGTGTTTACTTATATAACATTTGCAATCCTTGCATTTAACAGTGTCCCATTTGTAACACCTGGATTTATCAATTTCCACTTCCCAGCATCTGTCTTTTACAGGCTTTTTTTTTTGACAAAATTTATGTTAAGGGATTTCACCTGTCAACATACCTGGGCACAGGACAGTCAGGGTGTTGCTGTAATATTGGAGTGAATTGCTAGGAAGTGACTTGCATGGGGAAAAAAACATCAGGTCAAGCAATAAAAAGGAGAAATACCATGTAAGCCAGATTTATTTCTACAATAACTGGAAATTAAAAGGAGAAACAGTTGTCACATGTCAAAGCTGCCCGGCAAAACTAGCACCCTATTAAGCATGGGTTCAGCTATCTCCAGAAATAGTTCCTGAATCATATCTCAACAATTCTCTTCTTTTATGTTTCTTTGACTTATCAAAAACTCTCCTAAAATCCATTCCTTATTTTGAAAACTGGACTCTGTATCTTAAGTGGCCAAACATAGCAAAATAATAAAGATAAGAAAGAAGTATCTGAGAAGCAGCACTAAGAATTCAGTGTCTGTGAGCAATAATGAGGGCTTACTGAGCTGGGAAGTTTTGGGGGTCACCCAAAGCTTGGGGGTCCAGTCTGTTACATAGTCGGATTAAGTAGTCACCCACATAGCATCCTATTAGTGATTATAAAAGTCACCCTATCCCCAGATATCTGCAATCTCTGTCAGAGTGCCACCGTGACTCGAATTCTATGAAAGGAAATATAATCTTTAGGTTAAACAGTGATTCATTAAGTACCCTATTTTAGAGTGCAATATCCATATGAGAAAGAACCCTGCAAATCCTAAGTCACTAACAGCTTCATAGGAATTATTTAATCATGTCTCTTTTCTCCAGTATGTCAGGGACCTGGGCTATGTTGAGTGCACAGTCTTCGTCAGTAGGGTTTTGTCTGGGTGCTTTTGGGAGGGAGTGAAGGGAAATGCAGAGAAAAGGAAGCTTTAATGAGAGAAAAGAATATTGAAAATAGAGTCGGTGGTCCCGAAGAGAAGCCTCACCTGCTTTACAACGTTGCCTAGAACAATACACTCGAAATCCACCAAGAAGGACTCTGTTTTCCAGTGGGCTAGACCAGGGGGCCTCAAACTTAAATGTGCATAAGAATCCCCTGGGGTTATTTTTAAAATACAGATTCTGATTCAGTAGATCTGGGTAGAGCCTGAGATTCTGGATTTCTTATAAGCTTCCAGGTGAGGCTGATGCTGCTCTACCCCAGACCATGCTCTGAGAAGTGAGGGTTATATAGAAGGCACAAGTATCTTCAGAACTTCGTGCTGTTCCTCCAGTGGGACACAATTACAATCCTGAGCTGATGGAAACCCTTCCATGACTGGTACGATGGTGGAAACCAGTTCTGCAGTGCACCCCTGCCTGACCTGCACAAAGTGGGGAACACGTCCCTTCCCAGGAGACTTGCATCTGAGTTGGGACCATTCTGACCCTTTTCTCCCCTTCAGAGGCCCAAGGACATTTTTGGTGTACCCAATGCCTTTTAACAATTTCAAGACCAAGTGGGGCCCGAAGATACTTTAACTCACAGCTAACTCTGAAATAATAATACAAGAATTGCTGTTAGCGGACAGTGAGCCCAATGCAGTGTTTGATGATACCAGTAATAAAGGCAAGAGAAATCCTACAATCTCACATTTACATGTGCAGAAGATTAAAATTCCTCCCATGCCTACCAAACAAGGAAGTCTTTATTTCTGTCTCAAACAACTTGAGGAGGTAAGAGAATACAAGTAAATAGCAGATTACTCCGTCTCATGATGTGATCCAGTCGTTGGCTGAAGCTCTGTTTACTCCTATGTATAGATGAGGCAGGATGCTCAGAGAGCTTTGGCTGGTGGAACTTTGCCTAGAATGAATCCTGCCTAAAAACTGCCCCCTAAAGCAAGGTAACTCATGCCACCTGGAGCAAGAACCAGCTCCTAAGGACATACATAGCAAAGTAAGCAGACAAGAAGGTTTTGAAAACAAGGGGAAATGAGTGAACTTGGTCTCTTGCCGCTGGTGTGGAGCCTTTGTTTTGCTGTTAGCAAACCTTCCTCCCAGGGTACCCCGAATCCTCCTGTGCTAACCCCTCCAGTGTCAAGACTAAGCAGCTACTCTGTAGCCCATTTCCTCATCTGGTCACTAAAGGGTTACCTGATAATGACTTAAGGTATAACCCTTCCTAGGGCATTTGCTTTTTAAAGATAGGAAAGGGGAGGCTGGGCGCCGTGGCTCATGCCTGTAATCCCAGCACTTTGGGAGGCCGAAGAGGGCAGATCACAAGGTCAGGGGTTCAAGGCCAGCCTGACCAACATGGTGAAACCCTGTCTCTACTAAAAAGACAAAAATTAGCCGGGCGTGGTGGCGCATGCCTGTAATCGCAGCTACTGGGGAGGCTGAGGCAGGAGAATCTCTTGAACCCGAGAGGCAGAGGTTGCAGTGAGCCAACATCGCACCTACAGCCTGTGTGACAAAGCAAGACTCTGTCTCAAAAAAAAAGATAGGAAAGGGGAGGGAGGATGAAAATCCACTGTCCCATACAACTGCCCTCTGCTGGGTGTTCATTTCTGAGCTCTCCAGAGCTAGAGGCTGGGGCAGCACCCACAAAGCCTGATTCCCCTTTTCTGTGCAATAGATGATCAGAGCGCCTACCCTGAAGTGACTTCTGGAAGGTCCAGCTGTGAGTGGCCCAGCCCACTCCACTGCTCATTCCTTCCCACGGCCCACTCAGACACTAAGGGATAGATGGCTTTCTGGACTAGGTCTACGTGGCATCATTTCAGATTTCAGCTACACGCTTTTCAATGCAACAAAGCGTTATTATTTCCACTAAGTATTGAATTGCACACGATACCAATGCAGCACTTGTCTAAAAGCTATGACATTTGAGAAGTCCTTGGGAACCATCCCTAACTCACCCTCCAACCCCATTTACCAGTAAAGAAAATAAACCCCAAAGAAGGTGTTACAAGAGATAACTTATTCACAAGACCGCAAAATTAGCACCAGAATCCTCTCCTCCCCTGAAGCAGAAGAGCCACAGCGTCTACCCTCAAGGAAAAAGACTTAAATCACAACGGTGGAGATTTAGATCCGGCATAAAGAAGAACTCGCTGGTAATGAACATGATTAAATACTAGAACAGACAGCCACAGGGAATTGTGAAATCGTCCTCCCCAGAGATATTTTAAAATAGGACAGTTAACCATCTGTCTGAGATGGTTTAAGTACCGTCCTGCCTCGGAAGTAGGAAAATAATAAGATGATCCCCTCACCTGTCGCATTTGTGGTTCTATAGGCACACCTGGCTGCAGGTGCACATATTATGGGGATCCCAGCTTGAATCTGGGCTGTGTCCCCTAGTGGCACTCAGATGAGTCCGCGCACTTACACAGCGTGGGAGGCCCACAGGGCTCTGTTGAGGTTGGGTGGGAAGGTGTCTGCACAGAAGAGGTTCGCACAGGAGATTCTGGGGAGAAAAGAAGGGAGGAGGAAGAAATGGAAATGTCTATTTCCCTGCACCCCATCACCTCCCGGCCGCTTGTAGCACCATCCTACCCACTCCCTGCCTTGCAAGCCTCATGACTGCCCCTCTTGCAGACAGAACCCAGGGGCTCCAAGAAACAGAGCCCTTCTTTGTTTCCAAATGACATCGCACATCATCCGGTAAGAGGAAAGAATGGTTTTCTCGTTTCCTTAAAACATCCAGAATGGCTCCGGCCAGGTGCAAATGACAGGAAAACGGCCTCCTTCAGGACTTGGAAGGTGGCAGTTCTGGAGCAGCAGGAGAACGTGCCTTGGCGCAGACGCCGGCGCCCCGCGGAGGGCCCGGGCACACGCGCCGGCGCAGGGGAGGCCACGCCCCCGGGCCTTGCGGTCTCCGCGCATCTCCGCGCACCAGCAGGGGGCGCCGGCACCTGAGGTGGACGACGGGGCTGTCGCGGTTGCGGCTCTGAACCGGCGTCGGCCTTTACCGTTTCCACGTGTGCCGCTTCCAGTGCCCAGACCTCCTTCTCCTCTTCACCCCCTCGCCTCGCCAGCTCCTAAGGCTTCTTCCCCTGTCCCGCAAAGTTGGATTCGGTGTCCCATAGCATCCTGTACTTTCCTAATTATATTTACACACAGAATGAAAATCACCTGTCTGCCTGTCTCTCCCCATTCCCATCTATAGATTCCTTGCACAGGGACTATCTGTTATTCACAGCTATATCTGCAGAGCCTGGCACGAAGGAGGCACTCCGAAAGGTGTTTTTTGAAGAAGTGAGTACATACATGAATGGGAAACTACGAGCTTAAATCACACTAGATGAGCCAGTTAGCCCTCGAATTATTTCAAAGTCGTCGGATATTGAACCAGCATATTACACTGGCCTTCTCTTTGAGCTGTGTGCTGGGGAAGTTTACTTTAGAGTAATAAAACAGAAAGTATTAAGAGGGACTCTTAGTATTAAATACCCACCACAGTACCCTCAACCTTAGTACCTCAGCCTCTGCCTGAGACCTCCGAGGGATGGAAATGCAGCCCCAGCTGGGCTTGTTCATCCCATCTCTGGACAACTCTGACCATGAGCAAGTTCTTTATCAGGTTGCGTGGAATCTCGTTCCTCTGACATCTTCCCTGTAGTTCTCTTTCAGTTATCTGGCATCTCACGGAGAAAGTGTACTCCCTTCCACACACCAGGGAGGCTTACAAAAAGGAACACGGCCTTGGATCTAAAAGGACTTGGATGTGGCAAAATCTTAACTTTCCCACACTAAGCATGTGAGTTTGGGCGAGTCACTGAACCGCTCTCTTCAAGCCTCAGTTTCATCATCTGTATAATAGGAATAAAGATATCCACCTCATGGGGTTGCTGTGAGGATTAAAATGAGTTAGTATGTTCCAACGGCCTAAGGTGTAGCAGATGTTAAAAATGTGGTCGTTATTATTATTAATAAATGTTGCAATACAGTTACTGTATTCTCTTCCTCCCCTCTCTACGAATCTTTGCTTCTCTAGGCCAGAACATGAGCCACTCTCCCATCCTCTTCCATGCTCCTCTGTCTTTCTCTGTCAGTGCTTCTCTCGGAACATGCTGCCAGCACTAAGCTGTCTTCGAGGGCAGTATGGCCAGGGCCAGGCAAACTCTCACCACCTCTATTTGGAATGCTAGACATCTATTCACGGTGCCTACATTTACTTTAACTTTATTGGCAGCTGCATCTGCTGAGGTTCCTGGGCATTTTGACTATGTTATTCTCACTTCTCTAGAGGGATGTTTGCTGGAGATTTGACCTGGGGAATGATTTTAAATGAGAGCGAGCTGGGATGTTGTTGTTGTTTTGTTGTTGTTGTTGTGTTGTTGTTTTCTCATGTTTTAGCATGAGGTTGCCAGAAAAACTTTGTCCTTAGGATTATACTGTGAATCATGTCCAAAGCTCTGAACACAATGCCCCCAAGCCCCAAGGACTCTGAGACTCCAGGAGACATATAGCCCAGAGGAGTGGAGATGAAGCTCCATTTTTCAGGAAAGAAGGGACAGTCGGCCTTATGTGTTTTGAAGATGTAAACATAGCCTGGGTTTGGAGAGAAAATGGGATCCATGTCCTGGGTTCCAGGGTGTCGGATGCCAGAGCTGCCCCCTCAGCATCCCAGGATAGACTTGCAGGCCAGGTGGTGGCCGAGCACATGGGCGGACTTGAGCCTGCAGAGGGCGGGCATCATGGGGGCATCTGTGTCAGGGCCAGAAAGAGGACCCAGCTGGACACAGAGACTGGCTTCACTTGTTCTGGGACATCCTGTCCACACCTTCCTCAGGGTTCCTTGTACGTCAAGGAATGGAGAATCAAGCACCTCCCCTCTGGAAGTGGAATGGCCAGCGGAACTCCCCCAGGGTGGGTTAGCTACATCACTGCACCTAACCAGGCACTGCCTGTCAGTGTCATAGGCTCACCTGGCATTTTACTCCACCACCCCCTACCTTCAGTTTAAAACCCTTCTGATCAAACTGGGAAACATTAATTTTTCACAAAGAAGTCCCCTCGAAAGCAAGCACTGGAGGGATGTTTTATAGGGAGAGAGGTTCTCTTTCCTGACTTGTGTTATTATTTCCAGGACCAGCGCTTCAGCGTTGTTAAATCAGGACCTCGTTCTATAAATATTTCTGATTTGAAAAGCCGCATTCATGTTCTCTACTGCAAAATCTAAGCCCGAGATGGCAGCAGCATCTCAGGAATACGGAATATGAAGAAAACACAGCACAGTTGTTAGCTCCAGCTGCTGATGTTCTGAGCTGCCTGTCCATAATTCAGAGGACAAGACAAGGTCACTCATAAACACCACTGAACTGTGTCTCCTTTCACGGGTTCTGCATAAAAATATTGCAGCCCCAATGAACATCAAACAAGTGTAATGGATTGGTTTAATTCACATCCGAACACTCACAAACACAGTGGCCCTAATAACATTCCTGTTTCCAGTGGATTTCCATGCTTGTCAATTATTCTGAAACATCAACTGTCTTAACGTTGACAAACAAGATGCTAACTTGATTTTTTAACAATCCTTTTCAAGAGCAACAGAGTCCATTCTCTATGTGTGCCATCCACAGGCATGGGCTTGAGCCTCCTGGCCGGGTGTGCTAAGTGCCCCTAGGGTACACCCAAAATACGGCAGGTGACAGAGAAATTGATGTTCACTTTAGGGACTGTCCATGGCACTAAGGCTGATGTGAGTTATACTGATATAAGCACTCATATGACACCTAAAACTGGGAAGGAACTCAAGCAGAGATGGATGGGTGTTTGGGACCACAGGAACTCCTCCAAGTTGCTCCCTTAGAGCATGCCCGCCCCCTCCGGTTACCGAGACT
Organism: Homo sapiens; assembly: GCF_000001405.40. NCBI lineage: Eukaryota > Metazoa > Chordata > Mammalia > Primates > Hominidae > Homo > Homo sapiens. The sequence continues at coordinate 374,273 of NW_018654718.1, read as the reverse complement.
GCCGCAAGCCGTGCTCCCACTCACGTGTGAGCCACCCCTCCTCCCTCTACCTTGCAGCATGGGGATGGGAGCTGTGGTTACACTGCTCTTACCCCTTCCAAACACATACACACAGACACACACACACACACACACAAACACACTCACACACACACTCACACAGAAAGAGCAACACATTTGTCTCCAGGGTGGGGAAATAATAAACAAAGGTGACTATTGCATACTCATGAAAAGACACAGCCCACAGCTGCCCTCTCTCTCCTGAGATCCTGCCACTGTTGCTCAGGAGGCCAGTATTCTCGGGGCATCTCAGGAGGATTGAGCAGGACTTGGAGAAAGCCAAAGAAAGCCACTGAGCCATCTACATTCAAAATGGTATCAAAGCATTCCTTACTGTATAGTAAAATCCAACCATGAATTTGATTTGGGATACAGCCTGGGCATCAGAATTTTAAAATCTCCCCAATAACTTTATTTTACATTCAGAACCTTTACTCTAAGGTAAGGGGTAGTAGGATAGGTAGAGAGATAGAGACCCAAGGAGACTGGCTTTCAAGCTTCATGTCCATAGAAAATAAGGATGGAAATAAAAAAGAAACTCATTATCCAATCCTCTTTTGTTCAAACAAAAGACATGGGACAAGGAATGCAGCAGAGGAGACAGGCACGCATTGTCTTCTGGAAGGTTGAGCCTGAAGAACACAGCACAGCCCCCCATTCACCGTGCTGCCACTTGTGTGCCAATGAATCTGGCCTCCCACTTAGTCCAAACTCACTTGGACACCAGAGGGTTTGGAGAAGAGAAGAGTGAACAAGCTCTTGAGTGCCACGAGTTTTGGTTTCTCCGTACTGAGACCACAATGCTGAGAAAGACAAAATCCAGGTTGGACCCCCAAGAGAGTGATTGGACCCTCCAATTCGGATGAGGAGGAGAGGGTCTGCCTGGTAGGCAAGAACCAAGGATGCCCATGGGCACTTAGGCAGCAAGTCTCTGGGTGCCTTTACTACAAAAGAACAAAATCTATTGTCAGCAACTCACATTAGGAAACCACTGAGAGGTCTAGGCTGCTGTCCATCCTTAATTATGGGTAAGTTGAACCTGTAGAGACCTGTCTTGCCTTCTAGCAGCACACACCTGTGAGTTCTTGCCTAACATAGGACAAAGGAGAAGGCAAAGATGTCAGGACAAAGCTTGCCTCTGTCTTATGAACTAAACTCATGGGTAATGTTCCCAACTTGTTGCTGGGTCTCCAGCTTCCACCTGCCTCACCTCAGGTGACTTTTGAGCCTTTCTGCCTCAACTAAGTTCCCTGAGCCCAAGCTCCCTGCTCCTTCAGGCCTGTGGAATGTGGCCTCATGCCTGCCTAACTTTACGGCCCAAGAGGATGCTGGCACCCAGTCCTGACCCCTTCCAGGCATCTCTGCCCTGCTGTGGCCTGTGCCCGGGCTCCAGAAAGATTAGCACAAATAACCCCATCAGCAAGGCAGACACAACTTCACACGCACCTAAGGAACTAGAACACAGGCCCCTGTGTGGACAAAATGCAGCCCCAAGGGCACATCTGAGAGCCGTGGAGCAGCCCACTGCAACATGTGAACCAAGGGGAAGGAAGATGCTACTTCCTCAGCACAGCCCAAATAAAGACAAACCAGGGATTTGGCTCTAAAAATTCATTATTGGCAAAGTAACCTAAGAAGGTCTTGGTTTATGAGAGTAAGGAAATTAAAACAAAAAAAAAAACTATGTTGGGCAAGATTTTATCTTGACAATGTTCCTTTAACTGATGTAAAATGTGAAGAAATTGACTGTAATTGATTCCAAGGAAGGATGCCAGAGATTCCTCAGCATTGGATCCAAGCTTAAAAAAGGAATTATTGGGCCTGATTAATATGGTGATTTTATTTTTTTAATCTCTCCTCTACAGTTCAGATGTTCATGTTTATAGACAAGAAATTCACCTCATTAACAAATGGAACACCTCAACATTGCAAAATGACACTGTGACATATTGCTCTGGTAATCCGCGTTATGACATTGTTGCCAAGACCCAGAGGGCCCACCTATCAGTGTGGTTCCCCTGTCAGGCTTGAGGTTGTGACAAGAAGCTGACAGCAAAGGTGCTGATAAGAGATAGCCTCTCCACTGCCATGTGGGCTCTGTGCAACACCCAGGTATCATGGTGGGGCCAAATCGCCCAGCCCTTGAAGTCCCTTCCTTCTTCATGCCCTCACAAACACCTGGGCACAAGAGCAGTGACAGGCAGGGAACCTAACAGAGCAGGTCCCACCAGCATAGCAGCAGCTAGACTTTCTCTGCTGTTGGTCTCCTGACCCGAGAAACCAGAAACAAGTTTTCTGTAAATAATAGAACCACAGTGTTAGCCCCTTACTAATGACCAAGTTGTGGGGTGGAAAGAAACAGAAAACTGTGTCACAGTCAGTTAGCCTCACTTCGGGAGTGGTGAGAGACAAAGGCAACAAAATTCTTTAACCAAAGTGCAACGTAAAAGCCATAAAAAGGAATGAAATATTGATTTATGCTACAATGTGGATGAACCTCGAAAACATTATGCTAAGTGAAAGAAGCCAGACACTAAAGTTCACCTAGTGCATGATTCCATTTCTGTGAAAAATACAGAATAGGTAAATCCACGGAGACAGAAAGCAGAGCGGTGGCTGCCAGGGCCCTGGGTGAGGCGGGAATAGGGAGTGTCTTCTTAATGGGTACAGGGTTTCCTTCGGGACTAATGAAAAAGTTAGTGGTGATGGTGTATATTGCGGATGTGTTACATAGCTCTGGATTTCACATTGTACACAGGTTAATTTTATGTGAAATGAATCACACCTCAATTTTTAAAAATTTATAAATGCAGCATCAACATATTGGCCCCACGAATGACAACTGGCTTTCCGATAGAATGCAGGTTCCCAGGACTGTGTCAGGAGTCTCTCCTTCCCTGCCCCCTGCCCTTTTGGAAAAAGCCCCTTAAGATTACTGAGCAAGTCATTTCCACTCATGGGGCCTCAGTTCTCACTCAGGTACTTGTAACATAAGACATGCCTCCAGTCCAAATGGTCTATGATCCTATTACTCCTCCTACCTCTGGGAGAACGGTTTTAACAGACATGAGAGAACACACATCCATGACCACGGTCATCCTCAGCGCCAAACACAGAAGGCAGAAGGACTGACACACTACAGAGTATCTAACGGAAACTTAGAGAAAGACTGATGATTCCAACTTTTAAATAAAAACTAATGTTTATTATTCACTACTTGCCACACACTGTTCTCAGTATTTGTATATGCACTGGTTTATTTCATCATCATCACAGCCTTTTACAATCGAGAAAACAGAGCTACAGGAAGGTAAGTAACTTATACAAGGTTCCCTGCATCATACAGAAATATTCCCTGCATCATACAGGAAATACTCGGTGGAGTAGAGATTTGATCCCAGGAAGTCTAGGTCCAGAGTCTACGTGCTTAACCTCTCTGTGTCACAGCCTCTCCATAGACAGGATCCATTTTATTTTGTATTTTATTTTAGTTCTAACGTTGGTGCTGATAGGACCATGCTTGTCCTGGATAAAAGGAGGAATTCAATAGTAAATAGGATAATAAAAGAACATTGGACTGATAGAAGATCTGTATTCTAGATCCATCTTGGTCACTGGTATTGTGACTTTGAGCAGATTATAAAACTCTCTGGCCCTCAGCATCCTCCTCTATAAAATGAGAAGTTGGACTAGATCAATAGTTTTCCAATGATTTAATCAATGTAACTGTCTTCAGATTAAGCCTCACTTAGAAACCCAATACACAAGCATGGGGTTGTTCTGGCTCAAGATGGGGGAGGGAGGATGCAGACCCGCTCTCCATGCCCCAAGCAGCTCCTGAGACACTGTCTTGGAACCCTTGTAACTCTGTGGAATACAATTTGAAAACCTCTAAAGTTTCTTTTGAAAATAAAACCTAAAAACCTTAAATTCAAATACTGCATCCTTAGGCATTCTTTAACACTGTGGGAAAACTTATAATATTCTGCTCACTTTGCTCAAAAACATTTGTTTGGATTGATGGCTTTGTGCAGAGGAGGCGAAGGTTTCAGGTATGAAGCATGAGGGGATCATACCAAGGACGGATAAGGATGTCCAAAACCTAAACACAGCCCCCTCTTAACTGCTAGATGCTACCAGCCCAGTGGGCCCCTCTTGGGAGACAAGCTGCTCAATTCTCAATCTGTGTGTTTTCTCTAAATAGCTCTACAATTACTAAGCTGGGTTATTTATTAGAGTTTTACATTGATCAAAGTAGTACTACTTAATTCTTCATAAAACTTCATACTGATATTTCCTCTGGTCCCCATCATTAAGCTTGGTCAATGAATAATTGGACAAAAAGTGTCAGGGAGAGAGTGAGTCCCTCATGCTCACTCTGGAAAGATCAGAGTGAGCCTCCAGGGAAGGGACTTTCCGCTTTAAATGCCCACGCTCAAGTCAATTCCATTCTCTCCTCTCACTTCATAGGCATTTATAAATTTAAGTTTGCTGCAGTGCTTGGAAGAGGTTATACAATTGTTATGATGCAGTGTTCAAGGCAGACAGCTCCCCATAACTCAGAGGCCAAGACAAACAGGAATATATTAATAGCAGCCGCAGCATAAAGATAATTTATTTTCAGTATCTAGGAGCTGCGGGGATCAGCAGATAAGACTGTTAAGCATTTAAGCATTAAAGCAAAGGAGCTTAACAAATGGGGGGAAGACAGAAGGAGAGAGATGGAGAGAAGAAAGATTGATCTCCTTTGGAAACAATGTAGCATCTGAACCAATTAACCAAGAAACAATTATGTAGTTATGGGCAACACCAGGCAAAAAGGAAAAGACATTCTCCTAAACCCCCTTGCTCTGCCATTTGGGTGGTATATGCCACCCAAAGGGCAAAGCACTTGTTTAGCACTGGAAGAGAGTTTAAACCAGGAAACATTTTCCTTTTCTTTACACCCCTGCTCCCCAGCATCATCTGGCTTACTAGCCTGATGACAATAAACAAAAAAATAACCATTTTAATTTAATGAAATATCACAGTATCTTTCTTTGGGAAATGGCAAGAAAGAATTAGAAAGCTATTTCTCCACTAACTTTTTTTTCAACCCACAAAACCTGAAGGAAAAGCATCGTTTTGTAGTTTTAGTTCTTTTAAAACATAACAGGGTACACATTTTGATTTTGTACTCCAAGAATGTATACTGTGTACTCCTCAAAATTTCCCCAATAGTACTTCATAAGAAAAGAATCTGACCACCAGCTAGACTGAAAATCAACACTGCAAAGTCTTGTACACAGTAAACTCTCACATGAAATCTTTACAATCCATTTTTTAAGAAGAATATTCACATGGTTTCAGTCTTACAAGTTTGTGTCAAAACCCAAATGTTCAGAAAAGCATACACCATTTGTACACAGTGTAAAAAAGCCAATATTTATTGAATAAAAAAAGACATTGCCTTATACAGAGTGAAGTCTTCCAGCATCTGCAACTTCCCACGCATCCAATTACTCATTTTCAGTGTCTCTTAAATGTGTTCCCTTCATTCATTCCTACCCATTGCCACTGCTAATAATTCAGAGCTCTCCTCACCTCTCACCTTTGCTGGTGTCATTGTCTGGCAGAAATTTGTATCTAACTGATCCATCTGACTTGAGGCTCACTCCTCAACCCCAATCAATTTTTCCCTCCAAATCCAACCTCATCATTCTAATACACAGATGGGACCATCCACCTTCCCTCCCGAAGAATTTTCAAGGCTCCCCGTTACCAACAGGAAAATCCAAAAGCTTTAGCAGAGCCAATAAGTACTTGCCCATCTTGCCCAACTCAGCTTTTCAGCTTTATCTTCTATTCATCCATCCTTCTCTTTTGTATCCTTTTCTCCCACCCAAATAAATAGACCTCCAACTCTCACCTTCTTCAAATTGTTGATCATTTATACTCATACTTCTTCCAGCCAGCAACTGTTTCCATCCATCCACCACTGAATAGGCCAATAAGAATGCCAGCTCCCCCATGAAACTTTCCGACATTGCCAGGCAGTTGGCTTTCTTCTGGTCTTTCAAAGGCTTTTGCACATATGTCTACTAGTAAGGTAATAATTTGTTCTGTTATTGTTTCCAGTAAATGTCTTCCCCCCTTGGTTACCCTAGCGAAGTGCTACACAGGGGAATTATTTGTCTTTGTCTGCTCTGTGCCTAGCAAATCCTAGTAAATAACTGATAAATGCATGAATAAAACAAGTCAGGAGTTTAAAACCTGAGAAGAGGACAAAAATATGTGAAGTTAAATACTGAACAATAGAGATTGGTAATGGCTCTGCTCGGCCAGTGAAAGAAATTTGGGGAGAATTGACAAGGTAATAAAAATCCCAAGGCTGGTATTTTAGGTGAAAGCTTCTCCAAGAGGAGTTATTGGAGTCTTCAAAGGATGAAGAGGATTTGAGTCAGAAGACAGAAGATGGAACAGCATTTTGGGAGGCTGAGATGTGAGAGAATAAAGGAAAACAGGACGGCCCAAACTGTGTTGGGAGGCTAAAAGTAAAATGGGCCCAGAACCATTTTGGAGGCTTAGAGTAAACTAAGTCCTCAACAAGAAGGTGTCTGGCCCTCAACTCTGCAGAGAGTGCAGAGCTGGAACGGGAAAAGGTGACCACCACATTCACCTCTAGAGTCTCTAACACACACCACAACACCCAGGGTACTCACCTAATGGATGTCAACCATGGCAGGGGGCAGACAGCACTGCCCCAGCTGTGCTGAGACACCACCGCTTGGAATCAGCTCTTCCAGATGTTCTGTGGAACGCAGAACCATGGAACATGTCTCTGCACAGCTGGAGGTCATCTTTCCAGTCTGAATCTAAGTTGGAAGTGACCCTTCCCACTAGAAGGGGCCCCCTCGCCTTCACTACGACCACAGAATTGCACAAAGAGACAGAGAACGCAGGGTAAGGGAACTGAGAGCAGCACTTTGCAGAGGCCGTGGGGAAGGCTAAGCCTGCCTTCCCCAGAAATAAGTGCCTGGAGCCTCCACTGTGACAAATGCATAAATGAAGTTTAGTACCTAATCAGAAGAACTGTGAAGAAAAGTTGGCACTCCAGAGCAATCCAAACAAGAACAGTGCAGGATAGTCAGAGAAGACCCAGACTGGACTAGCACAGAGACCACAGCCATGGCCACACCAGCTGAGGGTCTGCACCAGCTCCTTGGAGGAGGGATGGGTGATTGGTGCCACAGCCTGCTTTGGTCTTCGTGGTTTGTTGCATATAAGTTCGTGGCCTACAGTGTATAGAGATCTCCTGACAGGTCAGAGTGCAGATGCTCTCAACAGGCCCTTTGGTTCATCTTAATCAAATCCCAAGACACAGGCCACATGTCAGAACCTGCTACTTGTCTGCCAGTATCCACTCTCCCACATGGCTGCCCAGAACAAAGACTGCATTTCCTACCTTTCAGTGGACTGAGTTCTGGTTGTTGGGCTGAGAGGGAAAAGAGATGGGTGCAACCTGGCTTTGACTCCCCTTCTTCCATCCTGCTGCCTGGACTGTGAACACAGTGGGAAGCCATCATGGGCCATGCAGGGAGGGCAACACTCTAGGTGGGCAGGAGCAACAACACAGAAGGGGCCTGGGAGTCTGACATGGAGACACCCTGGATTGCTTGAGAGAGAAATAAATGTCTACCCCCCTTAAATTCACTGTTATTTTGGGTTTCTATTATAGCAGCTAGCTCTGTGTTCCCCATCTAAGGATGTCATCTATAAATACCTGGCCCAGGTGGAGCTGGCCTGACAGTCAGAACCAAGATTCCTGGGCCATACGTGGAAGTCAGGAGAGAAGCCCCTTATGCAATTTTCTCATAATGAGCCTCAGGTTTTCCTGTATATCATTCTGCCACAGGGCTTGCAGTGCAGTAAATGAAAAGATCTAGGTAAATATCTCTGGATTGATTAAAAGCCTGTTCACTTTGAGCCAAGAGAAGGAAACCCAAGCTCAACATCTGTCAATTCCCAAAAGAGGGAGCCTCCTACAATGTCTGCACTGGGTACTAAGTGCAGGGCTTAGCTATTGCCTAATTCAACTCCTCCCCTTAATCTGGGAAGATTAAACTAGGTGGAAACCCAGGTTTCCTGACTCCCGGTGCAGTGCTCTTTTCAAGATATCTTACTGCCACTTTGAAGGCATTCATAATCTGAATGAAGTCTATTAAGCAGCAAAACATAATATCAGGCCCTGGTGTTCTGAAGAAGGTGTTGGGTAGCTATGCATTCTTCCATGTTACATCTGTCCTTTTTATTTTTCATTGGCAACCATAAGCTGTGAGCTGCATTTACTTAGAAAGGCACATTTTTGTCAAACTGGACTTACTAAGATGACTGGAAGCAGACATCCAAGAAGCACAGTAAGTACCTCTCCCAAATGACTTGTCCTGGAACAGTTACTAACAGCGCACCTCTGCCTGCTTTTGTGAAACCTGCATTCCTGGCATTTATGACAGGCTGAGGAAATAATGAGGAGAGCCCAGAGCTTCCACATTAGCCAATAGGAGGAAGTTCTCACTCGGCAGGTGGAAGCTTCTCCTGGGGAAATCCTGGAGGCTCGTTGTTCCTGTCAACTACTAAAATGTACCCATAAATTTCCTGTGACAGGAGACACAGTGTCTGAGGAGTAGAAAGTGATAAAAGCCAAAAATGTAAAAGCATTCCTGCCAGAACTCAGCCCTTCTCCACGCATGGCATTAAATATACAAGAAAGGAAGCCACTCTCCACACCCTACACTCCATCCCTGACCACTGAGGCTGTCCAGGGCAGTAAGACCAGAAGCCACAGAATAGAGAATGGGTTCTAAAGTTCACTCCAACATATGAACCTACAGAACGACAGAACACTCGATGCACCACCACCAAAGCAGGTGTTCTATTTGTCAGCTTGACTGTTTTCTTTCGTTTTTAATGGCAGACCCAGAACAAGTTAATAATTTGGGGGGCTCAGTGCAGAATGAAAATACAGGGCTCCCTGTTCAAAACTTATTAAGAATTTCAAGGCTGTGACAGCAGAGTATAAAACCAGGCTCAGAGCCCTTCTCAGTGGGAGACTGTACAAGCTGCACGTTCTCAAAGCTAAACCTGGGTAGACTCTACCTTCCACAGCATTCTCTTTTTATACCAGGTGGAATGAATGATTTATTTAAGTACAATAAGTCTTCACTTAATGCCACTGATAGGTTCTCAGGAATTGTCACTTTAAGTGAAATGATGATATAAGGGTATTACAAAATTGGTATAACAAAACCCATTTTACCGTAGGCTAATGGATACGAACAAGAGTTAAGGCTGGGTGACGTGGCTCATGCCTGTAATCTCAACACTTTGGGAGGCTGAGGCGGGAGGATCATTTGAGCCCAGGAGTTTGAGACCAGACTGGACAACATAGAGAGACCCCCTTCTCTACAAAAAATACAAAAATTAGCTGGGTGTAGTCACATGCACCTGTAGTCCCAGCTACTCAGGAGGCTGAGGCAGGAGGACCACTTGGACCCAGAGGTCCAAGTTATGACTGTGCCACTGCACTCCCCCGAGGGTGAGACTCTGTCTCAAAAAAAAAAAAAAAAAGTTCCTTAGGGCATCTTTCTGGTCACAAAAACATTACCAAACCAAAACAAAACCCCAAATTTCTAAATAAAGACCAAAACACTTCTAATACTAAACATTGAAACAAATGTGAGCTATACATACATTTAAGAAAGATTACAGAAATGAGATAATTATTTACCCAAGTATTCCGGTTCCCCTGAACTCAGGTGGCCAGAGCCTGTCCTGGCAGCTCAGTGTGCACAGCAGGATCCAATCCTGGACAGGAGGCCATTCCATCACATAGAGCACTCGCACACACACCCACGCTCACTCATGCTGGGACCCTGTCAATACAGCAGTTCACCTAAGTGCACAGCTTTGGGATGTGGGAGGAAACAGGAAAGGCTAAGAAAACCCATACAGATGTGGGGAGAACTTGCCAACTCCACCTAGACAGTGGCCCTGGCTGGGAATCCATTTTTTCTTCCCATCAATGTCATAATGAAAAGGTGTTGAACACAATAAATGTATTCAAAGACCTGCTGTACTTGCGATAGTCTGACTGTGTCCCCCGAAACGTATGTGTTGGAAACTTAACCCCCAATGCAATAATGTTGGGAGGTGGAGCCTTTTAGAGGTGTTTAGCTTGCAAAGGCTTTACTCTCATGAGTGGATTAACACCACCATGAAAAGGACTTGCATATCTCTCTCTTGCCTTCTGCCATGTGAGAAGCAGTAAGAAAGCCTTCACCAGATGCTGGCGCCTAGATCTTGGACTTCCCAGCCTCCAGAACTGTGAGAGAAAAGATGTCTTTTTTTTTTTAGATGGAGTTTCTCTCTTGTTGCCCAGGCTGGAGTGCAATGGTGTGATCTCAGCTCACTGCAACCTCCACCTCCCGGGTTCAAGCGATTCTCCTGTCTCAGCCTCCTGAGTAGCTGGAATTACAGGTGCCTACCACTACGCCCTGCTTATTTTTAGTATTTTTAGTAGAGACGGGGTTTCACCATGTTGGCCAGGCTGGTCTCAAACTCCTGACCTCAGGTGATCCACCCACCTCAGCCCCCCAAAGTGCTGGGATTACAGGTGTGAGCCATAGTGCCCGGCAAAAATGAGTGTCTTTATAAATTACCCAGTCTCGGGTTTCTGGTATAGCAGCACCAAATTGACTATAGTGCTCTATCTCTGTGTTTAAATTACCTGTAGCAAATTCTGACTGCTCTGCCTATAGTGTAGGTGACCCTGAGCAAGTTATTTAAGCTCTCTGAGCCTCAGCTTCCTCAACTGTAAGATAAAAATGACAACATAAAAAATGATCTATGCAAAGCTATTTGCAGTTGGTTATTATCAACTATTATTATTACCTAGCAAAAAGGCAGTTGATTAAGAAATGTACTGAGTGATAATTAGTGATTAGGAAGCATTTGTGAACGCAGTATCCAGAAATAATTTTACCATTAGGGAAAAATAGTTGACGTGTAGATATTTTCCTACTTACCCTGGAAACTATTCTATGAAAGACTTTTCATGTATGGCCCCAAGAAGTCAGTTCCTGGCCACTGAGCAGAAGTTACTGGTAGGCAAATATGGGTTCCATACAGGGAAGAACTTTCTAATTCACCATCTGTTGAGAGGAGCTAATGAGTTCTTCATGGCCAAGGGCATTCAAGGAGGCTGAACCACCACCTTGTCAAGATGCAGAGCAAATTTATGTATTAGGCAGATGGCGTTCAAATCTCCTCCACTCCTGAGAGTCTATGGATTTGGTGCAATTTCAGTGCTTCTATTCTGTAGCTATGATGTCTAATTTTATTCCTCCCATGGCCCTCCACCAAATCAGCCCTTCTGTCTTCCCTTCTTTCCTGCTCAACCATTTTGTTGTAGCCAAGTGTACTTATAGTCCCAGGAAGCTTTACAGCATCTAGAGTTCTCCTTTCCTACTGTCTCCTCTGCTGCCGTAAGTAGTCCACTTTCTCCCATTCCACGGCATCCTCTATTTTTATTCCTTTATTCTTGTTATATGCATGCAGCCTTACTTCAGGAAATTTGTGCTGATTACATGACATGAGAGGGGAGGAACCAGAGCTAAGGGTGCAAGGCACAGGTTTGGAGACAAACAGCCCTAGGCATCCAAACCAGCTCTCTCAGCTACCAGGGGTGACACTGGACAACTTATTCAATCTCCCTGATCCTCAGTATTGTATCTGAAAAATCTAGAAAATATTAGCACCCACTTTATAGAGTTTTTCTGAGGTTTCGATGATCTAATACAAGCAAAGCGCTTCACATGGTATCTGGCACATAAGTAGTCCTCAGTGAAAGTTAGCAGTTGTTATTATTGCTGTCCACCAAAGAGCATTTGTTAATGGCATCATATTCTTGCCTCCTTCAGTTTCCAAGAGAAGTGTGTGTGTGCACTTATGTGTGCATGTGAGAGAGGGAAAGAGAGACACAGGAGATACACACACACTGTCAGAGAGAGAAAGAGAGAGAAAAAGTTCTCTGAAAGAAATGTATACCTTTAAACATTTGTCTTTCATACTATTTTAAAGCTCACTCTCCATATTCATGGTGCAATGCTGCATAGTAAGAAACATAAAAAGAAATTTAACAAATGGTTCCTCCCTGCAGAAAGTTTAAAAACATGAGAAATAAACAGAAACATAAACCATCTACCACTGATATCTTCAGGATTCAATTAAGTGGTAAATATTAAATACATGTAGGTACATATTTCATATTTAAAAATACTTAACATATTATGGACACTAAAAACTAAATCAATCTGTGAGCAAATCAAATGATTGCTATAGTTAACAGTATCCTCTCACAAAAATACCATGTTACATTAGAAGCCATCTAGATTTTCTTTTTCTTTCTTTCTTTTTCTTTCTTCTTTCTTTCCTTCTCTTTCTTTCTCTCTCTCTTTCTTTTCTTTCCTTCCTTCCTTCCTTCTTTCCTTCCTTCCTTTCTTTTCCTTCCTTCCTTCCTTCCTCCCTCCCTCCCTCCCTCCCTTTCTTTTCTTTCTTTGTTATGTTTATTTTAGATACAGGGTCTTGCTTTGTGGCCTAGGCTAGAGTGCAGTGGCGTAATCATTGCTCACTGCAGCCTTGCACTCCTGGGCTCAAGTGATCTGCCTCAGCCTCCTGAGTGGCTGGGACTACAGGCACGTGCCACAACACCCAGCTACTTTTTAAAAATTTTTTGTAGTGATGGGATCTCACTATGTTGCCCAGGCTGGTCTTGAACTTCTGGGCTCAAATGATCCTCCCACCTCAACCTCCCAAAGGGTCAGGATTACAGGTGTGAGCCACTGTACCCAGCCCCAGATTCCATTTCTAATCCTCAGTCAGCTCCAACTCTGTTTTTCCCTTTGCCCTGCCAACCTATCAAACCATAGACTCACCGAGTTCAGAGCCAAAGATGTAACTCAGAGAGTCACCCAGTTTGGTTTCTCCTTTTTCCCCTTTAACAGCAGCCATGAGAATCCCATCTGTTAAGGGAGAGTGACACATTTTGCTCCCTCATTAGATAATATTTAGGGAAGGGTTAAATGTTTTTTTTATTAAAACCTTGGGACCACTTCTTTAGCTGGTTCAGTTTATTTGCATGTTTGTAGGAGAGCTAGGTTAGGAAAGAAAATCCAATGTTATCGTAAGGGAAAAGTTCTGTCTTCTGTTTCATCACGATCATTCTACTCACATGTAAATTTTGAGCACAGTACTATATTTTTATAATTAGATTTACTATATATTAAGTCAAGCTACCTGTCCCTGCCAGGTACTGGCCAACTGAACTGAGTTTTCTTCCCAAATTAGTTGAGTTGTGCTTATTAAGACAGAGGGCCTGAATGAGCTCCGTCCCATCATTGGCTGCTGCCCTGTGCAACGCCCACGCATGGCTCCATCTCAGCTGATGGAGGAAGCGCTCGTCCACAGCCATAAACTTCAGCTTTCCTTGCTCTGTTGCTTTCATCCTGACTGCCTCTCAACATTCTAGCTTCCCCTCTCCAGCCGTGGTGTACTGGAGCCAGCTTGTACTAGTTTGTGAGAGAATATTGTTAAATTTTCAGAAATTTTGCCAGCCGATTGTTCAACATGGCCAGTATAAAAACCGAATTATGTGAACTTACAACTAAATAAATTATATTAGAAACAAAGAGAATAAATACTCAAAAACTCCTTCCTTCCTAATTATTTTACCACATTTTACCATTCCCTTTGCTCTCAAGGTTGCTTATCATACATGTCAGCCTATGCTATCCGCGTGGTGGAAAGAGCACACCACGGTAAACCACTGCTCAACTCTCCCTAGCTCCCCTCGCAGCAGTGTTTACGTGGACATTCTCGAATCAAGTCATTGTGAGAGTATTTACAACAGGGAGGTCAGCAAATGTGACATATCCGGGCTTGATTTATTGTTCTGTTAATTGTTTAGACCACGCGTCTGCAACCTCTGGCCTGTGGCCTGTTTTCCTGTGTCCCTTGAGCTAAGAATGGTTTTTATGTTTTCAAAGGTTTTAAAAAAATATTCAGAACCTCCCATTGGTAGACACAATAGTATTGTGTTGAGTCCGTGTAGAAGGCAAGCAATGGTTTTTCTAATTTGTGGTGCTACTGCCTTCAAGCCAAAATGGGAGCCTCCCGCTGGGCTCTTCTTGCCTCTTCTGTCTCCTTCCTAATTACAATGAGTCTGGCATGAGGACACACCGACAGCTGACTCTGATGGAGCACAAGGCAAATGGAATGCAGTCCTCTCACTATCACAGTCATACTAGTTCCACAGAACCAATAATAGTAAAAATATTTTTATCAGTAGAGGCATTAGGTCAGAAAAAAAAAAAACAGAAAAAAGATACATTGACTGAAACCATGCTTACATCACCATGTTTAGTGGGTATCTGGCAATTATCCAGGTAATTGGATCCTAAGTAGCCAGACCATCTCTTCTCCCCTCACTCCCTGTGAAAAACTCTATCTGGAAGCTTAATGATCTACATTACCAAAATTAACTGGGTAGCTGTAAAAGCTAACTGAGTTCTTTTATTTTTTAAGGGTGATCAGTTATCTTGTATCATTCTGAAACCCATAAATGCTTGAGCGTTCTTGAAGGGGCTGTCCCCATTTACAGCCAAGCTAAAAAGTACTAACGGAATTCTTTATATGATTACTAACGAGGCCACAATTAAATTTCAAAGCTGAAAACCAGCAGAAGCAGAACATTTTTAGTTGCTTACTCTTTTTCCACCCGTGTGCCAGGGTTTCCGCTGCTACCTAGCATCAGAGTGCCACCATCCCAGTCTCATGTAGGCCCTCGGTGTCATCTCTTCCTCCTAACAATTACCCTGTGTCCAGCCTTTCCAATTTTCTAAATTGTAGCCAGAATTACCTTTCTGAAACTTTGATGTCACTTCCCCTTTTAAAGACTTTTCATTGTACTTCATTGCCTAGAGAATAAACTCCAAATTCCCAAAGTCCAAACGTGGTCCCAGAAGACTCCTAACCACCCAGCGCCAGCCTGTTTTTCCAGAGTTGGCTATATCCTTAAGGAACAGGAAGCTTCTAAACCAGTGCTTCCCAAACTTGGAGGCACATTATAATTACCTGGGAGCTTTAAAGAAACTCAATGCCCAGGCCACGTCCTACATCAATTAAATCAGAATGTCTGTGGGTAAAGCCAGTGTCTGGCACCTTAGGTAATACCAAAACTATATTAGGATTTTGGTGACCCAGATTGCCTGGTAGATCAGGTACTGTTCTCAGAAATGTTTTAAACAGATGGGCATGGTGGCTCACGCCTGTAATCTCAGCACTTTGGGAGGCTGAGAGGAGCGGATCACCTGAGATCAGGAGTTTGAGACCAGCCTGGCCAACATGGTGAAACCCTGTCTCTACTAAAAATACAAAAAATTAGCCAGGCGTGGTGGCAGCACCTGTAATCCCAACTACTCGAGAGGCTGAGGCAGGAGAATTGCTTGACCCCGGGAGGAGGAGGTTGCAGTGAGCCAAAATCGTGCCATTGCACTCCAGCCTGGGCAACAAGAGTAAAACTTCGTCTCAAAAAAAAAAGAAAAAGAAAAATGTTTTAAACAAACCCATTGTCACAATCAATACATTGATACATTGTACAATAGTTAGTTTTAGTGTATCTCCTCCATTAAACTTTAAGCTCCTGGAAGGCAGGGTCTGTATTTATTTTGTTGTACTGATGTATTTTGTTGTACTGAGTACTGTTGTTTGACAGTACTCGGGACCTGATAAGTACTTGGCACCTAATAAGACACTCAGGAAATGTTTGTCAAATCAAAGAACAAACAAATGAACAAATATATGAATGATTTCAACCAGGAGACACCGAACTAAGAAATGAAGTCATTCATGTCTTTTTGAATAAAGGTAATTATTTTAAAGATGGAGCACCCCATTTCCCACTGAATTGGTCATTATAAGCCTTGATAAATCCTCCTGGTAGAAAGAGCATTGCCTGGAAATCGGAGACCTGAAGTCTAGTCCTGTTCTGTCATTACCAAATAACAAAGTCAGTGATTTGTATTTATTAAGTGCTTGATATGTCCCAGGTACTTTATTTGTATTTTCTTGTTTAATCCTCAAAAATAATCTTACCAAATAGATATGATTAGCAACCTCATTTTATTGAGAAGGAAGCTGAGGTTTACCTAGGACAGGTGAACTGCCCAAGTACCATACTAGCTGAGAGAGATCTGAACCCAGGAAGTGCAGAGGCTGCCAACCAGGCTGTCCAGTGGTTCTCCATTCTGCCTGCTGTTTGAATCACTTTGAGACTGACCAGGGCCCAACTTCAGAATCCTATTAACTCCTCTGGATGAGCCCTGGCCATGGGGCTTCTTTTTAAATGCCTTCCAGCAATTTTAAAGTGTGGCCAGGGTTGAGAACTTTCGCCCTAGGCTCTCTCTACTCTATGCCATTGTATCCTCCCAAAAGCCACTTCTCTGTGCTTCAGTCTCTTCTGTACAAAGAGGTGGCTGAAGCCACCTATCTTGGCAATAATTCTAGCTTGAATGCCTACAAATTATCCCTGCCCTTGCTCCACTTCCCACCTTAGGCCCTGGCAAACAGGGGACTCCTAGACTCTCCACATCTGACTCCAGACAGCTTTCCCCTGAAGTTTTCAGCCTCCACTACAGAAAACTTGGGGCTGGGATAAGCTAACACAGTCTTATTTTGTTAGATGCTGTACAGCAAGTAAAAGCTGTAGCTTCTTAAGAATAAGGAGGATAAATGTAGCCCAACGGGTGCCCCTTGTCAGCCCTAATTGAGGATGGTCTTTCGGCACCAGGTAAAGGGAGAGAGAGTACAGAAGCAGAGTCCCCTGACTGGTAAACTAGCCCTTTCATAGAGCAACATGGTCTTCTCAGCCCTGCCTCAGAGGGATGGGTTTGGAGAAGCAGAAGATCCAGTCTGTTTTCTTGGGAAAGGAAACTCCAAGAAGGAGAACAGGAGAAAGCTGAGCAGGTAAAAACTACTGGTGGCTCAAGGATATACTATTTGCATAGGTGAATCCCTGGGCCAAGACCTGCCAGTCCGTGAGCAGGAAGGGATTGCTCCCATTCCCAGTGCTCTTGGGAGGCTCTGAGTCTGACTAGCTCCAAGGCCAGTGGGGACAAGGTGGCTTTAGCATGACACCTATGGCACTACCCAGACAAGTCTCTGGCTCCTCTGTAAGGCCTAAAGCTCAAGCCAACCAGAAAAGTCTTATGTCCAAGAATAACTGAGACCAGCCTCTAACTCTTAGGACCATTCTACCCTGGTCTAGGCACAAAGACAGGAGGTACAGTGTCTTCAGGTCGATACACTTGGCAATTCATGTAAAGAAACTGGAGCCTCTCTTGGGCCTCTGCCATGCTCCCATAGCATCCCAAACTTTTCACACTCAACGCACTTTATTTTGATTACCTGCTTATGTGTCCATTTTCCCCGTGAGACTCTAAGTTCTAGGAAGGCAGGGAATGTGCCTGTCTTGTTCACTGCAATATTCCCAGCTCCTAGCCCGGTGCCTGTCTCATGGTAAGAGCTTCATAAATATTCATTGAATGGACAAGTGATTAAATGTAAAGGTTATCTCATAAGCGAATAAGCAATACTTGCTACCTACTCCATGGGAAAGTGCTGAGCCATGAGTTGCTATGCTTATTATAAGAACTCTCCCATTATAGACTAAACACAGGCTTATTTGGGTTAAAAAAAAAAAAGATGCCTATTTTTCTGACAGTTTGTTGTTTTCTTCTAAAGTCCATATAATTTTTAATAAAAGCGAACAAAACCAAACAGTGGTTTCAGTGTTTGGGGTTGTTTATAAATACACTAATACTGAAGGCCCACGGAGCCAGCCCTGTTAATAACACGGGCCTGGCTGGCTGCAGTCCTGGTCACTGCTCCTAGGAGTCTCCATAGCAGCAGGGGAAGGTCAAAGCACTGGGAGAGGGCTATTTATTACCAACAGGAAATGTGGAAAACACCCTTCCCTTTAATCTTCAAATTACCTCAAGGAAAACAGAAAACAATGTTATCATCAGACATTATCCACAGAGAAAACAGAGCCTTCTGTGGATGCTCAAACCCTACTTCTAAAGCCTCATATTTTATGATTACATCAAAACACTTAAAGTGTTTCTAAGAGCTCTTTCAGCAATACTCACAACAAGCACAAAAATAAATGTTATAACATTATCTCCTTATTAGAGATAAGAAAAACTGGTCTGGATTCTACGTAATTTCTTCCATACCCACAGAAATGGGTGAGAACCTACAGATGCTGCCTTCCAGCCCACAAGGCTGGTACCACTGCCCTCTGCCTTACCTCCAAAGACAGTCACAACAGGTCCTGAAAACACCCAAGATTCCTGCATTAGTATCAGAGCAGAGATCTGTATCTGTGTTTTTTGCATCATGCTCCTGGTCCCAAGATCCCCAAGGACATCACAGAAATAAATCAGGGGCCTGGCAATGGCAATTTGTTAAAAATTAAAAATTATAACCATTAGTAAACCAAAAAATGAGGAGCAGTAATTCTTTGCTTTACATTAGTACATTTTGTTATAAGTGCCTTTATAAATGATAAAGTACTAATTTTTGTTCTGGAACTAAGTATGACTCTTTTGTGCAGGATATAAATCTTGCTATTCTCAGGAGCAAGGGCCAATGACTAAACACTCATGGAGACCTAGCTTCATACCAGGCAGGCACTTTATATTCTAAACACGTCACAGGCATTATATTATCTAGTTGTCACAGTAACGCTAGCAGGTTACCACTATTGTTGTCTCTATTTTATAGATGAAGAAACTGAGGCCCAGAGCTTTAGAGTCTCCCCAAGTTTACACAGCTAGAGGGAGATTGAGACGGGTTTCTTTGACTGCAGAGCTCATGCTTGCAATCATTTTGCTGTATTGTCTCCAAAAGAGAAAGACATTATGCCACTATGGCTAGGTTTAATTTTCTGTAGTTTAGGGAGATTGAAGGAATCCCAAATCCCAGAAAAATCAGTCAGCTAAAGTCACTCAGAAATATTTCTGGTCATTTAGGTGTCCTCTAAGCACAAGGCCAAAAATAACAGTGATTTAAATGACACTGGAGTAGAAATACAGGTCACATCCAATTACAATGGATCTCAAGGGAGCATCCAAGCTCTTATTGTGTCCTGGAACTTTTTATACTAAATATTGCTTTCCCCAACTACTAGAGGTCTCACTGATCCTCCTTCCTTTTCTCCAAATTCTGGTACTTGCCTGTACATCACAGCTGAACCCTTGATTATACACTGTATTTTACTGTTCACATTTTTTCATGTATGCTAGTCTTTGTCTCCTCAACTAGATTTTAAATTCCTTGAGAATAGAAACTGGGCTTCCAATCTATTGTGTATTTACAATGTGCACAAACTGGGTGCCTACTGAGCATGTAGAGAGTCCTCAGTATAACTCACGTATGGATTTGTTTAAATAATACAGGCCAAAAGCCTTTTTCTGTAAAGGACTAGATAGTAAATATTTTAGGCTTTGCAGATCACATGGTCTCTGTTGCAACTACTCAACTCTGCTGTTGCAAGGTGCAAACAGCCATAGACAATCCAGTGAGCATGGCTGTGTTCAAACAAAATTTTATTTACACGACAGGCAGAGGGCCAGATTTAGCCTGTGAGCTGTAATTTGTCAACCCAATATAGAATATTTATGATAGGCTTGAGGGACCGGGTAAGGAAATATTCTTAAATCTCAGCATTATAGAAGTAGATACTATACCTCCCCTTCATCCCTCTACCCCCTAGTCCCCACTATTAGAGTTCTAGCTCCTGACCAAGCCAAGTATTTTTCCAAAGCCTCTCATCTTGGACTTAAGGTTAGTTTAGCACAATATTTTGCAGTTCAATTACCTTTGGGGCTTCATACATCAGTTTAAAAAGAGAAAAATCAATGACAAGGTGAAAAGGTAACATAGTAGGTTGTAAGAACAATAAGTAATTACAAAATTCTTCAAATGCATTCCACCAAGGAGGCTCTGACACTCTTTCCCAACTGCTTCTTACAGACTGCCATGCAAATCATCACAGGTGATTTGAAATACTCATTTCACCTGGATTAGCAATCTACAGCGAGAGCCCATCCACCCTGGCAGGAAGCCACCTACAGGATGGCAAGGGGAAACATTCCTTTCTCCCCACAACAACAGCTTTCCTTCGAGCATGAGGGAACACAACAAATGGAAGAAGAAAGGCTTTTCGGCCCTTAGTTTTGATTTAACGTTAAAAAGTCTTTAATGGGCTGCTTTCCTGACCTAATTTCAATGTGAGATGTTTCCCTAAACATATTGTTCAGTATTGTTTCTGGGCTTTTCTACATGTTTGTAAAGATTTGATACGCATTTGATATGAACCGAGGTAGCTTAATAGAGAACCACAGAATCCGTAGCTGCGTAGCACTCTTCTAATTCAATCTCTTTATTACACAGAGAAGTGAAGTGACTTGCCCAGAACTGTGGGTTCTTTGCTCAAAGCAGATAATCATTCGGGTCATCCCTCTATGACCTTAGCGCTATGATAATGAATCAGCTAGTGCACACCTAGTTAATGGGAAAGGCAATCTGGTGACCACCCTCAACACTCCTCCATGTCCCAGGACAAGGCTCCTGTATGTGAAATCAGCCACATCCAATATCATCTTCCTCAATAATGTGACACAGAGCTGCCTGTGTTTTCAGAGGCATGGCCAGCAACTTCCATTGTCCTTTCCATGGTACACTGAGAATAAAACAGAGATTTGTCTTCTGCAGTTTCTACTTCCTCCTTTTTCCCTTTCTTTTTTTTTTTTTTTTTTTTTGAGACTCAGTTTCGCTCTTATCTCCCAGGCCGGAGTGCAGTGGTGCAATCTTGGTTCCCTGCAACATCTGCCTCCCGGGTTCAAGTGATTCTCCTGCCTCAGCCTCCCGAGTAGCTGGGATTACAGACGCCTGCCACCACGCCCAGCTAATTTTTTTGTATTTTTAGTAGAGACAGGGTTTTGCTATGTTGGCCAGGCTGGTCTCGAACTCCTGACGTCAGGTGATCCGCTCATCTCGGCCTCCCAAAGTGCTGAGATTACAGGCGTGAGCCACCGTGCCCGACCTCTACTTCCTCTTTCTTAACATCTTTTTCTCCCTGTTGATAATCAAATGACTGATTACTTTGAGACTCGTGGACGTTGGGTAGCACTATCAGGTCTTTGCATTTTAAGCCAATGATCTCTTCATGTGGAATTAAAGGTGCTTCCTCATATCTTAGGGTGATGCCCAGAAATACAAAGAAGCAAATCAAAAGGTGTAGCTATTGTAGAGATCCTCTAGACCCACTGAGCTTTCACCTGACTCCTGACAGTGACAGTAAATTAATAGATTTCATGGGACTGGCAGAGAGAAGCAAAGAGAGTGGTCAATTCAAGAGTGATCTCTCCACTCCAAAAAGCTCTAATTACCCCAGTCCCCCTCCAGGTCAAGTTAAGAGAGGTCTAGTCCAGGGAGCTATAAGGCCCAGACTGGAGAATTTCTGACTTTTTCAAAGGTACAGGTTACCTCTTACCCTAGCAAAAGCCCCCCCTGGTAGATGTCTGCCTTCCCCACATTCCCCAGTCTTCACCCCATTATCTGCCCCTTCTCATTCTGCTCTGGCTCTCAAACAATTGTTTCAAATCTTAACCTTTTGTATAACCCTGCAGAACAAAGAGCTATGTCTCCTATATTTTATCTTCCTCTGTGAAGTTTCTGATAAATATGTTTTAACTTGCATCCTTTAGCGTATAAAAATATTGGGAATGTGCTGCCCTGGGAATTAACATATTCTTTGTCACTTATGCAGAATTTTTTTGATTTGAACACTAATTGGGTAATTGGATTAAAAGTATCGCTTCTGGGCTTCTATTAGAAAGAATAATACTGGTCATGAAACTAATAATAATGATGATGAAGATAGTGATACTCTTACTACTACTAATTGTAATAGTTTTTTGGGTTTTTTTTCTATTTGCAGTACATTGTACAGATTGCAAAGCTTTTTCTGGTACATTTTCTCACTTGATCTCATTTACCCAGTGAAATTGGTAGAGCAAATATTATGTTCCCCAGGGTATAGGTGAGGTCATTTGTTGAAGGTCACGTAGATAGAAAGAGGTGAAACTAGTTTCCCTTTCCAGGAGGGGGTGCCCTTCCTACTGTGCTCTGCTGCTTAAAACATAAATGAACCATGCATTGAAAACAACTGATAACACACTGCTTCAAACTGTTCTCCTCCACAGGGAGAGAGAGTTAATTGTTCACTTCTATCATCCTTTGGAATAAAATTCCTAGCAAAAAAAGGGCAACTCATACAGATGGCAAAAGCATAGCATCAGAGGCTAAGTCATCTCAGAATCACAAATTCTTAGGGGCATCCTGAAAGCTCCTCTCTTCCTCTCCATTCTAACATATTCTACTACAGGACAAATGCCAGACTTAGAGGGTATTTACACAACAAAGAAAAGAGTACTAATAAAGCAGACTGTGTATTTGTGTTTTAAAATTGTGATGATATAGTCAATCTATATTTGTATGCAAACATTCATTCATGCCTACAAAACCAGTTTTCAGTTATATTCTGATTTTCAAAGAATCTAAACATACTGTCTTCTTACAATTACCTTAATTGATTAGATGCTGAATTTTGTCTTACTCAGTCATTGCCATGGTATAAAAATTCCAGACCCAAACATTATTTTTTTATCATTCTACAAACTTGTTTTAAATTGCAGTATCCAACTTTGTAAAACCAAGTGTGAGCATATGTTTAATCTCATAATGACAATTATAATATAATCATGAAACTCGAAGTCACCAATATTTGTCCAAGGTATCATCATGAGGCTTATGGAAACACAGTGGAAGTACGCCAGCACTCTGGGCGCCAACAGAAATGGAAGTTACACGGATTAAAAAAGAATTTGCCTATTCGAAATGGTCTTTTACTAATATCGAGCCTGCAACTTAGTATATTTGGTTAAGTGATGATGACCTGGTTTTACAAACACAGATTATTCAAATAGAAAGAAGGCAGAAGGCTGGCGTCATCCTAGAAGGTCAGAGCTTTAGGCCTTTGTGGGGAGGAAAAAAGAATAAAAAATAAATAAATCTCTGTGGGCCAGGGAGATGAACAATATGGCAATGCTGAAGTCATTGCAACATTATTTATCTTTTTTCTCTGAGTATGATTTCTAATCTTCAAGAGTTTTTTGTTTGAAAGTTAAAAAACCAAAAACCTTTCCATGTTTTTCTATCTCCCTTAGAATATAAAATCTGAGAGAACAGGACTTGCTATTGCACGTTTTTTTATCCCAACTTGGATTTCATTATTTTATAAATCATGAGCTCTTTAAAAAATGCTGACATTTAATGAGTAAATTCAACTAACTCAGGGTTTAGTTCAAAAGAATAAGCATTTATTGAATCTCTATTATGTACAAGGCATTGGACCAAGTGCTAGGGAGACTACGTGGTGATAAGCACATAAAAAATAACATCTCCATCCTGAGCAACGTAGTGAGACCCCATCACTACAAAACATAAAAAGTAACATCTCCATCCTGAGCAACATAGTGAGACCCCATCACTACAAAACATGAAAAATAACATCTCCATCCTGAGCAACGTAGTGAGACCCCATCACTACAAAATATAAAAAACATTGGCCGGGCATGGTGGCACCAGCCTGTGGTCCCAGCTACCTGGGAGGCTGGGGTGGGAGGAGTGCTTGAACCCAGGAGGTCAAGTCTGCAGTGAGCTGTGATTGTGCCACTGCACTCCAGCCTGAGCGACAGAGAAAGACCCTGTCTCAAAAAATAAATAAATAAATAAATAAATAAGTAAAACTTTATGAAACATACTATTTCCTCCTTTTTGCTTATCTGTCAAGAAACTCAAAGCCCAATTTCTTGTTCAATTGCAATAATGTTTTCAGGCTAGATTTTCTATAACAATTCTCTTTTATTACAATGACTGTTTTTTTTTAGAATTGGAAAAAAATGTATATGTAACGTAGTAAATAAATAAGTCTAAGTCAGGATAAAGTGAGCTAAGTGCCACAAGAAAAATCGCAACAGAATGCAATGAGGATTCATAGGCTGAAAGGATTGTATGGGAGAAGACAGGAGGTGAGTTTTCCAGGAAAAGGTCATTCCAAGCTAAGAAGACAGATGGGCAAAGGTACAGAGATAGGAATGTGTAAGATACTTGGGAGAAAAGAGTTCAGATACAAGGAGGTTAGAACAGAAGATGGGTTGTTTCATTAACTCTAAACACACAAAAAATTAACTCTTCTCTACTAAGGGTCATATTAGCATGTTGTTCACATATGTGAAATTTTCCCCGTAAGCAAAGTAAGGGTATCTTCATCTTACTCATCAGTGAGATCAAAGACTGGAGAAGACATGACCATGTAATTTCAGCACAGACACAAGAAGCAATAATAAATCATGAAGAATTAATGAATTTCATCAAGTGAGCACTCCATAAATGCTTTGCAATTGTAGTCATACAGATCACTAAGACTTGTATACACTTTTGTTTTATGAACATTTAAGCTTTTACAATGGCCCCTATATTGCCTGTCTTCTCTAATGAGCTCAAAGCAATTCGTTCTTTGGAGGCCATGATCTATTCTTTACACTTTAAAGATGGAAAGACTGAAAAATTATGAGGACAATGATCTGTGTAAGGATCATGGAACTTAACAGACAAAAGAAAAACAATGCCTCATTATATGTACGAGGGAAATGCAAAGTAGAATCTGTGGGTTCATGCTGAAAAATCAAAATTAGAACAGCTAATCAAGTGAGAGAGTGTGACTAGTTCAAGAATTAATCACAAAATTCTCCATTGCCCATATTACAGATTAAACTTGTTTTTAGAAGCACATATGTGATTAAGAGCAAAGAGGTCAGTAACACTGGAAAAAGGTAGTGAACTAACATGGAAAGTTGTCTAGTCAGCTTTGTGTGGTTGCTCAGTTGCTGCAGCCCTATGTTTTTCAAACTACAGGTCACAATCCATTAGTTGGTCATGAAACCAATTTACAAAGTCACAAATAGCATTTTAAAAAATGTCTGTATACTTAGTATTGAAACATTTATTCTAGTTAATATCAGGTATAAATATATAAACATATGTT